>NC_000023.11:152051363-152354393 GCF_000001405.40 Homo sapiens | reverse complement strand
TATATACCAAGCTCTATTCTAAGTTATTAATATATGTTGATTAATATAATCCTTATAACAGACCTGATAGCTAAGTGATGTTATTATTCCTTTGCAGATAAAATATGGAGACAGAGAGAGGTCAGGTAACTTGCCAAAGCTCACACAGCTAGAAAATAGAAGAGTTAGGATTGAAACCCAGAAAGTTTGGTTCCAGAGTCCATGCTATTAATCATTATGATATATTGCTTTTCCTGAGTTTGGTTACTTTTAAGTAAGAATGAGGCACATGTCAATTTCTTTTACATACCTGAATATTTACTTACATATAGTAACCTCTCAACCACTGAATTCTTAATATCTCAGCCACATAGCTGGGTAGACCATGTTCAGATGTGGCAAGTGCATTTTTCTTATAGGACCTGGAGAAATAAGAAATGTAATTTTATCCTACCATTTTCCCTTTTGAGGTGGAAGTGCAGAATTTGTAACACAGAACAGGGATGGACATGTGAGGCCACAATCAATGATACTTTGTAGGTGATGTTGTGGCTTCCTGTTGCGTTATGTCAGGAGGCAAGGTTGTCTCAGTATGGCTGATACTGAATTTTATCACTTGCTTAGGGTGATGACTGTCGGGACTCGCCATTGTAAGGATATCAACCATCAGGATTAATTCAAAGTCTTTGAGCTGATGGCCAGCTCATTGCTTTGATCATGGCTGTGGGTGTGGGGGTAAAGAACAAATAATAGTAGGGGAGATAATATTTTTAGTACTTTAGTTTTCTTTTCTTTTGTGTCAAAAAATGTCTTTCCACATAAACAGTGTTATAAATGGTTCTCAGGTTGGCCTATTAATACCTGCTTAACCAGAAACGTTGCCAAAATAGTGCTCATGCATTGGCACTATGGTTACAGTCATTCAGATTAACCATGAGAAACAGTATTGCTTACTCTTGTCTAGAAAACTAGCTACCCTTTATGGCATTGTTTCAAAGGAAGAATGTACCCCTGCTTCTTTGCAAACTTTGGTTCATGACACATTTTAAATTGCGATATGTCTGCTTATGGTCACATGGAATCATATGTCTACTAGCTTATTTTATCATTCACAACATATACTAATTAAATATTTCTCTTTTTTGTGAAGCAGTGGCTTTTAGTTACTAAGAAGGCATGAAGGACTTGGTCTTTATTTTACCAAGTGGGTAGGTGTGTCTCAAGTCAGTACCTCTGTAGTTTTATTACCAGTCCATATAAGCTATTTCAGAAAAGAACAGCTGTCTTTTTCAGATGGATTTGGCGTATTCTAGCCAAAATCAGGTTAGTTCTTCTTCTTTTTTTTTTTCTTCAAGCAGCTTCTGTAAAGAGAAAGTGTGCTATTGAATTCTAGGTGTTTCTCATTTCCTCCCTAGTATATAACTGGCATCCTTAGTGCTGAATCTTTAGTTGAACATTTCCACTTATAGGAAAGACTGGACTTGAAAAATGAAAACATGAGGAATATTTGGAAATGGTGAGTAATCTGATTTGCCTGTGATTGGTGGTCAGAAAGAGAAGTAGTAGAATTTGCAACTGTAAAAGTATATCAGGAACAGATTGCAGAAGGCCATGATTGTCAGGCTTAGGCATTGGAATTTTATTTGGTTAGCTATGAAGAGTTATGAAAGGTTTGTGAGCGATGCAGAGACATAATATGCTCAGTAATTCCGAATTTTTATTATTTAAAAAAATCTGCTCTCTCCCAGGAAATATGTGGTTTAGGAAAAATGCCATCCTTTTAATGAAGTAAGTATCTTTCCTCTTTGGGATGTTGTATGAACTGCGTCAGCAACTCCACATTTGTGCCTCTCCTGCTTTCCCTTAACATAAACACACCAGGATCCTCAATGAAGGATGCTGGCAGTGACAGCATGAGTTTGACAGCTTCATTGAGGATGCTCTAGATGGTCAGTGATCTTGACTTTCTCCCATTGCCTAAAAGATAATGTATTGTAAAGGTTTTTCATTGCATTTTCAGGAGTTTGGGGGGAAGTTAATGAACAACCTTCATTTATAAAACAATTTTGTATTTATTATCTTATTTACCTATTTATTTCAAAAGTTTTCTAATGTAGGTTATTGTTATCCCCATTTTACATATATGGAAATACAGGCATACCTCATTTGACTGTGCTTCACTTTATTGTGCTTTGTGGATAGCATGTTTTTTACAAATTGAATGTTTGTGGCAACCCTGTGTTGAGTGAGTCTATTGGTGCCATTTTTCCAACAGCATGTGCTCACTTTATGTCTCTGTGCCGCATTTTGGTCATTCTTGCAAATTTTCAAAGTCTTGATTATTATATCTGTTATGGTGATCTGTGATTGGTGATCTTTGATGTTATTATTTTAATTGTTTTGGGGCACCATGAATTCCACTCATGTAAGACAGTGGACTTAATCGGTAAATATTGTGTTTGCTCTGACTGATTATTCCACTGAAGGGCCATTCCCCTGTCTCTCTCCCTCTCCTTAGGCCTTCCTTCTCCCTGAGATACAGTAATGTTGAAAATAGGCCAATTAGTAGCCCTATATAGCCTCTAAGTGTTAAGTGAAATAAAAATTTACATGGCTCTCACTTTAAATCAAAAGCTAGAAATGATTAAGCTTAGTAAGGAAGGCATGACAAAAGTTGAGATACTCTAAAAGCTAGGCCTCTTGTGGCAAGCAGTTAGCCAAGTTGTCAATGCGAATGAAAGGTTTTTGAAGGAAATTAAAAATGCTACTCCAGTGAGCACATAAATGATAAGAAAGTGAAACAGCCTTATTGCAAATATGGAGAAAGTTTTAGTGGATAGAAGATCAAGCCAGACACAACATTCTCTTCAAGCAAAGTCTAATTCAAAGCAATGCTATAACTCCCTTCAGTTCTGTGAAGACTGGGAGAGATAAAGAAGCTGCAGAAAAAGTTTGAAGCTAGTGGAGGTTGGTTCATGAGGTTTAAGGAAAGAAGCCATCTCCATAACATAAAAGTGCAAGGTGAGACACAAGTGCTGATGGAGGAGCTGCAGCAAGTTCTCCAGAAGATCTAGCTATGATAATTGATAAAGGTGGCTACATGAACAACAGATTTTGGTAGAAGAAACATCCTTCTATTGGAAGAAGATGTCTTTCAGGACTTTAATAGCTAGAGAGAAGAAGTAAATGCCTGACTTTGAAGCTTCAAAGCAGTGGCTGACTCTTTTGTCAGGGGCAAATGCAGCTGGTAACTTTAAGCTGAAGCCCATTGTTCATTTACTATTGGGAAAATCCTAGGACCCTTAAGAATTATGCTAAATCCACTCTCTCTATGCTCTGTAAATGAAATAACAAAGCTTGAATGACAGCACATCTGTTTATAGCACGGTTTACCGAATATTTTAAGCACACGGTTGCAGTCTACTTCCCAGGAAAAAGTACTCCTTTTGAAATATTATTTTTCATTGACAATGCACCTGGTCACCCAAGAGCTTTGATGGAGATGTGCAAGATGAATGTTGTTTTCATCCTTACAATACAACATCCATTCTTCAGCCCATTGATCAAGAAGAAATTTTGACTTTCAAGTTTTATTATTTAAGAGATACATTTCATAAGGTTATAGCTTCCATAGATAGTGATTCCTCTGATGGATCCAAGAAAAGCCCATTGAAAACCTTCTGGAAAGGATTCACCTTTCTGGATATCAGTAAGAGCATTCATGATTCAGAGGAGCAGGTCAAAATATAAACATTAACAGGAGTGTGGAAGAAGTTGGTTCCAATCCTCATGGGTGACTTTGAGGGGTTCGAGACTTCAGTGGAGGAAGTAACTGCAGATGTGGTGGAAATAGCAAGAAAACTATAATTAGAAATAAAGCCCTTTCAAAAAACCAGCTCCTGGATTCATTAATTTTTTGAAGGGTTTTTTGTGTCTCTATTTCCTTCAGTTCTGCTCTGATTTTAGTTATTTCTTGCCTTCTGCTAGCTGTTGAATGTGTTTGCTCTTGCTTTTCTAGTTCTTTTAATTGTGATGTTAGGGTGTCAATTTTGGATCTTTCCTGCTTTCTCTTGTGGGCATTTAGTGCTATAAATTTCCCTCTACACACTGCTTTGAATGCGTCCCAGAGATTCTGGTATGTTGTGTCTTTGTTCTCGTTGGTTTCAAAGAACATCTTTATTTCTGCCTTCATTTTGTTATGTACCCAGTAGTCATTCAGGAGCAGGTTGTTCAGTTTCCATGTAATTGAGCGGTTTTGAGTGAGATTCTTAATCCTGAGTTCTAGTTTGATTGCACCGTGGTCTGAGAGATAGTTTGTTATAATTTCTGTTCTTTTACATTTGCTGAGGAGAGCTTTACTTCCAACTATGTGGTCAATTTTGGAATAGGTGTGGTGTGGTGCTGAAAAAAATGTATATTCTGTTGATTTGGGGTGGAGAGTTCTGTAGATGTCTATTAGGTCCTCTTGGTGCAGAGCTGAGTTCAATTCCTGGGTATCCTTGTTGACTTTCTGTCTCGTTGATCTGTCTAATGTTGACAGTGGGGTGTTAAAGTCTCCCATTATTAATGTGTGGGAGTCTAAGTCTCTTTGTAGGTCACTCAGGACTTGCTTTATGAATCTGGGTGCTCCTGTATTGGGTGCATATATATTTAGGATAGTTAGCTCTTCTTGTTGAATTGATCCCTTTACCATTATGTAATGGCCTTCTTTGTCTCTTTTGATCTTTGTTGGTTTGAAGTCTGTTTTATCAGAGACTAGGATTGCAACCCCTGCCTTTTTTTGTTTTCCATTTGCTTGGTAGATCTTCCTCCATCCTTTTATTTTGAGCCTATGTGTGTCTTTGCACGTGAGATGGGTTTCCTGAATACAGCACACTCATGGGTCTTGACTCTTTATCCAATTTGCCAGTCTGTGTCTTTTAATTGGAGCACTTAGTCCATTTACATTTAAAGTTAATATTGTTATGTGTGAATTTGATCCTGTCATTATGATGTTAGCTGGTTATTTTGCTCGTTAGTTGATGCAGTTTCTTCCTAGTCTCGATGGTGTTTACATTTTGGCATGATTTTGCAGCGGCTGGTACCGGTTGTTCCTCTCCATGTTTAGCGCTTCCTTCAGGAGCTCTTTTAGAGCCCAAAGTTGTGACTGAATTGCTGCAATCTCGTGAAAAAACTTGAAGGGATGAGTTGCTTCTTACAGACGAGCAATGAGAGTGATTTCTTGATAAGGAATCTACTCCTAGTAAAGATGCTGTGAATATTGTTGAAATGACAACAAAGGATTTAGAATATTACATAAACTTAGTTGATAAAGCAGTGCCAGGGTTTAAGAGGATTGGCTCCAATTTTGAAAGAAGTTCTACTGTGGGTAAAATGCGACCAAACAGCATCACATGCTGAAGATAAATCTTTTGTGAAAAGAAGAGTCAATTGATGAGGCAAACTTCATTGTTGTCTTATTTTAAGAAATTGCCACAGCTGCCCCAACCTTTAGCAACCACTGCCCTGACTGGTCAGCAGCCATCCACACTGAGGCAAAACCTTCCACCAGCAAGAAGATTATGACTTGTTGAAGCGTCAGATGATTCTTAGCATTTTTTTAGCAATAAAGTATTTTTAATTAAGGTATGTAAATTGATTTTTAGACATAATGCTATTGAACACTTAATAGAGTGCTGTACAGTATAAACATAACTTTTACATGCACGGGAAACCAAAATATTTGTGACTCACTTAATTGTGATATTTGCTTTATTGCAGTGGCCTGGAACCAAACTCACAATATCCCAGAGGTATGCCTGTAGGTCTCACAGTCAGTTAGTGGCAGAGACAGAACTAAATTCTAGTCATTTGATTCTGGTCCTGTGAATTTACCACTGATCCATCTTTAGGGCTAGGAAAATGACTAAACTTGGCATAACCTTCAGATAGTGTATTAGTAACGTCATTTTCATTTTTCAATGATGAATTATTATTATTATCATATTTTATCTAACCAGTAGTGGCAAATATGAGGTGCAATGGACATGTTTTAGTGTTGCTCTCATTAAGTTGATAAACACATAGCATCAAGCAATTCATTTCTCTCTTTGGTGTTGGTGTCTTAGGTGTCTCATGTGTAAAATGAAGGGAGAGAATTATACAATATCTAAGCTTCTCCATAATTCTGACATGCCATGATTCCTTTTTTCCCCAAACTACCTTTGAATTCAAACTATAGGATCACGTTGCAGTTTAGTTACTGAATAAGAAAGAGTTCTACTTAGGTCGCAGATTAAATCTGCTTCCCCACACAATAATTTAGTGCACATTAGGAGAAAAAAAATCAGTAATAAAGAATAAAACCATAGAACAATATATTGAAAATAATTTGGGGGTGATATTTAGCATTGATTTTTATTTATTTATTTATTTATTTTAGACAGGGTCTTGCTCTGTTGCCCATGCAGTAGCATGATCTCAGCTCACTGCAACCTCCGCTTCCCAGGCTCAAGTAATCCTCCAACCTCAGCCTCCCCAGTAAATGGGACTACAGGTGTGCCACCATGCCTAGCTAATTTTTGTGTTTTTGTAGAGGCAGGATTTCGCCATATTGTCCAGACTGGTCACAAACTAGCATTGCTTTTTGACTTAAAAGTTTTCAACTTTTTGATGAAGAATGATGCTAAGATATCAACAGTCACCAGGAGGAAATGGAAATGCATTCTCATGGAAGCTAGTATTTCAGTAAGAAAGCAAGCACAGTGTATTGGCCTTCTATTCAGGATTTTAAAGAATTGTTTAATTTTTCATTTTTGTGGGTACATCATAGGTATATATATTTATGGGGTGCGTGAGATGTTTTGATACAGGCATGCAATATGAAATAATCACATCATGGAGAATGTGGTATCCATCCCCTCAAACATTTATCCTTTGTGTTAAAAACAATCCAATTAGTTATTTTAAAATGTACAATTAAATTATTACTACTGATGTCACCCTTTGTGCTATCAAATACTAGGTTTCATTCTTTTTATTATTTTATACACATTAACCATCCCCACTTTCCCTCAACCACTCCACTATCCTTCCCAACCTCTAGTAACAATGCTTCTACTCTCTATCTCCATGAGTTCAATTGTTTTAATTTTTAGCTCCCACAAATAAATGACAGCATGCAATTTTTGTCTTTTTGTGCCTGGCTTATTTCACTTAGCATAATGATCTCCAGTTTCATCCATGTTTTGCAAATGACAGGATCTCATTATTTTTATGACTGAATAGTACTCCAGTGTGTACGTGTATCATATTTTCTTTATCCAATCATCTACTATGGATATTTAGGTTGCTTCCAAATCTTACCGATTGTGAACAGTCCTGTGACAAACATGGGTGTGCGGATATCTCTTTGATATACTGATTTCCTTTCTTTGGGGTATATACCCAGCAGTGGGATTGCTGGATCATATGGTAGCTCTATTTTTAATATTTTGAGGAACCACCAAACTCTTCTCCATAGTGGTTGTACTAATTTACATTCCCACCAACAGTGTACGAGGGTTCCCTTTCCTCTACATTCTCATCAGCATTTGTTATTTCCTGTCTTTTGGATGTAAGCCATTTCATCTGGGGTGAGATGATATGTTATTGTAGTTGTGATTTGCATTTCTCTGATGATCAGTGATATTAAGCACCTTTTCATATGCCTGTTTGTCATTTGTATGTCTTCTTTTGAGAAATGTCTATTCAAATATTCTGCCCATTTTTAATTGGATTATTATACTTTTTCCTACAGAGTTGTTTGAGCTCTTTATCTATTCTGGTTATTAATTCTTTGTCAGATGGATAGTTTGCAAATATTTTCTCCCATTCTGTAGGTTGTCCCTTCACTTTGTTGATTGCTTCCTTTGCTGTGAAGAAGCTTTGTAATTTGATGTGATCCCATTTGTCCATTTTTGCTTTGGTTGCCTGTGCTTGTAGGGTATTGCTCAAGAAATTTTTGCCCAGACTGATGTCCTGGAGATGTTCCCCAAAGTTTTCTTGTAGTAGTCTTATAGTGTGAAGTCTTGGATTTCAGTCTTTTAATCCATTTTGATGTGATTTTTGTATATTGCAAGAGATAGGGGTCTAGTTTCAGTCTTCTGCATATGGATATCCAGTTTTCCCAGCACCGTTTATTGAAAAGACTGTCTTTTTTTCCAGTGTATGTTCTTGATATTCAGCAAATAGTTTTCCCTTTCCCCATAGGATGAGGGTAGAAGTAGACTATGTACAATTTAAGGATCTGTCTAACCCTGTTTTTCTGTGAACTTAAATTTCTCTGGGCTAGAAGTGAGGTAAGTTCTCAGTAACATTTCCCTTCTTTATTTTGATGCCTGTTTAATCATGCAACACAATTTGATGAACCAACTGTATGCCGGGAAATGTTCTCAGTGACATTCTGTCCAGAATTTCTACTTGTGTCTCTTTACTGCTGGGTTGGGGCCAGGATATATGCCTGGCAAAGCTCATACCAATGCTAGAGTAAGAGTTCGAGTATTAACCACACTGTCTGCCTCCTACACAAGCAATCATTGTGACAAATATGTAGTGATTGCTATTTTGGATAAGATATAGGTCTATGTAATTGGCCCAGTCTATTAATTGAAATCTTGAATTACGATATCTAGTCATGTATTTTTTTTCCTATTAAGAACTATTATTTTTTTTCTTTTCCTTGCATTGCCTCAGGCTGTCTCCTAAGCATGCCCCAGATATTCCTGATGACAGCACTGACAACATCACTATCTTCACCAGAATCTTGGATCGTCTTCTGGACGGCTATGACAACCGGCTGCGACCTGGGCTTGGAGGTCAGTCCTTTTAAGATCTTTGAAGTCCTTTTCAGATCTTCTTCTTGGCCATTGTTATCTAAAAACAGTTATAAGGTGCCTTCAGTAGTCTATTGGCCAATGAGATTAGTGTAAAGCTGAATTTCTTCCCTATGAGCACTAAAAATTAGTCATAATCCTTCATTTCAGTAGGTGATTTCTCTGGTCTGGCTTCAGAAGATTCTAGGTTTTTGCTAGGTGCATATGGAGTAATACACAGATGTTCCATGACTCACAATGGTTTGACGTATGATTTTTGTCTTTATGATGGGTTTATGGGACATAGCCCAATGGATTTAGACTTACTATATT
Source organism: Homo sapiens (assembly GCF_000001405.40). Classification (NCBI taxonomy): domain Eukaryota; kingdom Metazoa; phylum Chordata; class Mammalia; order Primates; family Hominidae; genus Homo; species Homo sapiens. Next base: position 152,345,250 of record NC_000023.11, on the reverse strand, counting down.
TCCAACTTATGATGGGTTTATTGGGATGGGGTCTTGTAAGTTGAGGAGCATCTCTCCCTCAAGGTTAGACAATGCCCATTTCTAGTAACAGAATACCAATACCTGCCTGGGTGACTGGTGTGGTCCAGGAAAAGCTGAGAAACATGCCTTTGTTTTCAAAACCCTGAGCATATATCAGCCTGACACTCCAAAAAGGAATAATCTACTGGCTATGTGAGATCTTAGTTGGCCATCAGTTTAGTATAATCAGCAATATGATCACAATAAGGTAAATATATTATAATATATCACGGGTTATTATAAATTCACAAAATGTAATCTAATGCTCTTTTGTAATCTGTAGTCCATATTCAAATTTTTCCAATTATCCCCAAAATGTACTTTATAGAAATTTTCATTGATTTAGGATTCAATCTAGGATTATGCATTACATTTATTGTTGTGTCTGTTTAGCCTACACTCAGCATTTCTTTGTCTTTCATGACATTGATTAAATCTTCCATATTTATTTTCAAAGTAACACCATAGGAGTTAATTATGTCTTTATCAGCACATTGCTCAAGAAGGGACTTGAAGTCTGTTTGCTCCATTACTGGTAATGTTAATGTAGATGTTTACCAGGTTGCTGCACTCTAAAATTACTATTTTAAAAGTTTATAATTAATACGTAATTTGTGGAGAGATGTTCTGACACTATTTTATGCCTTTTCCAGCTTACACCCAATAGTCTTAACAACTATAGATTATCCCTGTGAGACTAATAACAATTATGGTGGCAAAATGGTGATTTTCTAAAGCGATTATTATTCTACACTTACTAAATGACATTCTATTGTAAGAAAAAATCTCTTTCTCTTTAATTAATTAGCTAATGTCAGTATGAATGGATTTTTGCTTTATTCGGTGGATTACAGTCCATTAATATCATTCATTTCAATAGACTATTTTGATTAAAATTTTTGCTAATAATTTCCCATATTCCCTAAGTGGAAGCCTATTCCATTTGGCTTCTGTTTCCTTTTGATATGCTCTCATTTTTTGAGTACTTTCTTATTATATGGCATGACAGTATATTCCAGACTTATTTTGTACTTTCATAATCCAGCCTTGGAATTAGTCATTTTTCCAAGAATAAGTGGTACCTTTTTTGGGAAATTACATTTAGAATCAAATTTCTGGCTGCTAGGTGTCCTCATTACTGCTAGGATCTCATTGCTTCCAGGATTTTTCAGTAGATAGAACTGGGAAAATAGCAAATGCACACACACTCACACATATACACACACAGATGTATTGTATATATGTATATGTATGTGTGTGTGCATGTATGGCAATAAGTTTACACTGATACTACTAATTGCAGTCCAACAAGTACTTTTAATTGATACATGTACCCATTTGTTTAATCCTACAATATACAAAAATATTTTGAAATTACTACACCCATAGTACTACAATAAACACATTAAGTAAAGTTAAATATATATTTGCAGTTTTTTCATTGTGTTTTGATTTTGGACTAAGGCTATGTAACGCCTGCTTTTATATAAATAATGGATTAGAGTAGAGCGGTATTGAAGGAGGAGAGACCAGTCACAAATTAATTGCAATTTTCTAGGATGAAAATAATGACTGTGTGAATGGAGAGAATTTGGTGACTGCTTAGATTATGGGGTTAGAAAAAGAGGAGGAGAAAGGGATAACTTCTAGGTTCCTGGCTTGTATCACTGGGTGGTGCTATTTTCTAAAATAGGGAAGACTGGAGGGAGAATGGTGCAATTGCGTTTTGTTTTTTTTTTTTTTGGATTTGAGGTTGGAACAATTAATATGGAAAGAAGAGAAAGAAAATAAGGACCAGATTTACTCTCCCATCTTAAACAACCACAAAGAAATGAACAAATATATAGTGTTTTATAGAAATCAAACAAAGGCAGCACAGGATATTGATTCCTGAAAGAAAGAAAACAAACAAGGTGAGCTCTGTGATTGCTGATCCTTAACTGCCTGGAGCAAATTTTTAGGCTACAGTGCAGGGAGGGGAGCCCAGATAGCGTCTGGTGGACTGTTTCAGTTGAGAAGAAGTTGAGAAATTGGGGAGGCCAAGGTTATTAATTCATAAGGCAGAGGAGAAGATAGAGCTGCATGGAGACTAAAAAGTTGTGGAGAGAAAGACAGAGAGAGAGAAAGCAGAAATCTGTAGAGGGTGCTTCACAAGTTTTCAAGTATGTACTCCTTACCTCACAACTCAAGGATGTACTCCTTACCTCACAGCTCAAGGATGAGGAAAAGACCACTGGAAACAGTGGGTAAAACATCAGGGTTTGGAATAACTTGTGTTTTCACCAACCAGAGTTTCCATCACTCTACTTGGTGGAAACACTTTTAACACCTGGTACATGGGGTAGGGTACTTAGAATATGGCCTCAGTGGCATGGCAAAATTATCCCAAGACTAAAGGCTGCTCTAGTCCCACATGACAAAGGTTAAAATCAAGCTTCAAAGAATTTAACTATTTCTAAGTAACACATTATCTCGGAACAAAAATCAAAAATATTTATAGCAGTAAAAAAATCTGATATCTGACAAAGTGGAATTCACGATGATTCCAGTCAAAAGTTTCCAGTCAAAAAATTTGAGAAAATTTTCTGGAAAAAAGTTTCCAGTCAAAAATTACCAAGCATGCAAGGAAACAAGAAACTACAACCCAAAAAGGACAGAAACGCTAATAAGCCTAAGGATATAGCAATAATAATTAGCAAAAACAAGACATGGAGAGAAAGAAAGACTGAAAAATGAAATGGAAATCAGTGCACTGTGGTACAGCTTCATGTAGTCTAATGTAACTGTAATGGGATTATCTGAAGGGGGCAGAAAATATACTTGAAGAAAAACTGGTCAAAAGATTCTGACTTTTTGGGCAAATGACATTAATAGACATTTCTCAAAAGAATATATATAAATGGTTAAGAAACATGTGAAAAACTGCTCAACATCACTAATCATCAGGGAAATGCAAATTAAAACCACAGTGAGATACTACATTCCTCCTGCAAGAATGGCCATTATTAAAAAGTCAATAGGGCCGGGCGTGGTGGCTCACGCCTATAATCCCAAAACTTTGAGAGGCTGAGGTGGGCGGATCACGAGGTCAGGAGTTCGAGACCAGCCTGGCTAATATGATGAAGCCCCGTCTCTACTAAAAATACAAAAATTAGCCAGGCGTGGTGAGGTGTGCCTGTAGTCCCAGCTACTTGGGAGGCTGAGGCAGGAGAATTGCTTGAATCCGGGAGACGGAGGTTGCAGTGACCTGAGATCACGCCACTGCATTCCAGCCTGGGCAACAGAGTGAGACTCCATCTAAAATAAAATAGAATAAAATAAAATAAAGTAAAATAAAACAAAATAAAGTCAGGCTGGGCATGGTGGCTCATGCCTGTAATCCCAGCACTTTTGGAGGCCGAGGCAGGTAGATCACAAGGTCAAGAGATCGAGACCATCCTGGATAACATTGTGAAACCCCGTCTCTACGAAAAATACAAAAAAATTAGCGGGGGGTAGTGGTGTGTGCCTGTAGTCCCAGCTAGTTGGGAGGCTGAGGCAGGAGAATGGCTTGAATCCGGGAGGCAGAGATGGTAGTGAGCCAAGATCACGCCACTGCACTCCAGCCTGGCAACAGAGCAAGACTCAAAAAAAAAAAAAAAAAAAGTCAATAGATGTTGTTATGGATATGGTGAAAGGGAAACGTTTATACACTGCTAGTGGGCATATAAATTAGTACAACCTCTATGGAAAACAGTATGGAGATTCCTTAAAGAACTAAAAGTATAGCTACCATTTGATCCAGTAATCCCACTACTTGGTATCTAGTAAAAGGAAAAGAAGTCATTGTATAAAAAAGACACATGCACATATATGTTTGTTGCAGCCCAATTCACAATTGCAAAGATACGGAACCAACCTAAGTGCCCATCAACCAATGAGTGGAAAAAGAAAATGTGATACATACACATTGTGGAAAACTACTTGGCCATAAAAAGGAGTGGAATAATGTCCTTGCAGTAACTTGGGTGGACGGAGCTGGAGGCCATTATACTAAGTGAAATAACTAAGAAATGGAAAACCAAATACTATATGTTCTCACTTATAAGTGAGAACTAAGCTATGATTACACAAAGGCAGACAGAGTGATAAAATGGACTTTGGAGACTCAGAAGTGGGAGATTGAGAGGGAGATATGGGATAAAAAAGTACATATTGGGTACAACGTACACTACTCAAGTGATGGGTGCACTAAAATCTCAGAATTCACCACTGTATAATTCATCCATGTAACCAAAAACACTTGTACCCAAAGGGTATTGAAATAAAAAAATTAAACAATTCTAACTTTGATTAAAATTGCAATCTCCCCAACCAAGAAAGTCAACAACTCCAAGGACAAGAAGCATGAAGAAAATTACACCAAGAGAAAGGAAAAAATTGCTTAGAACCAATGATAAAAAGAAAATCTGAAAAGCAAATAGAGTAAAAGAAGACATTATGTGCAGATGAAAAACTTTAGAAGGATACTAGACTTTTTGTCACAAGGTAGTGGAGCAACAGCTTTAAAGTACTGAGAGAAGAACAAAAGCCATCCTAGGATTCTTTAACCAGAGAAAATAAATTTCCCCCCAAAAGGCAAAATAAACACTTTTTTCAAACACATAAACACTTAAAAAGATTCATCACCAGCAGATCTGTACTGGAAGAAATGTGTCAGCACAAGGAAAATGATGCCAGATAGAAATCTGGATCTATACAAAGAAGGGAAGGGCAGTGGAAATGGAAACTGTGGGTAAATGTAAAATAGTTCCTCATTTAAAAATTCTCACCAAATGATAAGTAAATACTTAAAGCAAAAATAATAACCATGTATTGTGTAGCTTGTAATATATGTACAAGGAAAATGTATGTCAATGAAATCACAAAGAAGTGGAAATATGCCATTGAACAGTTTTGTATTACACAGAAAGTGAGATAATATTACCTGTAGGTAAACTGTGATAAGGATGTGCACTATAGAACTTGAAAATTTAGCTAATAAAGCAACGAAGGATGTAAAAATGTAATAAGAAAAATATTCAATCCATAGGAAGGCAGAAAAAGAGGAAAAGCTAACAAAGAATAGAAGAAACAAACAGAAAACAAATAGCAAGGTTGTAGATTTAAACTTAACTACACAGATAATCTCATTAAATATAAATCATCTAAACACCCATATTTAAAGGCAGAGGTGGTCAGATTGGATTTAAAAAGAGCAAATTTCTCCCTGAGAGAAATGCACTTTAAATATAAAACCACAAGTGGGTTAAAGATAAAATGATAGGAAAAGATGCATCATACTAACACAAATTAAAAGAAGGTTGGAGTAGTTATTTTAATATCAGAAAAAGTAGACATGAGAGCAAAGAATATTACTAGGAGTACAGACCGAGAAGTGAAACGAGAAAGAGATGGTCTATAATATAGTTAGAGATTTCAACAACGCCCGAATTAGATAATGGAACAAGTAGACAGAAAATAAGTAAAGAAAGCAGAAACTTGACCCATGCTAACAACCAACTTCACCTAACTGACATTTATAGAACATTCCAATCAACAACAGCAAAATACACATTCTCTTCAAGTGTACTGCAACATTTATGAAAATAGACCATATTCTGCATTATAACATTTAAAAAAATTACAACATAGGCTGGGGGCAGTGGCTCACGTCTGTGATCCCAGCACTTTGGGAGGCCAAGGTGGGCAGATCATCTGAGGTCAGGAGTTTGAGACCAGCCTGGCCAACATGGTGAAACCCCGTCTCTACTAAACATACAAAAATTATCCAGGCGTGGTGGCGTGTCCCAGCTACTTGGGAGGCTGAGGCAGGAGAATTACTTGAACCTGGGAGGTGGAGGTTGCAATGAGCCGAGATCACACCACCGCACTCCAGCCTGGGCGACAGAGCAAGACTCCGTCTTAAAAAAAAAAAAAAATTACAACATAATAGGGTGTTCTTTCCCGACTTTATGTTTTTGTTTGTTTTGTTGAAGATTGATTGGCTGTATTTGAGTTTATTTATTAATATTGTTAAAATGACAATACTACCCAAAGCAATTTACAGACTCAATGTAATCTCTACCGATATACCAAAGACGTTCTTCATAGAAATAGGAAAAAAAAAATCCTTAAATGTACATAGGATGACAAGAGACCCCAAATAGCCAAAGCAATTTGAAAATAAATAACAAAACTGGAGGTAACCCACTCCTGATTTCAAAATCAACTGTGAAACTGTAGTAATCAAAACAGCATCATACTGGCAAAAAACTGACACATAAACCAGTGGAACAGAATAGAAAACCCACATATAAATCCACATGTTTACAGCCAATTTATCTTGGACGAAAGATCCAAGAACATACAATGATAAAAGGACAGTCGCTTCAACAAATAATGCTGGGAAAACTGGATAATTATATGCAGAAGAATGAAACTCAACCCCTATCTCTCATCATACACAATAATCAAATCAAAATGAATTAAATACTAAAATCTAAAACCTGAACTATAAAACTGTTGGAAGAAAATATTGGGGAAATGCTCCAGGAAGTTGGTCTGGGCAAATACTATTTTTGTAAGACCTCGAAAGCACAGATGACAAAAGCAAAAATAAACAAATGGGATTCTATCTAGCTAAAAGGCTTCTGTGCTGCAAAGGAAACAACCAATAAAGTGAAGAGACACCCACAAAATGGGAGAAAATATTTGCAAGCTACCTATCTGACAAGAGATTAACAACTAGAATATATAAGGATCTCAAAAAACTCAGTAGCAAAAAATAAATAATCCAATTTAAAAATAGACAAAAGATCTGAACAGACATTTCTCAGAAGAAGACATACAAATGGCCAAGAGGTACATGAAAAAATGCTCAAAATCATTAACGATCAGGGAAGTGCACATCGAAACTACAGTTATATATCATCTCAACTCAGTTAAAATGGCTGTTACCCAAAAGTTGGACAATAACAGATGCTGGTGACAATACAGTAAAAGGAGAGCCCTTGGGCACTGTTGAGTGGAATGTAAATCAGTATGGGCACTATGCAGAACAGGGTGGCGATTATTCAGAAAACTAAAAACAGAGCTACCATATGATCCAGCAATTGCACTATTGGGTATATATCTAAAATAAATCAATATATCCAACAGATAGCTGTACTCCCATGTTTATTACAGCACTATTTACAATAGCCAAAATATGGAATCGACCTAAGTGCCCATTAACAGATGAATGGATAAAGAAAATGTGGTATATGTACATCATGGAATATTATTCAGCCACGGAAAATTACAAAATCTCTTTTTTCTGTTTTTATTTGTTGTTTGTTTTTTAATTTTTTGTAAGGCAGGGTCTTGCTCTGTTGCCCGAGCTGGAGTGCAGTAGCATGATCATGGCTCCCTGCAGCCTTGATTTCCTGGGCTCACGGGATCTTCCTTCCTTAGCCTCCTGAATAGCTGGGACTACAGGCTAATTTATTTTTTATATTTATTTTTTGTAGAGACAGGGTCTCACTATGTTGCCCAGGCTGGTCTTGAACTCCTGGGCTCAAACAATCCTCCCACCTTAGCCTCCCAAAGTGCTGGGATTACAGTTGTGAGTCACCATGCCCAACCAAAATAATGAATTCCTGTCATTTGCAGCAACATGGGTGGAACTGGAGGTCTTTGTTAAGTTAAACAAGCCAAGCACAGAAAGACAAATATCACATGTTCTCACTCATGTGTGGACCTTAAAATAGTGGATCCCATGGAGTTAGAGAGTAGATTGGTGGTTACTAGAGGCTGGGAAGGGTGGGAGGAAGGGAGAGATGAAGAGAAGTTGATTAGGTATAAATATACAATTAGATAGTAAAAATAAGACCTAGTGTTAGTACAATCAATAGGGTGACTTTAGTTTACAATGATGTATTTCTATTTCAAGACAGCTAGGAGTGAAAAATTTGAATGGTTCTAGCACAAAGAAAAGACGCATATCTAAGGTGATGGATATCCTAAGTACACTGATTTAATCTTTACAAACTATATGAATATATTAAATTATCACATGTATCCCAAAGCCGTGTACATCTGTTAAGCACCAGTAAATTTTTATAAAAAAATATTTTATCTTGATTCTGAGCGTTATCTTTGGGGGAATCCACATGACCAAACACTCTGCAACCATAACCTGCAGTTTCTCTCTCCTTGTATCTTTTTAATGGATGGATTAATCAAATCTGAATCCATCTAGAAGGGGAATTAGAAGACATCTATGACTCTGACTTGTCTCTTGTAGCCAATGGATTTCCTCTTGAAGCTGTTTAAAATAGAATTGGGGGACCACTTGAGACCCCTTTGAGACATGTTATTCTGTGACTCCTAAAATCATTTTCTGCATAATATTTAAAACTCTTCCTGAAACCAGCTTCTGGAAATTATAATGCAGAGCCTTCTGAAGACTCCAAATTACGAAACTGGGGTCTTTCTAGGAGGCCAGCAAAGTGCTTTTCTCTTTATTAATTAGCTGTTCCTGAAAGGTTCAGTTCTACTCATCTTGTTTTCTGGTCTCACTGAATTTTGAATGAACTAAGAAACTTCACCAAACTTACATAAAGGCAGCAAGTATTTCTAGATGTGTATGTTGTCTTAGGAAAACATTGCTCATTGACAAATTATACATTTAAACTTATGGGATGGGTGGGATGATTGTCAAGCAAGGTATGGAAACCCATGGTTGGTAATGAAGATGTTTGTCTGGCTGCCAAAAGGATTTTATTTTTGTGACATTAGAACAAGAAACAGGTTTAAATTGTACACGATCCAAGCTACATATTCATTAGGAGTGATACGGAGAAGTGGAGCCATTGTGAGCTGAAGCAGGAACAGTTTCTTAGCATTAACTTGGTCATTGGCTGTGTTAAAATCACTCTCCTGGAGCCATTGTTATAACTAAGTTTTGACTATAAGTGTCATTGGCAGGAGCAAAAAATGAAGGGGGGGAGATATTGAATATAAAGAATAAAGGCCTGTGGTGGGGTGGGATAGAAAAAATCTTTTAACATAGGTCTCAGTAACTGCCCTTTTGGGGACCAATATTTGTTCCTTTCCTTGGACCTCTGTGCTAAATAAATTAAGAAAATATACTTCAAAAAACTTTGAAATTGGCAGGATGCTGGCTTACCCCTGTAATCCCAACACTTTGGGAGGTTAAGGCAGGAGGATCGCTTGAGGCTAGGAGTTTAAGAGCAACCTGGGTATTATAGTGAGACCCTGTCTCTACAAAACAATAAAAAGATTAGCTGGGCATGGTAGCATGCAACTGTAGTCCCAGCTCCTCGAGAGGCTGAGGTAGCAGGATCGCTTGAGCTCAAGAATTAGAGGCAGTGAGCCATAACTGTGCCACTGTACTTCAGCCTGGGTAAACAGAAAGAGACTCAGTCTCTGAAAAAAAAGAATCTTTGAAGTTTCAGGTGGTGGGTATAGTAAAAGCCCAGACATCACCACTATGCAATATATCCAGGTAACACAACTGCACTTGTACACTTAAATCTATAAAAATAAAATTTAAAAAATTCTTTGAAGGTTTTAATAGTTGCAGAGGTGAAAGATTTGTTTGGTATTTGTTCTGACTGCAGAAGGGCTCCTTCTAGCTTTCTTTTTCCCAGTTTCTCTCCAGCAAACTAGCTGGTCTGCAGTTTGGCCTGTACATCCAATGTATCTTTCAGTTTTCTCCTAATTGCCTTTCACTACAGTCTCCCTTGTTTTTGAGAGCACCCCTAGGCTTGAACTTCTCCATACTTTGTTGCAAATGAAGTCAGTTCCTTTGGGGAACGATCTGATGCTCTCTCTTCTATGGTCTGCTTCTCTCTTGGGCAAAATCTCTAAGCTATGGTTCTAGTTCTTGGGGTGAGAACAAGGCACACTTTTCTCTGAGGAACGACCCTATGTTAGTTGCTGAGTGCTTGGTAGAGGGGTGATGGCAGTGGCCCCAGGTCTCCTCAGCTTGCATTTTTGAGCATGGACCACTGCTCCATTAGCCAGATCAAGAGAACTTGAGGCCACAGTACTCTCAGCAGTGCTATTCCCAAGTTAGAGTCTCCGTGCCGTAAGTGAGGGCTGGGAGCAAGAAAGGAAGAAACTCTCAGCCAAAGTTGCTTAGAATTTAGCTCAGCAACAGGTAGCTTATTCCTGGATGAGAAATGCTGACGTCGTGCCTTACCCAGGAAGATAGCTCTTCAGCTGGGAGATGGGGGAAGAGAGAGCCCTGTGTTCTTGGTTGCACACATCTAGAATAGAGTTTCTGTTTCACTGAGCTGGCAGGTGGGTGGGAATGGTTCTCGGTTTAAATATTCTAACCTCTTGCTTTCTTACTCAGTTTTAGTAGATTTTCTTGAATACATTTTTTCTTGAATAATTTTTTTTTGATTTTATGTATGCCCATAGGAGCATTTTCAGAAACTTTATTTCGTTGTTTCAAAAATAAATTTTAGACCAGGCATAGTGGCTCACACCTGTAATCCAAGCACTTAGGGAGGCAAAGGCATGAAGATAGCTTGAGCCCAGAAATTTGAGAACAGGCTGGGCAACGTAGCCAGACCCCATTCTTCACAGAAAGGAAAAATAATGATAATAAATTTCCATTTCACTGAGGAGCAGGTCTGCAGAGTTCTTCATGTTTTCATATCAGAAGTGAAACTTCTAGTAGCTTTTTTTGTAGATTCATTAGATAATATGCTTAAATGATTATGTCCTATAGGAAGAAAGACCATTTTAATTCTTCCTGTGCAATATGGATGCTCTTTTTTCTTTCTTTATTGCACTGAGTAGACTTCACATATAATGTTGAATAGACATGGTGAAAGCAGACACCATTGTCTTGTTCCTGATCTTAGGGAGAAAGGGTTCAGTCTTTCAACATTAAATATGATGATAGGTGTAGGTTTTTCCTAGATGAAATTTATCAATTTTGGGAAGTTTTCTTCTACTCCTAGTTTGCTAAAAGTTTTTAACAGGAACGTCAGAATTTTTCAATTGTTCTTTCTCTGTCTATTAGGCTAGTTATATAATTTTTCTTTTTAGTGTGTTGACACAGTAAATAACAATGATTGATTTACATATGTTTAGGCCAAACTTCATTCTCATGATAAATGTCACTTCTATCTTAATTACTATATATTTATGATAGGTTTGATATCTGGTAATATAAGTCATCCAGCCTTGTTATTTTCAAGATTATCTTGACTATTCATGGCCTTTCAAATTTCTAGATAAATTTTATAATCCGCTTATCATTTTCTGAGAAAAAAATCTACTCAGGTTGGCTTCATATTGAATATATAAGTAAACTTGTGGAGTTTTAAAAAATCTTTATAATACTGAATGTTCTAATTCATAAATTAGTATATTCCTCTTAATTTTATTCTGTAATTCCTCTGAATAATGTTTTGGCCTTTTCACTTTCGAGGTCTTACATATTTTTGCTTGATCTATGCCTTGAGATATGATTTTTCATGCCATTTTGAGAATTTGTTCTTCAATATAGGAGGATTAGGGCAAAAGAAGGATAAAATAACATTTGTTATAGCTATGTAGAGATATGATTGGTTTTACACATTGCCCTTGTATCTGGAAGCCTTTTTCTACTGACTTACTAATTCCAACATTTGTCTACAATTTCTTTTAGATTTTCTGCATACAAATTCATATCATCTTCAATTAGAGTAGAACAGAAGAGGTAATAGCAGCTATCCTTGTTTTGTTTCTTATTTCAGTGGAAAGCTTTTGATATTTCACCATTAATAATGGAATTTGTTGTAGGTTTACTTTGTAAATTTTTTTATATGATTAAGGAAGTTCTTTTCTCCGTGTTTCATAAGCACTGCAAGGCTACAGGATATTTTGTTCTCCTTTTCTGAAATTTTGGCCTGCCTCTTCAGCGTCTTGTGCAACCTCAGAATTCAGCAAATGTTCTGTGAGAAAAGCTGCCATGTATATAAAATTTTTCAATTTTATTATACCAGTCTCATGTATCCACTAAAAGCTTTGGTGCTTTCTACCAGGATCACACCCAGATCTTTCGCCTCTAAGCAATGCCAAGGATCACAAAATTGCCCCGGGAAGAAAAACAATGGCCAATTCTCAGCTCACAGTTCTTATCCAAATGATTTTACTACATGTAGTAATCTACACAAACTTGGCTTGTGCAAAGGGAGTTGTGATGGGTGGATAATGTATACCATTAGGAAGAAATTTTCAGTAAGTAGCATGATTAAAGCTGCTGAATTTGAATTCCCAAGCCTCCAAAGAGAATTTTTGACCATAAAATTTTAAAATGAGAAGCAAGATGATGCTTGTGGGTTAAAGCAAAAACACTAGGGCCTGGGTCCTGCTCATTATAAGGCAGCTTTTGTCTACACAGGCCTCTGCGTTGGCATGGATCTTTGCCCCTTCAAACAGGGTTTGCACCAGAGAACAGGGCTTTTACAGGCAGGCAGACCAAGAGGTCAGTCCGTTCTCTGCCGGTTGTTCCAGCTGTCTAATCATGGAGCACTTTCTTGTTCTCCCCAAGTCTGTTTTCTCATCTGTAAAAAAAAGGGTCGAGATACCTTGCCAAGTTGTTCTGAGGATTAAGAAAATAAATTATGTAAATAACCTATCAAATAGATGCTCAGTAAGTGGGAGTTTGTTTTCTTCCCTTTCTTCCACCTAAGTACTGGGAAAGAAAGTGCTTGAGAAAGTGCTTGCTGTAACTGAAATAATGAACACAAGGTGGACAGAAAGGGCATAACCTCTCCCAATTAGCAATCTTAGCATAGCTTTTTTTGAGAAATAGTTTTCACTCTCCACCAGAAAAAGGAACCCAGGGAATGAATTAGTGGTTGTAGGCATTCTGTCTTCTATGCATTATGAAGAGAGAAGCCATATTAATAAGATAACTGAAAAGTCACGTTAGTAAGATATTTGACAGAACAATGTTTATAGTATTGGATAAGAAACAGCACACAGAATTGTTTTCAAATTGAAAAGTAGATGTGATCTTGTGTTTAAGAAAGACTCCTTTGACATTCAGGAGATAACTACAGCATTTTGATGGGCTGTTTTGATTTCTAGCTAAAAGGAAGTTAAATAGGAAATGAATCATCAAGTTAATGGGCATAGTGGTGAATTAAAGAAGATGTGTGGTAGTGTAACACACCAACTCAAAACTTGGCTGATGGGGCACTTAACTCTTCAGAGAAAACTTTAATGACTAAATGTAGATTTATTTAACATTAATTAGGTATATATTAAAACCTAAAGATAAGTTTATTCTTGAGGCAATTCCAGATTATTATTGATCATAGTACATCAGGGGTTTGGTAGTCATTGGAGTGATGGGAACAGTCTTGGACTGAGAGGAGACTTTAGTTATATAGCTCTACCAGCATGAGTTGTCAACTTTGGTTAAATCTCTTCCTGTCCCTTTACTTGTTGACCTGTAAATAAGTTTAGATTTCACCTCCTTCATTCTTCAGTTTGATTATTCTAAAATGGTAAATTTATTGTTTTACTGCTATACTTGGGCCCCTACTGTGCAATAGCTGGCTGGTATGAAATTAAGTGTGGTATTTGATATTTACTTTACCAAGGAGTGCATTCTGTGTGTCCCTGGGCAAACACCTTCATGGAATTTCAACTCATTACTGAATTACTCTGCATCGCAGAACACTTCCAGTTGAAGTGCCTGTAAAATCATAAGATGTCCATGAGCTGGTTAGTGAGGTACAGAATGTTAACTCATGAAGAAACTTCCAAATTTTTTCCCAACCAGCCTCTCTTTGAGGACGATAATCCCTTTTGTAGCACTGCTGATACTTAGCTATCTAGCTTCTGCTTGATTACCTCTAATTCGTGAGTTAGTGCTCCCACTTTAAACCTTCCTAAGAAGTTCTGTAGATGGTCCCTTTGAATTCATGGTGCCAGTTTTAATTATGGGAGAGTTGGCTTTTTTTTTTTTTTCCTTCCAAAGTCTGTTTTTATGTGATGAGCCTCTGGAAATTTGAGGGGAATTCTATCTTTAGTGTCTTCAAGTGTCCTTCATGTTTTCTGGTTTCAGGGTGTTTCACAGTCCTGATCACTGTCTTCTCAGTCAACATTCCTCAAACTGTGTTCCACTGAATGTTAACATCCTGTGAGAAATCAACAAGTGACCCAGTGTTTTGAAAAATGAAATTGTTTTGTCAAATGTTTAGGTAGCTTAACAAAGGCAAATGGGTTTTTAATGCAAGACTACAAAGATTCCTTTTTATGTTAATATTAATTATGAATACATAGGAAACAGTTTTCTTTTTTTATTATACTTTTAAGTTCTAGGGTACATGTGGACAATGGGCAGGTTTGTTACATATGTATACATGTGCCATGTTGGTGTGCTGCACCTATTAACTCGTCATTTACATTAGGTATATCTCCTAATGCTACCCCTCCCCCCTCCCTGCACCCCACGACAGGTCCCGGTGTGTGATGTTCTCCACGCTGTGTCCAAGTGTTCTCATTGTTCAATTCCCACCTATGAGTGAGAACATGCGGTGTTTGGTTTTCTGTCCTTGCGATAGTTTGCTCAGAATGAGGGTTTCCAGTTTCATCCATGTCCCAAAAAAGAACATGAACGCATCGTTTTTTATGGCTGCATACTATTGCATGGTGTATATGTGCCACATTTTCTTAATCCAGTCTATCATTGATGGACATTTGGCTTGGTTACAAGTCTTTGCTATTGTGAATAGTGCCACAATAAACATATGTATGCATGTGTCTTTATAGCAGCATGATTTATAATCCTTTGGGTATATACCCAGTAATGGGATGGCTGGGTCAAATGGTATTTCTAGTTCTAGATCCTTGAGGAATTGCCACACTGTCTTCCACAATAGTTGAACTAGTTTACAGTCCCACCAGCAGTGTAAAAGTGTTCCTATTTCTCCACATCCTTTCCAACACCTGTTGTTTCCTGACTTTTTAATGATCCCCATTCTAACAGGTGTGAGATGGTATCTCATTGTGGTTTTGATTTGCATTTCTCTGATGGCCAGTGATGATGAGCATTTTTTCATGTGTCTGTTGGTTGTATTAATGTATTCTTTTGAGAAGTGTATGTTCATATCCTTTGCCCACTTTTTGATGAGGTTGTTTGATTTTTTTCTTGTAAATTTGTTTAAGTTCCTTGTAGATTCTGGATATCAGCCTTTTGTCAGATGGGTAGATTGTAAAAATTTTCTCCCATTCTGTAGGTTGCCTGTTCACTCTGATGGTAGTTACTTTTGCTGTGCAGAAGCTCGTTAGTTTAATTAGATCCCATTTTTCGATTTTGGCTTTTGTTGCCATTGCTTTTGGTGTTTTAGTCATCAAGTCCTTGCCCATGCCTGTGTCCTGAATGGTTTCACCTAGGTTTTCTTCTAGGGTTTTTATGGTTCTAGGTCTAACATTTAAGTCTTTAATCCATCCTGAATTAATTTTTGTGTAAGGTGTAAGAAAGGGATCCAGTTTCAGCTTTCTACTTATTGCTAGCCAGTTTTCCCAGCACCATTTATTAAATAGGGAATCCTTTCCCCATTTCTTGTTTTTGTCAGGTTTATCAAAGATCAGATGGTTGAAGATGTGTGGTATTATTTCTGAGGGCTGTGTTCTGATCCGTTGGTCTATATCTCTGTTTTGATACCAGTACCATGCTGTTTTGGTTACTGTAGCTTTGTAGTATAATTTGAAGTCGGGTAGCATGATGCCTCCAGCTTTGTTCTTTTGGCTTAGGATTGTCTTGGCTATGTGGGCTCTTTTTTGGTTCCATATGAACTTTAAAGTAGTTTTTTCCAATTCTGTGAAGAAAGCCATTGGTAGCTTGATGGGGATGGCATTGAATCTATAAATTACCTTGGGCAGTATGGCCATTTTCACGATACTGATTCTTCCTATCCATGAGCATGGAATGTTCCTCCATTTGTTTGTGTCCTCTTTTATTTCGTTGAGCAGTGGTTTGTAGTTCTCCTTGAAGAGGTCCTTCATGTCCCTTGTAAGTTGGATTCCTAGATATTTCATTCTCTTTGAAGCAATTGTGAATGGGAGTTCACTCATGATGTGGCTCTCTGTCCGTTATTGGTGTATAGGAATGCCTGTGATTGTTGCACATTGATTTTGTATCCAGAGACTTTGCTGAAGTTGCTTATCAGCTTAAGGAGATTTTGGGCTGAGACGATGGGGTTTTCTAAATATACAATCATGTCATCTGCAAATGGGGACAATTTGACTTCCTCGTTTCCTAATTGAATACCCTTTATTTCTTTCTCTTGCCTGATTGCCCTGGCCAGAACTTCCAACACTATGTTGAATAGGAGTGGTGAGAGAGGGCATCCCTGTCTTGTGCCAGTTTTCAAAGGGAATGCTTCCAGTTTTTGCCCATTCAGTATGATATTGGCTGTGGGTTTGTCATAAATAGCTCTTATTATTTTGAGATACATTCCATCAATACCTAGTTTATTGGGAGTTTTTAGCATGAAGGGCTGTTGAATATTGTCAAAGGCGTTTTCTGCATCTATTGAAATAATTGTGTGGTTTTTGTCTTTGGTTCTGTTTATATGCTGATTTACGTTTATTGATTTGTGTATGTTGAACCAGCCTGGAATCCCTGGGATGAAGCTAACTTGATCGTGGTGGATAATCTTTTTGATGTGCTGCTGGATTCGGTTTGCCAGTATTTTATTGAGGATTTTTGCATCGATGTTCATCAGGGATAATGGTCTAAAATTCTCCTTTTTTGTTGTGTCTCTGCCAGGCTTTGGTATGAGGAAGATGCTAGCCCCATAAAATGAGTTAGAGAGGATTCCCCCTTCTTCTATTGATTGGAATAGTTTCAGAAGGAATGGTACCAGCTCCTCATTGTACCTCTGCTAGAATTTGGCTGTAAATCCGTCTGGTCCTGGACTTTTTTTCGTTGGTAGGCTATTAATTATTGCCTCAATTTCAGAGCCTGTTATTGGTCTATTCAGGGATTCAACTTCTTCCTGGTTTAGTCTTGGGAGGGTGTATGTGTCCAGGAATTTATCCATTTCTTCTAGATTTTCTAGTTTATTTGTGTAGGTGTTTATAGTATTCTCTGATGGTAGTTTTTATTTCTGTGGGATCAGTGGTGATATCCCCTTTATCATTTTTTATCGTGTTTATTTGATTCTTCTCTCATTTCTTCTTTTTTAGTCTTGCTAGCAGTCTATCAATTTTGTTGATCTTTCAAAAAACCTGCTCCTGGATTCTTTGATTTTTTGAAGTGTTTTTTGTGTCTCTATCTCCTCCAGTTCTGCTCTGATCTTAGTTATTTCTTGCCTTCTGCTAGCTTTTGAATGTGTTTGCCCTTACTTCTCTAGTTCTTTTAATTGTGATGTTAGGGTGTCAATTTTAGATCTTTCCTGCTTTCTCTTGTGGGCATTTAGTGCTATAAATGTCCCTCTACACACTGCTTTAAATGTGTCCCAGAGATTCTGGTATGTTGTGTCTTTGTTCTCATTGGTTTCCAAGAACATCTTTCTTTCTGCCTTCATTTCGTTATGTACCCAGTAGTCATTCAGGAGCAGGTTGTTCAGTTTCCATGTAGTTGAGCGGTTTTGAGTGAGTTTCTTAATCCTGAGTTCTAGTTTGATTGCACTGTGGTCTGAGAGATAGTTTGTTGTAATTTCTGTTCTTTTACATTTGCTAAGGAGTGCTTTTCTTCCAACTATGTGGTCAATTTTGGAATAAGTGTGATGTGGTGCTGAGAAGAATGTATATTCTGTTGATTTGGGGTGGAGAGTTCTGTAGATGTCTATTAGGTCCGCTTGGTGCAGAGCTGAGTTCAATTCCTGGATATCCTTGTTAACTTTCTGTCTCGTTGATCTGTCTAATGTTGACAGTGGGGTGTTAAAGTCTCCCATTATTATTGTGTGGGAGTCTCAGTCTCTTTTAGGTCTCTAAGGGCTTGCTTTGTGAATCTGGGTGCTCCTGTATTGGGTGCATATATATTTAGGATAGTTAGCTCTTCTTGTTGAATTGGTCCCTCTATCATTATGTAATGGCCTTCTTTGTCTCTTGATCTTTGTTGGTTTAAAGTCTGTTTTATCAGAGACTAGGATTGCAACCCCTGCTTTTTTTTTTTTTCCATTTGCTTGGTAGGTCTTTCTCCATCCCTTTATTTTGAGCCTGTATGTGTCTCTGCACGTGAAATGGGTCTCCTGAATACAGCACACTGATGGGTCTAGATTCTTTATCCAATTTGCCAGTCTGTGTCTTTCAATTGGAGCATTTAGCCCATTTACATTTAAGGATAATATTGTTATGTGTGAATATAATCCTGTCATTATGATGTTAGCTGTTTATTTTCCCCGTTAGTTGATGCAGTTTTTCTTAGCATCGATGGTCTTTACAATTTGGCATGTTTTTGCAGTGGTTGGTACCAGTTGTTCCTTTCCATGTTTAGTGCTTCCTTCAGGAGCTCTTTTAGGGCAGGCCTGGTGGTGACAAAATCTCTCAGCATTTGCTTGTCTGTAAAGGATTTTATTTCTCCTTCAGCTATAAAGCTTAGTTTGGCTGGATATGAAATTCTGGGTTGAAAATTCTTTTCTTTAAGAATGTTGAATATCGGCCCCCACTCTCTTCTGGCTCGTAGAGTTTTTGCTGAGAGATCCACTGGTAGTCTGATGGGCTTCCCTTTGTGGGTAACCCGACCTTTCTTTCTGGCTGCCCTTAACATTTTTTCCTTCATTTCAACATTGGTGAATCTGTCAATTATGTGTCTTGGGGTTGCTCTTCTCAAGGAGTATCTTTGTGACGTTCTCTGTATTTCCCGAATTTGAATGTTGGCCTGCCTTGCTAGGTTGGAGAAGTTCTCCTGGATAATATCCTGAAGAGTGTTTTCCAACTTGGTTCCATTCTCCCCATCACTTTCAGGTACACCAATCAGATGTAGATTTGGTCTTTTCACGTAGTCCCATATTTCTTGGAGGCTTTGTTCATTTCTTTTTACTCTTTTTTCTCTAAACTTCTCTTCTCACTCCATTTCATTCACTTGATCTTCAATCACTGATACCCTTTCTTCCACTTGATCAAATCGGCTACTGAAGCTTGTGCATGTGTCACGTAGTCCTAGTGCCATGGTTTTCAGCTCCGTCAGGTCATTAAAGGTCTTCTCTACACTGTTTATTCTAGTTAGCCATTCGCCTAATCTTTTTTCAAGGTTTTTAGCTTGTTTGTGATGGGTTCGAACATCCTCCTTTAGCTCGGAGAGGTTGGTTATTACTGATCTGCTGAAGCCTTCTTCTCTCAACTCGTCAAAGTCATTCTCTGTCCAGCTTTGTTCCGTTGCTGGTGAGGAGCTGCGTTCCTTTGGAGGAGAAGAGGCGCTCTGATTTTTAGAATTTTCAGCTTTTCTGCTCTGGTTTCTCCCCATCTTTGTGGTTTTATCTACCGTTGGTCTTTGATGATGGTGACGTACAGATGGGATTTTGGTGTGGATGTCCTTTCTGTTTGTTAGTTTTCCTTCTAACCGTTAGGACCCTCAGCTGCAGGTCTGTTGGAGTTTGCTAGAGGTCCACTCCAGACCCTCTTTGCCTGGGTATCACCAGCAGAGGCTGCAGAACAGCAAATATTGCAGAACAGCAGATGTTGCTGCCTGATACTTCCTCTGGAAGCTTTGTCTCAGAGGGGCACCTGGCTGTATGAGGTGTCAGTCGGCCCCTACTGGGAGGTGTCTCCCAGTTAGTCTACTCGGGGGTCAGGGACCCACTTGAGGAGGCAGTCTGTCCGTTCTCAGATCTCAAACTCCATGCTGGGAGAACCACTACTCTCTTCAAAGCTCAGTTAGAAATGCAGAAATCATTCGTCTTCTGCATTGCTCACGCTGGGAGCTGTAGACTGGAGCTGTTCCTATTCGGCCATCTTAGAACCTCCAGGAAACAGTTTTCATATGTAGTCTTTTTTGACCTTGGGCCTTTTTCTCCCCTCCACAAAACACCTAATCACTTCTCACTTGGGATACAAGTCATCCATAGATCAGCTTGAAAAATGCTGCTCTGTAATCTACCAGGTTTATTAATATCCAGCCTAAGGTGTGTTATCTAGTAAAGAACACAATACTCTGGATGCTTTCAAGCTATCTCACAGAACAACAGGACTATCACCTCTCCCATTTTACACATCACACTTCCATTAATGTAACCTAAAAATAAAATTGGCCTATTTGGTGATGGCATTGCCCACTTGGCTTACCTTAATGCTTTTTGATCAATTAAAATCTAGTAGATTATTTTTTTTACAACCATTGACCAGCCAATCTCCTCAATCCTATGTATCCTAGTATTTATTTTTGGAGACAAATGCAAGAATTTCTATTTATCCGTATTAAATTTCACCTTATATATTATACTCTAATAACTCCAAGCCACATAAAGCTTTCTATTTCTTTTATTCAATGTATTGACTATAATTTTTATCTGTATCATTGAATCATGTCTTCTATGTCTTTATTTTTAGTATAATTATTTAAGGACAAAGCCTGATATTAGCCATTAGAGACTATATCAGTGTTTTATATTGACCTACTAAACAAAATCTTTGGATATATTTTAACCAGTTAAGAAGCCATATAAATATTCTCTAATCTATTTAATTTTTCCATGTAGCATAATGGACACATGATATAGTCTGTCAGTGCCTTGATGAAATTCAGATACACAATGTCAACAGCTTCTCTCTTTGATGTGAAATGTGTGGCAATTTTGTTTTCCATAAAAGTTAGGCTTGGCATAATTTGTTTTTAGTGAATCCATGGTAGCTCCTGCTAATAATTATCTGTTTTTCCAAAGCTTACGTATTTTTGTTTACCAGTCTGACCCAGAATTTTACTGCTGATTGATATTGATATTAGCCTTAATAAAGAAAGTATTCTATATAACTAATTAAGCCTATCTTCCCAAGCTATTGATAATGACACAGCACAGTTAAAGTAAGAACATTCTTTTTGGCATTGGGATAATTTTCCAGCCTCTCTGTTGTCTGATTCCACCAACAAATAAATGAGCTTCATGACTTCCATCACTGCCACAGGGATGTTGATGGATTAAATCATTAATTAATTCATTTATTAAGTTCCTTTAATAAGGCAGATACTCTGCTAAGTGCTCTGGGGATGTAAGGTTGGATAAGACATAGTGTTTTTCTTAAAATCATATAAATTAGAAATAGTAGCTCAATGAGACAAAGGGCTAGTTTCCAAAGCTAAGCTGTTTGAATTATGTTAAGGGAAACAAACGTATCCTTGGTCTCTTAAGAGTTTCTTTGTTCTATTTTCTCTAAATACAGATTTTATGCCCAGGTAGACTCTGTGTTTTAGGTTCCTCAAAAAAGACCAGTGTAAATGTAAACAGTATTAAGCACACAAGCATGATTAGAGAAAAGGTTGGTGTTAATATTTTTTTAACAGAAAGCAATTACAGTTTAATCCTCTCATTACAAAAGTTGCTTCAAAGAATGTGAAGAAAAGAATATATCTGATAATATATTACTCATTTATAAGCTGCTACTAGTGCAGAAGGAATTCTTTCTTTAATTGGAAGAAAAAACAAAGAGATTCCCAGGATCCTTGTTACCCTTCATGAATGCTGGCAGGGCACTTTCACATCCATTTAGTCCTTACTTTTATGTAATATTCTGTTCTCAAAACATTGCTGGGAAAGTGAGAAGGTTATAGATGGTAAAACTCAGGGTCATAGCAGAGAGGAAACTTTCCCGTTCAAGGAATAGAACATTGGCCTCTTGAATTCCAGTCCAGGGTGTTTACTGATCCCCCGCTGCTACTTGTACTAGAACTGACATTCAAAATGAAGTAAAAAATAAAAGTAAGACAGATTAAACAAACAAAAAAACATGCTCAGAATGGCTATGAGTGCAACACTGAATGATATCCCACTCCAAAGAATTCGGTAGTGGTTGATGGAGACAAAGCCATTAAGATGACTTTAATTAAGAGTTGACTTTGAGGCTGGGTGCATTGGCTCACGCCTATAATCCCAGCACTTTGAGAGGCTGAGGCAGGCAGATCACGAGATCAAGAGATCAAGACCGTCCTGACCAACATGGTGAAACCCCGTCTCTACTAAAAATACAAAAATTAGCTGGGCATGGTGGTGCGCGCCTGTAGTCCCAGCTACTCAGGAGGCTGAGGCAGGAGAATCGCTTGAACCTGGGAGGCGGAGGTTGCAGTGAGCCGAGATTGCGCCACTGCACTCCAGCCTGGTGACAGAGCAAGACTTTGTCTCAAAAAAAAAAAAAAAAAAAAAAAAAAAGAGTAGACTTTGGCCTGGTGCAGTGGCTCACACCTGTAATCCCAGCACTTTGGGTGGCCAGAGTGGGTGGATCACCTGAGGTCAGGAGTTCGAGACCAACCTGACCAACATGGTGAAACCCCATTTTTACTAAAAATACAAAAATTATCTGGGTGTGGTAGTGTGCACCTGTAATCCCAGCTACTGGGGAGGCTGAGGCAGGAGAATTGCTTCAACCCGGGAGGCAGAAGTTTCAATGAGCCGAGATCGTGCCATTGCACTCCAGCCTAGGCAACAAGAGCAAAACTCCATCTCAAAAAAAAAAAAAAGAGTTGACTTTATTTATTTTAAATTATTTATTGTGGTGAAATTCACATAACATAAAAAGGTAACCATTTTACGGGAACAATTCAGTGGCATTTAGTACATGTTCACAGTGTTAGGCTACCACAACTTCTGTCTAGTTCCAAATCATTTCCATCCCTCCAAAGTAAAACCCCTTATCCATTAAGCAGTTTACCCCTGTTTCTCCTCTTCTCAGCCCCTGGCAACCATGAATTTGCATTCTCTATGTCCTCACCCATTCTGAATATTTCGTATAGATGAAATCATACAATATGTGGCCTTTTGTGTCTGCTTTCTTTGATTTAGCAAGATATATTGGAGGTACATCCATGTATCAGTACATGTATCAGTATGTCATTCTTTTTTATGAATGAATAATATTCTATTGTATGGATAAACCACAATTTGTTTATCTGTTTATTCATTCATAAACATTTGAGGTGCTTCCATTTTTTGCTAATGTAAATTGTATTGCTGTAAACATTTATGTATAAGCTTTTGTTTGAACACCTGTTTTCAGGTTTTATACCTAGGAGTGGAATTGTGGGGTCATGTAGCAATTCTATGATTAAATGTTTGAGAAACTTTTAAATTGTTTTACTTTATTTTTTGATGGAGAGGAGAGGAGTGGCGGGGAGAAGAGAGGAGAGAGTAGGGAAGGACAGGGAGGAAAGGAATTCAGCATGTTTGACATGAAGGTCTGTGTACTTTGTATAACCCCAATATTTGTCATTGAAAACTGTGAGGAGGGTTCTCTTGCACAAACACCTAACTAGGAAAACGGAGAAATGTTCATGGACATTTGCGAAATCACTGATTGGTGGAGAGGGATGCTACATAGCAACAGAAAGACTGCAGTCTTTTGTTACTACTTTGTTTCACTTTCTGCCCAAGAGATCCAATTAAATTAATGCCTAAAATCAATCTCCAAAGAGTAGGTTTGAATCTGGAATTAGACCGAAGGGATGCCTGAGGACTAATCAAGGAAGTCATATGACAACAGTCTTTTCCAAGGGCCCTCAGCACTCACAATGATGCCCATGAGACTTCAATACAGTGGTGCTCATATTTTGATGCACTAAATTCGATTTTGTGCACTGATTTTGATGCACATTGGAATTCCCTGATGATCTTTAAAAAATATTGATTCCCTGTATTTTACCGTAATAAAAAGCACTGATTCTTGGACTTTACCCACAGATGTTCTGATTTGACTGGTGGAACTAGGACAATCAGAAGATTTAAAAGCTCCCCATGTGAGTCTAATATGTAGCCAAGTTTGGGAATCATTGCTTTAACCTATGTGAGGTTATTTAACCGTATGTGAGGCCCTGCTTGCTGAAGTGACAGGAAGATGTTTTATCTTTACCCTATCTTTTCCTTCTTATTCTCCACCTTGAATCATCCAATTTTATTCAACCATGTCTTAATGTCTATAGCAGAGAAGATTCTGGAACATATAAAAATAAAACAATTTGTGATCAAATAGATTACCAGGTATTCAAAGGGTAAACAAATGGGACCATAAAATAATCAGGCAACAGAGAAAAAAATGTTTTTTGTTTATTTTAGCATGTTTATTTTTGGCCCAAGCCTTTATCAGGTTGGAGTTGGAGGCTGGGGAGGAAGAATAACAAAGCATTGAGGATATGGAGCTCTGAGAAGTTTGATCCCTCCTCTGTGTGATTAATGTTAAGAAAGACCAAATCAAGGTAACTTTAAAGCAGATATGCTGGATATCCTTCCATTTGTATACCTACCTATCCATCTTTATTTTTTTTGTTTTTTAGATTTTTTATTTCCATAGGCTTTGGGGGAACAGGTGGTATTTTGTTACATGAGTAAGTTCTTTAGTGGTGATTTGTGAGATTTTGGTGCACCCATCACCTGAGCAGTATACACTCAACCCCATTTGTAGTCTTTTATTCCTCACTCCCTTCCACCCTTTCCCCTGAGTCCTCAAAGTTCATTGTATCATTCTTACACCTTTGCATCCTCATAGTTTAGCTCCCATTTATGAGTGAGAACATACGATGTTTGGTTTTCCATTCCTGAGTTACTTCACTGAGAATGATAGTCTCCAGGTCTATCCAGGTTGTTGAGAATGCCATTAATTTGTTCCTTTTATGGCTGAGTAGTATTCCATAGTATATGTATATACGACAATTTCTTTATCCACTTATTGATTGCTGGGCATTTGGGCTGGTTCCATATTTTTGCAATTGTGAGTTGTGCTGCTATAAACATGCGTGTGCAAGTGTCTCCTTCATATAATGACTTCTTTTTTTCTGGGTAGATATCCAGTAGTGGGATTGCTGGATAAAATGGTAGTTCTACTTTTAGTTCTTTAAGGAATCTCCACACTATTTACCATAGTGGCTGTACTAGTTTATATTCCCACCAGCAGTGTAGAAGTGTGCCCTTTTCACTGCATCTATGCCAACGTCTTTTTTTTTATGTTTTTGATTATGGCCATCCTTTCAGGAGCTAGGTGGTATCACATTGTGGATTTTATTTGCATTTCCCTGATCATTAGTGATGTTGAGCATTTTTTCATGTTTGTTGGCCATTTGTATATCTTCTTTTGAGAATTGTCTATTCATGTCCTTAGCCTACTTTTTGATGCAATTGTTTGTTTTTTTCTTGCTATTTTTTTAATTCATTATAGATTCTGGATATAAGTCCTTTGTCAGATGTATAGATTTGTGAAGATTTTCTCCTAGTCTGTGGGTTGTCTGTTTACTCTACTGACTGTCCCTTTTACCGTACAGATCTCTAGGTTAATTAAGTCCCACCTATTTATCTTTTGTTTTTGTTACATTTGCTTTTGGGTTCTTAGTCATAAAGGCTTTGCCTAAGCCAATGTCTGAGGTTTTTTTCTGATGTCATCTTTCAGAATTTTTGTAGTTTCAGGTCTTAGATTTAAGTCCTTAATCCATGTTGAGTTGATTTTCCTATAAGGTGAGAGATGAGGACCGAGTTTCATTCTCCTACATGTGGCTTGCCAGTTGTCCCAGAAGCATTTGTTGAATAGAGTGTCCTTTCCCCATTTTATGTTTTTGCTTGCTTTGTGGAAGATCAGTTGGCTGTAAGTATTTAAGTTTATTTCTGGGTTCTCTATTTTGTCCCATTGGTCTCCGTGCTTATTTTTATACCAGTACCATGCTGTTTTGGTGACTATGGCCTTATAGTATAGTTTGAAGTCAAGTAATGTGATGCCACCAGATTTGTTCTTTTTGCTTAGCCTTGCTTTGGCTATGTGGGCTCTTTTTTGGTTCCATATGAATTTTAGGATTGCTTTTTCTAGTTCTGTGAAGAATGGTGGTGGTACATTGATGGGAATTGCATTACATTTGTTGATTGGTTTTGGCAATATGGTCATTTTCACAATATTGATTCTACCCATCTATAAGCATGGGCTGTGTTTCTCTTTGTTTACAGTCTTCTTGGCATATGATCATATTAGCAAACAGTAACAGTTTGACTTCCTCTTTACCGATTTTGATGCTCTTTATTCCATTCTTGTGTCGGCTCTGGCTAGGACTTCTGGTACTATGTTAAATAGAAGTGGTGAGAATGGGCATCCTTGTCTTGTTCCAGTTCTCAGAGGGAATGCTTTCAACTTTTCTCCGTTTAGTATTATTTTGGCTGTGGGTTTGTCATTGATGGCTTTTATTACATTGAGGTATGCTGACTTTGCTGAGGGTTTTAATCAGAAAGGGATGCTGGATTTTGTCAAGTGCTCTTCCCGCATAAATAAAGACACTTTTTCTGCATCTATTGAGATGATCATGTGATTTTTGTTTTTAATTCTGTTTATGTGGTGTATCACATTTATTGACTTGCATGTGTTAAATCATCCCTGCATCCCTGGTATGAAACCCACTTGATCATGGTGGATTACCTTTTTGATAAGCTGTTGGATTTGGTTAGCTAGTATTTTGTTAGGGATTTTTGCATCTATGTTCATCATGGATATTGGTCTGTAGTTTTCTTTTTTTGTTATGTCCTCTTCTGGTTTTTGTATTAGGGTGTTACTGGCTTCATAGAATGATTTAGGGAGGATTCCCTGTTTCTCTATCTTGTTAAATAGTGTCAATAGGATTGGTACCAATTCTACTTTGAATGTCTGATAGAATTCAGCTGTGAATTGGTCTGGTCCTGGGTTTTTATGGTTTTTTTGTTTGGTAATTTTTTTAAATTAACATTTCAATCTCACTGCTTGTTATTGGTCTGTTCAGGGTTTCTAATTCTTCCTGATTTAAGGTAGGAGGGTTGTATGTTTCCAGGAATTTATCCATCTCTTCTAGGTTTTCTAGATTATGCAGGTAAAGGTGTTCATACTAGCTTTAAATGATCTTTTGTATTTCTGTGGTGTCAGCTGTAATATCTCCCATTTCATTTCTAATTGAGCTTATTCGGATCTTCTCTCTTCTTTTTTTGGTTAATCTTGCTAATGATCTATCAATTTTGTGTATCTGTTCAAAGAACAGGCTTTTTGTTTCATTTATCTTTTTATTGTTTCTTTTTTGTTTCAATTTCATAGTCTGCTCTAATCTTGGTTATTTCTTTTCTTCTGCTGGGTTTAGGTTTGGTCCGTTATTTCTCTGGATCCTTGAGGTGTGACCTTTGATTGTCTATTTGTGCTCTTTCAGACTTTTTGATGTAGGCATTTAAGGCTATGAACTTTCCTCTTAGCACTGCTTTTGCCGTATCCCAGAGGTTTTGATAGGTTGTGTCACTATTATCATTCAGTTCAAATAATTTTTAAATGTCCATCTTGATTTCATTGTTGACCCAATGATTATTGATGAGCAGGTTATTCAATTTCCATGTATTAGCATGGTTTTGAAGGTTCCTTTTGGAGTTGATTTACAATTTTATTCCACTGTGGTCTGAGAGAGTACTTGATATAATTTCAATTTTCTTAAATTTATGGAGACTTATTTTATGTCCTATCATATGGTCTATCTTGGAGAAAATTCCATGTGCTGATAAATAGAATGTTTATTCTGTGTTTGTTGAGTGGAATGTTTTGTAAATATCTGTTAAGTCCATTTTTTCTTGGGTATAGTTTAAATCCATTGTTTCTATGTTGACTTGGTCTTGATGACCTGTCTAGTGCTGTCAGTGGAGTATTGAAGTCCCTCACTATTATTGTGTTACTATCTATCTCATTTCTTAGGTCTAGTAGTAATCGTTTTATAAATTTGGGAGCTCCAGTGTTAGGTGCATATATATTTAGGTTTGTGACATTTTACTCTTGGACAAGGCCTTTTATCATTATATAATGTCCCTCTTTGACTTTTGTAACTGCTGTTGCTTTAAAATTTGTTTGTCTGATGTAAGAATAGCTACTCCTGCTCACTTTTGGTGTCAATTTGCAAACTCCTTATTTGTTAGGTGAGTCTCTTGAGGGCAGCAGATACTTGGTTGGTGAATTCTTATCCATTTCAATTCTGTATCTTTTAAGTGGAGCATGCAGGCCATTTACATTCAACATTAGTATTGATATGTGAGCTACTATTCCAATCATTGTGCTATTTGTTGCCTGAATACATGGTTTTTTAATTGTGTTTTTGTTTTATAGGTCCTGTGAGACTCATGCTTTAAAGAGGTTCTGTTTTGACATATTTCTGGGATTTGTTTCAAGATTCAGAGGTCCTTTTAGCTTTTCTTGTAGTGCTGGCTTGGTAATGGTGAATTATCTCAGCATTTGTTTGTCTGAAAGAGACTGTATCTTTCCTTCATTTATGAAGCTTAGTTTCACTGGATACAAAATTCTTGGCTGATAATTGTTTTGTTTAAGGAGGCTGAAGCGAGGGCCCCAATCCTTTCTAGCTTGTAGGGTTTCTGCTGAGAAATCTGCTCTTAATTTGATAGGTTTTCCTTTATAGGTTACCTGGTGCTTTTGCCTCACAGCTCTTAAGATTCTCTCCTTTGTCTTCACTTTAGATAACCTGATGACTATGTGCCTAGGTGATGATCTTTTTGTGATGAATTTCCAAGGAGTTCTTTGAGCTTATTGTGTTTGGATGTCTAGATCTCTAGCAAGGCTGGGGAAGTTTTCCTTGATTATTCCCCCAAATATGCTTTCCAAACTTTTAAATTTCTTTTCTTCCTCAGGAATGGCAATTATTCTTAGGTTTGTTCGTTTAACATAATCCCAAACTTCTTGGAGTCTTTGTTCATTAGTTTTAATTCTTTTTTCTTTGTGTTTGTTGGATTGGGTTATTTCAAAAACTATGTTTTTGAGCTCTGAAGTGCTTTCTTCTGCTTTTTCTGTTCTATTGCTGAGACTTTTCAGTACAGTTTGCATTTCTCTAAGTCCTGTGATGTGAACTGTCTTCAGGTCTCTCAGTCATGGATGCCTGCACCTGCTCCAGTGGAGGTGGCAGCGGAGTGAAATGGATTCTGTGAGGACCCTTAGTTGTAGTTGTTTAACACACTAATTTTGTGCTGGTTGGTCTCCTGCCAGGAGGTGTTGCTTTCAAGAGAGCATCAGTTGTGGTAGTACAGGAGAGGATCATGTGGTGGGGGGGGGGGGGGTCGGGGGGCGGGCCTAAAACTCCCAAGAGAATATGACCTTTGTCTTCAGCTACCAGGGTGGGAAGGGAAGGACCATCAGCTGGGGGCAGGGTTAGGTGTGTCTGAGCTCAGACTCTCCTTGGGTGGTGCTTGCTGTGGCTGCTGTGGGGGATGGAGGTATGGTTCCCACGTCAATGGAGTCATGTTTCCAGGAGGATTATGGCTGCCTCTGCTGTATCATGCAGGTTGTCAGGGAAGTGGGGGACAGCCAGCAGTTACAGGCCTCACCCAGCTCCCTTGCAACCCAACAGGCCAGTCTCACTCCTACCGTGCTCCCACAAATGGCACCGAGTTTGTTTCCAGACAGTGGGTGAGCAAGGCTGAGAACTTGTCTCAGGCTACCAGCTTCCCAGCTGAGAAAGCAAGCAGGGCTTTCACGCCTCCTCACCTGTCGAATCTGCACACCAGATTCATGCCTTCCCCTGAGTTCTGGCCAGGAAACTTCACGTTTGGATGGAATTGTTACAAAGTTCAGCTGGGGGTTTCCTTCTCCCTGTGGTATTTTCCCAATTTCTCTGGCAGCCCTCCCCAAAGACCTCTGTGAGACAAGTCAGAAATGGCTTTCCTGAGGACTCAGAGAGCCCACAGGACTTCCCGCTGCTTCCTCTACCCCTGTATTTTGCGTGGCTCTCTAAATTGTCTCAGCTCCAGGTAAGGTCAAATCCTTCTCCCATGATCTGGACCTTCAGGTTCCTCAGTGAGGGTGTGTGTTTGGGGGCAGATGATCCCCCTTTCTCACTTTCACAGTTTGGGCACTAACAGTATTCCGGCTGTCTCCCGGGTCCTGCAGGAGCAATCTGCTTCCTTCAAAAGGTCTGTGGGTTCTCTCAGCTTTCCTGGTATATTCCTGCAGTAGTTCTTGGACCAGAAGTTCATGGTGCGAGTCTCCACATGCTGCTCTGTCTGCCCGAGTGGGAACTGCAATTTGGTCCTGCCTCCTATCCACCATTTTTTTTCCTAGAAAAAAAATCTTTTTATTCAACACATTTTTTGATTACCAGCTATGTGCCAACCATTGTACTTAATGTAGAGGTTAGCTTGGTAAATAAAATGGCCAAAAATTTCTACTTCATGATATTTGCAATCTGGCATGTGAGACAGACAAACATTAAAGAAATAATCATACAATTTCTAACTATAAACTGTGACGTGAAATAGAATAACAGTAATACCTAATTCAGATTTAGGAAAAACAGAGAGAATGCCTCTCTGACGAAGTGCCATTTAAGCCAAGACATAAAGAGTGAGTGAGAGTTCACCAGACAGAGCTTTCCAGGTGGAGGGAATAGCACATGTGACAAATCTGAGATGATAATGGCCTTGTTACATTCCAGAGACAAAGAAACAAAAACAACCAGTTGGGATGGGCTGTAGAAAGGACATGAAATTAGAGGGGTAGGCAGAAGCCAGATCATGTGGGAATTATACGGCTTGGTAAAGACTTGAGTTTTATTCAAATTATGTTATGAAGCCATCAGAAGGTTTTAACACAGGGAAGTGATAAGATCTTACTTACTCTTAAAATAAGATTTTATTCTAGAAAATGGACAACTTGACAGTTTCCTTTATTTATCCAATTCAGCAATTATTTATTGTTCTGTTGTTTTATTGGGTTCTGGGTGGGTACAAATGAGCAATATATGATTCCTGCCCTCAAGAAGCTAAATGTAGTTGACAAGGCAGAACTCTGAAAACATAAAATTATGATAGGGTGTGATAAATGCAACAGGAGAAGTATGTATGTGGCACTGAGAGAAAAAAGACAAATACTCTGATTGTGTTAGCAGTTGGTGGGTCGACGTGTCATGTAGCAGGGAAGTCCTGGTGTGCTTGGATGTGGTCAGATAAATGAGCCCGTCTGAATGAACTGTTAGTCATACTTTTGACCTCATGATATCTTCCTTTCCTGGGACTCATTGCATCCTGGGCAAGGAGCTTGATTATGATGGTCCTGTGTTCCCTGCTGGAATCTTAAATAGTGTTAATGACCATCTTCCTGGGTAAGACTGCCAACCAGGTTCCTCAGTGCTTATTTGAAACCTAGGAATGGGTCTCAGCTGACCAGACCACTTATCGAAAGGAAAGACACCTCTCTTCATCCCCCCAACTTTAGCACAAACACCATAAAGACAGCCTGCACTGTGTTCCTCTGTGAGCCTAGAGCTCAAGTTCTACTGATGCAAATATATCTGAAGGGGAAAGGATGTGGTTTTAGCATAACCAGTACATTTCTCAGGCAGTCGCTGCAGCAGAAATAGCAATAAATAGCAGTAGGGATGATGGCAGATATTAGAGCCAAAAATGCCAGTTTCAGTTCCAGCAATTACATTCAGGTAATTTCTAGCTAGAGTAAAGTCAAGGCCAGTAATGGAGGTACTGGAAATAGCATTTCCTTAAAAACCTGAGAGAACATACAGCTAGTATCTGTGCTGAGCGCAGACTGGGCAGACCTGGCTTGTAGGCTGCAGAATGTGGAGTCCAGGGATAACAGATTTGAGAGGCAAATGGTGCAACTTAAGCACCAATATAAAGGGACTGAACATAAAGGCACAGACTAATTATAAGGCAACAAGATGCAAAGAAAACTCACCAGACAGGGGTAACTGAGAGGTGCTTTGAGACACTGGGAAGTGAAAGGGAATTGTTAACATCTTAGATTAGTGATCCCCAAACTTTGCTGATCATGAAAATCATCTAGAAGGCTTGCAGAAACCTGAATTCCAGGGTTCCATTAAGACCACCAAATCAGTATTTCTGGGACTAAAGCTGTCAATCCATATTTTTTTCAGAATTTTACATTTTTATTTAATGTATGGATATTTTTATACATTTTATTTATTTATTTTTCCTTCCAACTTTTAGGTTCAGGGAGTACATGTGCAGGTTTGTTACATAGACGAATTGCATCACAGTGGCTGAACTACTTTACATTCCCACCAGCACTGTATAAAGTTTACCTTATACAGTATATAATACCATCTCACACCAGTCGGAATGGCTATCTCATTGTGGCTTTGATTTGTATTTCTCCAATGATTAGTGATGTTGAGCATTTTTTCATATGCCTGTTGGTTGCATGTATGTTTTCTTTGAAGAAGTGTCTGTTCATGTCCTTTTCCCATTTTTTAATGGAGTTGTTTGATTCTTGCTTGTTGATTTGTTTGAATTCTGTATAGATTATGGAAATTAGATCTTTGTCAGATGTGTAGTTTGTGATTATTTTTCCCATTCTGTAGGCTGTCCATTTACATTTTTGATTCTTTTGCTGTGCAGAAGCTCATCAGTTTAATTAGGTATTATTTGTCAATTTTTGTTCTTGTTGCAATTGCTTTTAATTTCTTTGTCATGAAATATTTGCCAGGTCCTATGTCCAGAATGGTATTTCCCAGGTTTTCTTCAAGGGTCTTTATAGTTTTAGGTTTTAAATTTAAGTCTTTAATCTACCTTGAGTTGATTTTGTATATGGTGAAAAGAAAACGTATAGTTTCGATCTTCTGCATATGGCTAGCCAGTTATCCCAGCACAATTTATTAAATAAGGAGACTTTTCGCCATTGCTTGTTATTGTCAACTTTGTCAAATATCACATGGTTGTAGGTGTGTAGCTTTATTTCTGGGTTCTGTAGCATGTTCTATTGGTCTATGTGTCTGTTTTTGTTCTAGTGCCATACTGTTTTGGTTATTGTAGCCTTATAGTACAGTTTGAAGTAGAACAGTATGATGCCTCCGGCTTTGTTCTTTTTGCTTAGGACTTCTTTGGCTATTTGGGCTTCTCATTGAATCTGTACATTGCTTTGGTCAGTATGGCCATTTTAAGAATATTGATTCTTCCTATCCATGAGCATAGAGTTTTTCCATTTGTTTGTGTCATCTCTGATTTCTTAGAGCAGTGTTTTATAATTCTTGTTGTAGACAGAGATCTTTTACCTCCGTGGTTAGCTGTATTCCTAGGTGTTTTATTCATTTTGTGGCTATTGTGAATGGGATTGCATTCTTGATTTGGCTTTCAGCTTGGATGCTTTTGGTGTACGGAAATACTACTGAAATTTGTACATTGATTTTGTATCCTAAAACTTTGCTGATGTTTTTTTTTTTATCAGCTCTAGGAGTCTGTGGCCCAAAACTATGGTGTTTTCTAGGTATAGAATCATATCATCCATGAAGAGAGATAGTCTGACTTTCTCTCTTTTATTTGGATGTCTGTCTTCTATTTCCTTCTTTTGCCCGATTGCTCTAGCAAGAACTTCCAGTGAATGTGTTGAATAGGAGTGGTGAGAGTGGACATCCATGTCTTGTTCTTGTTTTCAAGGGGAATGATTACAGCTTTTGCCCATTCAGTATGATGTTTGTTGTGGGTTTGTCATTGGTGACTCCTATTATTTTGAAGTATGTCTTTGATGCCTAGTTTGTTGAGGTTTTAACATGAAGGAATGTTGAATTTTATCAAAAGCTGTTTTTGTGCCTATTGGGATGATCATGTGGTTTTTGTTTTTATTTCTATGTGATGAATCACATTTATTAATTTGCACATGTTGAACCAACCTTGTATCCCAGGAATAAAGCCTAGTTGATTGTGGTGGATTAGCCTTTTGATGTGTTGCTGGATTTGGTGTGCTAGTATTTTGTTAAGGATTTTTGCATCTATGTTTATCAGGGATATTGGCTGAAGCTTTCTTTTTGCATTGTGTTTTTGCCAGGTTTTGGTATCAGAATGATACTGGCTTCATAGAATGAGTTAGAGAGGAGTCCCTTCTCCTCATTTTTTGGAATAGATGGTAGGATTGTTACAAGCTCTTCTTTATACATCTGGTAGAATTGGGCCATGAGCACATCTGGTCCAGGGCTTTTTCTGGTTAGTAGGTATTTTATTATTAATTGAATTTTGGAACTCATTATTGATTTGCTCAGGGTTTCAATTTCTTCCTCTTTCAATCTTGGGAGGTTGTATGTTTCCAGGAATTTATCAGTTTCTTCCAGGTTTTCTAGTTTGTGATCATAGAGGTGCTCGTAATAGTCTCTGAGAGATTTTTGTGTTTCTGTGGAGTCAGTGATAATATCCCCTTAGTCATTTCTGATAGTATTCATATGGATCTTCTCTCATTCTTTCTTTATTAGTATAATTAGTGGTCTTTCAGTCTTATTTATTCTTCCAAAGAAAGCCTTTTAGTTTCATGGATCTTTTGAATGTTTTTTTTAATCTCGATTTTCTTCAATTCAACTCTGATTTTGGTTATTGTTTTTTTCTTCTGCTAGCTTTGGAGTAGTTTACTCTTGCTTTTCTAGTTCCTCTAGCCATGCTATTAGGTTGTTAATTTGAAATCTTTGTAACTTTTTGATGCAGGTGTTTAATACTATAAACTTTCCTATTAACACTGCTTTAGCTGTGTCCTGGAGATTCTGGTGTGTCATATCTTTGTATATTGTTTAATTTCCATGTAATTGTATGGTTTTGAGAGATATTTTGGTATTGATTTCTATTTTTATTGCACTGTGATCTAAAAGTGTCATTGGTATGATTTCAGTTTTTCTGTATTTGTTCAGATTTGCTTTACAGTTAAGAATGTAGTTCAGTTTAGGAATTGTGCCATGTTTATATGAGAAAAATGTGTGTTTTGTTGTTGAATGGAGTGTTCTGTAAATATCTGCTAAGTCCATTTGGTTAAGTGTCAAGTTTAGGTCCTGAATGTCTTTGTTAGTTTTCTGCCTTGATTATCTTTCTAACACTGTCAGTGGATTGTTGAAGTCTCTCACTATTATTGAGTGGCTATCTAAGTCTGTGTGTAGGTCTCTAAGAACTTGTTTAATGAATCTGGCTGTTCCAGTGTTGGTTGCATATATATTTAAGATAGTGAAGTCTTCTTGTTGAATTGAACCCTTTACCATTATGTAATGCAGTTTTTTGTCTTTTTCTTATCATTGTCAGTTCAAAGTCTGTTTTGTCTAAAATTAGAATATCAACTCCTGCTTTTTTTGGATTTCTGTTTGCTTGGTAGATTTTTCTCTATCCCTTTACTTTGAGCCTATGAGTGTCACTGCATGTGAAATGGGTCTCTTGAAGACAGCATTACAGTTGAGTCTTGCTTCTTTATCCAACTTGCCACTCTGTGCCATTTAATTGGGACATTTAGCCCATTTACATTCAAGGTTAATGTTGATATGTGTGGATTTGATCCTGTTACCACGTTGTTAACTGGTTGTTATGTAGACTTGCTTTGTAGTGTTAATTGTCTATGTACCTGAATGTGTTTTTGTCGTGGCAGATACCAGTCTTTTGTTTCTGTGTTTAACACTCCTTTAAGGACCTCTTGTAAGGCAGGTCTGGTGGGAATGAATTCCCTTAGCATTTGCTTATCTGAAAAGGATTTAATTTCTCATTTGCTAATGAGGCTTAATTTGGCTGGATATAAAAATCTTTTTTTTTTTCTCTTTTATGATGCTGAATATGGGCCTCCAATCTCTTCTGGCTTATAGGGTTTCTGCTGAAAGATGTGCTATTAGCTTGATGATGTTCCCTTTGTAGGTGACCTGCCCCTTCTCTCTAGCTTCTCTAGCTGCGTTTAATATATTTTCTTTTATGTTGACCTTTGAGAATCTGATGACTATGTGTTTTGGGGATAGTCGTCTTGCATAGTATCTCACAGGGATTCTATAAATTTCCTGAATTTGAATGTTGATCTCTCCAGTGAAGTTAGGGAAATTTTCACAGGCAATATGCTGAAATATATTTTCCAAGTTGATTGTTCTCTCTCCCTCTCTTTGAGAGATGCCAATGAATCATAGGTTTTGTCTCTTTACATAATCCTATATTTCTTGGGGGTTTTGTTCATTCTATTTTATTCTTTTAAAAAGATTTTTGCTGACTGAGTTTATTCAAAGGTGCAGTTTTCAAGATATGAGAATCTTTCCTCAGTTTTCTCTATTCTGCTGTTAATAATTTCTTCTGTATTACAAAATTCTTACAGTGAGTTTTTTAGCTCTATTAGATCAATTTGGTTCTTTCTTAAAATGGCTATTTCATCTTTCAGCTCTTGTATGTTTTACTGGATTCCTTAGATTCCTTGGATTGAGTTTCAACTTTCTTCACAATCTTGATGACCTGCATGCTGAATTCTATGTCTGACATTTCAGCCATTTCAGCCTGGTTAGGAACCATTTCTGGGGAGGTAGTTCAGTCATTTGGATGGAAGAAAACACTCAGGCTTTTTGAGTTTCCAGAGTTCTTGAGCTGGTTCTTTCTCATCTGTGTGGGCTGGTGTTCCTCTAATCTTTGAAGTTGCTGTCATTTGGATGGGGCTTCTGCTTTTATATCTTTTGATGCCGTTTAGGGTTTGACTGTGCTATAGGTTGGATTCAGTCAACTGGCTTCATTTCTGGATGATTTCAGGTAGCCAAGGCTTAGTTCAGCATTCCTGGGCTGTGTGCTCTAATCCTGGAGGGCTGAGACCAGGCCCTCTGCTTTGTTGTCTCGCCCCTCAAGCTTATGTACCTGCTGGACTGGAGGGGCTGAGATGTTCCTGATCTGCCAGCAATAACATTGTTGGGAGGTCCTGGCAAAAGTGCTTAATCAGGGCAGCAGCTGCAGGGTTTGTGCGTATGCATGCCAGCAGCAGAAGGGCAGCCGGTCAGTTGGGTCCACATGCATGCCAGCAAAGCAGTGGAA
The DNA here is from genome assembly GCF_000001405.40 of Homo sapiens. Classification (NCBI taxonomy): domain Eukaryota; kingdom Metazoa; phylum Chordata; class Mammalia; order Primates; family Hominidae; genus Homo; species Homo sapiens. The sequence continues at coordinate 152,308,273 of NC_000023.11, read as the reverse complement.
GGATGCTGTGTGTGGGTACACCCAGTAGTGATCCTTCTGCAAAAGCTCTCTGATGGCTAGGCAGGGTCTGCCAGTAAAGCAGACATGGTGATGGCTGCTGGGAAGTGCCCTGGTTTGGCATCTGATGCTGTGCTGCAAGTAGGTGCAGCCAGGCAGGGACCCTGGGAAAGGCCAGCAGACCAGGGGCACTCAGATCAGACTGGCCTTATCCTATAGGCAAGATGTCCCTGTTCCATCCAGGTGGGACAGTCAACAAAGGCCAAGGCCACCTAGAGGAGTGTGGCAAGCTTTGGTGGATGGGCATCCCTGGCTGTGCTCCACTGTAGCCATTCTCACGCCAAACCCTCTGTGCTCCACAAAGGCAGAAGTCCTGTCCCTGCCAACTACCCATGAAGCTCTCCTTGCCAGCTCAAATGTCTGTGGGTGTCATGGGTTCTCCCCCAGTTAGGATTCCAGAGGTCTATGGCGAGAGTGGGCTACTCCATGCCTATTTAACTCACCCCTTCTCCATGAGTTACTCAGGACCAGGAATGAGCCCTGGTGCTCAGTAACCCTGTGCAGGGTTCCTAGCTTCCTCCTCATTTCACCCCTGACTTTGCATCTTCCCTCTGTCCCCTCTTAATGCCTTTCTTCCGAAGATATGCTCAGAGTGTGCCAGTCTTCTTAATGGTCTGGTCTGTTGATGGGAGAAGCTCTTCCTGGCTATGTCTAGTCTGCCATTTTTGCTCTTCTCCCTACATCATATTGGCTGGTCTCCCCATATTTTTTAAATAAACTAAATAAATGACCCTCCCCTGGAAATTCTGGCCCTTTCTTTTTTCCCAAATGGCCACTACTTCTAAGAGTTTCTAATTAATCCATAGGAGATGAGTCATTTCTTCTTCCTCAAATATTTAGAATATTTCACAGAAGGTGTTAGGTACAGGAAAATTCTACCATAATGGATATGATAGTACTGGTGATAACTAGCATTTAGATAGCACTTTACAATTTCAAAGTGCCTTTTCACATCCAGCATCCCTTATTTAATTTACTTTACTTTACTTTAATTTCGTTTAATTATCACAATAGGGCCGTGAGGTCAGGTATTGATATCCCCATTTCACAGATGTGGAAACTAAGACTAAAATGATTAAGAGAATTTAGCCAATAAGGAGTTGACCCAGGACTCAGTCTCAGGTTTTCTGCTACTAGATATAGGCTTCTTTATACCTCATTCATGAGGTACGAAGGGAGAAATAGTGAGGCAGGAATAAGAGTGAACAGTGTACTCTCACAGAATGTTCCAGTCTGCCACTATCTGAATATCAAAATTTGGTGGGAGGTGATATATTTTCTATAAAAGGGTACTGAAACAGAACAGATCTATGTCAAAGCTGGGGCAGGCATGTTGGGGCACTGTAGGTGTATATCAACTTAGAGGAGGGTTCCTCATCCGAAAATTAAAAGAGCAGATTCTGGCTAATATTGATGTCAGAGGAAAAATACAAGAAATTTTTGGTTTAAAACTGAAATTCAGAAATGGCAGATTGGCAGTGTATTTAGAAGGTACGGTTTTGTTTTGTTTTTTCTAACAGGCTCAAAGGAGTAAGAAAACTTTAACAAAGACATGGGAGGTAAAACTTCTCATTTTGCGTTGCAAAGTAAAGATGTCTGATTCTAGGCAGAAAGCCTGGGATCTGCCTAGACCAGCTTGGCCAGACCCACCATATTAACTTACTCCATTACAATGGGGAAAGAGACCACATCTCACTTGCAACACATTAAGCAACAGTGATTGCAAAGTAGTCTTTACTGGAGACTTCAGAGGCAACTGAGAATACTATTTGTACAAAGATACCTATTATATTGTCTATAAAGAACAACATTTTAAACACTAAATGGACATTCTTATACATGTTTCTTTGCACACATGTGTAGACATTTCTGGTAAATATAGATCAGAGGAACAGCTGACTTATAGGGAATATACATCTAAGCTTTAGCAGATATTGCCCAATTGCTCTCCAAAATTGTCGTGCTAGTTTTCTTCCCCACATCCCCCAACTGCAGCAGTGTGTGAGAGGTCTCTTTATTTCACTTCCTTATCAACACTTGGTACTACCAAGGGTCTAGATATTTGACAGGGTATAGCTGTGAAATAGTACCAGCTTTTAATTTGCATTACCGTGATCATGTATTGATATTGGAAACCTTATGTTCATTGAGTATTCAGATTCCTTCTTTCATGAATTGCTTTTTTATTTGAGATTTTTAATACACTTACAATTAATATTTATATGTGGTATGAGATAAAAATGTACTTTTTACAGCTGGATAACCTGTAGTCCCAGTGCATTTTAAAATCATTCATTCTTTCTCACTAATATGTAATGTCTTTGTTACCTTATATCAAGCTTCCATATATTCATAGAACAGTTTCTGGGTATCCTGTTCTGTTTCATTGGTTTTGATATGTAGGCTCATTTGAATGGGAGTATTTGTGCTTATTTTCACTTTAATATTTAATTTTAGTTAAATTTTATATTTTTAAAAATGAATATAACATGCACAATATAGTTTGTTGTGGTGGTATATAATCATCACTAATAAGACAATCAACATATAAAACAGTTCCATTGAATGGAAAAATTCCTTAATTATTCTTTCTTTTACTATGTAAATAATTTTTATTTTCTTATCACTTTACTTTTAGGTAGTTATTACAACATTAAAAAATCTGATTTGGAAAAGTGTTCTTTTTAATCAGATAAATAAAAGATGAAATTAATTTAAATATGTGTGTCAGGGGGTTTGTATAGTTGGGACATTTAATTTTGTGATTACTTGGGACAATAATTTTTTTTTTTTTTTACATTTTAGATTCAGGTGGTACATTTGCAGGTTTCTTACATGGATATATTGTGTGATGCTGAGGTTTGGGCTTCTGTTGAACCCATCACTTAAATAGTGAGCATAGTACCCAATAGGTAGTTTTTCAACCCTTGCCCCCATCCTACTTTGCCCCTTCTGGAATCCCCAGTATCTATTGTTTCCATCTTTGTGCCATCTCTACCCATCGTTTAGCTCCTACTTATAAATGAGAACATATGGTATGTGATTTTCTGTTTCTGTATTAATTAGGTGCTCATCTATGATGGATTGGATAAAGAAAATGTGGTACATATACACGTCAAAATACTAAGCAGGCATAAGCTATTGAAATAATAAAAAGAAAATAAGAAAAAATAAATGAATGAAATGTGAAAAAAGATTGATGAGAATAAAATTGCTTGCTTTGTTCATTAAAAAGGAAATCAGAGATGATACAAATAAATGGAATAATATTTCTTGCTCATTGGTTGGAAGAATCAATATTACTGAAATGGCCATACTGCCCAAAGCAATCTACAGATTCAACACTATTCCTATATCAAGCTACCAATGTCATTTTTCACAGAACTTGAAAAATTATTCTAAAATTCATACAGAACAACAACAACAACAAAAAAACAGTCTGAGGAGCCAAAGCAATTATATGCAAAAAGAATAAAGCTGGAGGCATCACATTAGCCTATTTCAAACTATACTAGAAAGCCACAGTAACCAAAACAGCATGGTACTGGTACAAAAACAGACACATAGACCAATGGAACAGAATGGAGACCAGAAATAAAGCCTCACACCTACAACCATCTGATCTTCAACAAAGTGGATAAAAATGAGCAATGGGGAAAGGACACCCTATTCAATAAATGGTGCTGGAATAAGTGGCTATCCACGTGTAGAAGAATGAAACTGGAAACTACCTATCACCATATAGAAAATCAACTCCAGATGGATTAAAGATTCAAATATAAGACGCCAAACTACAAAAATCCTAAAAGAAAATCTAGGAAATACCCTTCTCAACATCAGCCATGGTAAATACATGGCTAAGTCCTCAAAAGCAATTGCAACAAAAATAAAGATTGACAAGTGGGATCTAATTAATCTAAGGTAACTTCTGCACAGAAGAAAAAATTATCAACAGAGTTAACAGACAACCTACAGAATGAGAGAAAATATTTGTAAATTATGCATCTGATCAAGGTTTAATATCCATATGCTATAAGGAACTTAAATAAATCAAGAAGCAAAAAACAACTCCATTAAAAAGTGGGCAAATAACATGGACACTTCTCTAAAGGAGATATACAAACATCCAAAAAACAAATGAAAAAAATGCTCAATATTGCTAATCATCAGAGAAATGTAAATTAAACTCACAATAAGATACCATCTCACGCCAGTTAGAATGGCTATTTTTTAATATATATTTTACTTTAAGTTCTGGGATACATGTGCAGAACATGCAGGTTTGTTACATAGGTATACATATGCCATGGTGTTTTGCTGCACTTATCAACCCGTCATCTAGGTTTTAAGCCCCACATGCGTTAGGTGTTTGTCCTAATGCTCTCCCCCCGTTGGCCCCCACCCCCTGACAGGCCCCAGAGTGTGATGTTCCCCTCCCTGTGTCCATGTGTTCTCATTGTTCAACTCCCACTTATGAGTGAGAACATGTGGTGTTTGGTTTTCTGTTCCTGTGTTAGTTTGCTGAGAATGATAGTTTCCAGCTTCATCCATATCCCTGCAAAGGTCATAAACTCTTTCATTTTTATGGCTGCATGGTATTCCATGGGTATATGTGCCACATTTTCTTTATCCAGTCTATCATTGATGGGCATTTGGGTTGGTTACAAGTCCTTGCTATTGTAAATAGTGCTGCACAAACATCTGTGTGCATGTGTCTTTATAATAGAATGATTTATAATCCTTTGGGTATATACCCAGTAATGGGATTGCTGGGTCAAATGGTAATTCTGGTTCTAGATCCTTGAGGAATCACCACACTGTCTTCCACAATGGTTGAACTAATTTACACTCCCAACAACAGTGTAAAAGCGTTCCTATTCCTCCACATCCTGGCCGGCATCTGTTGTTTCCTGACTTTTTAATGATCGCCATTCTAACTGGCATGAGATGGTATTTCATTGTGGTTTAAAAGTCAAAAAGATATTGCCAATGTTGTAGAGAAAAGGCAACACTTATACACTGTTGGTGGGAATGCAAATTAATCAGCCTCTGTGGAAAGATGTCTGGAAATTCCTGAAATAACTAAAAATAGAAGTATCATTGGATCCAGCAATCCCATTACTGGTATATACCCAAAGGAAAATAAATAATTCTACCAAAAAGACACATGCACCAGTATGTTCAGTGCAGCACTATTCACAATAGAAAAGACATGGAGTCAATGTAGGTCTCCATCAATGGTGGATTGGATAAAGAAAATGTGGTACATATACACCACGGAATCCTACACAGTCATAAAAGAATAAAATCATGTCCTTTGCAGCAACATGGATGCAAATGGAGGCCATCGTCCTAAGTGAACTAACTGAGAAACAGAAAACCAAATACTATAAGTTCTCACTTACAGGTGGGAGCTAAACATAGGGCATACACAGACATAAAGATGAAAACAGTAGACCCTGGGGACTACAAGAGAATGGGGGGAGGCAGTGGGGAAAGGGTTGAAAAACTACCTATTATGGACTGTTCTCACTACCTGGGTGATGAGATCAATAGTACCCCAAGCCTCAGCGTCACCATATACCTTGGTGACAAACCTGAACATGTAACCCCTGAATCTAAATTATTGAAATTATTCATAAAATTACCTTCAGGCTATGTTTATAAGCTCTATATAAAACATAACTGAATTTTGTGTTTAGATTTGGGTCCCATCCCCAAAATATCTCATTATATATGTGCAAATTTTTCAAAAATCCAAAAATTTGAAGTGCAAAACACTTCTGACCCCAAGCATTTCAGATAAGGGAAAGTTAACCTGAATGGCCACCAAATCTATCTTTTGAATTAGTGTTTGCATTGCATACATTTTTTATTCACTTACTTTTATCATATTTATACCCTTATATTTAAAGTATGCTTTTTGTACACAGAATGTGGTTGGCTATTTTTTTTTTCAATCTGGCAATCTCTACTTTAATTGGCGTGTTTAGATCACCTACATTTAATATATTTATTTACATGTTTGTGCTTACATTCATCATCTTATTATTTGTTTTCTATTTGTCCCACATCCTTATATTTATCTTTTCCCCCTTTCTGCCTTCTTTTGGAATATTTGAATATTTGAATTGTTTTATTCTAATTCATATATTGTCTTTTTAGAAATATTTCTTTATAATATGAGATTCATTGGTTGCTATAGGGCTTACAATCTTCACAAGATTAACTTCAAAAGTCAGCTTTTGACAGTCCTAAAGTTTACATCATTCCACTTCCAGTAAATTGTAGTAGCCTGGCAACCAAATAGGTCAGTTTACCACTCAAATGACCTTTATGTTGCAGTTATCAATTATATCAATATTCATTAAAAACCACACAAGATGGCTGGGCACGGTGGCTCACACTTGTAATCCCAGCTTTTTGGGAGGCTGAGGTGGGCAGATCATGAGGTCAGGAGTTCAAGACCAGCCTGGCCAACATAGTGAAACCCTGTCTCTACTAAAATGCAAAAAATTAGCCAGGCATTGTGGCAGGTGCCTGTAATCCCAGCTACTCAGGAGGCTGAGGCAGGAGAATCACTTGAACCCGGGATGTGGAGGTTGCAGTGAGCCGAGATCGCACCATTAAACTCTAGCCTGGGCAACAAGAGTGAGACTCTGTCTCAAAAAGAAAAAAGAAACAAAAAAACATAGGACAAGGTTGTAATATTTTATTTCAAGTCATAACTATTTTAAAGAATTTAAAAAGGGAAAAAATATTTACCCAGAATTTCCATTTCTGTTGTATTTCCTTAATTCCTGATTATCTAATTTCCCCATGACATTATTTCTCTTGAGCCCAAAGAAACTTCTTTGGAATTTCTTATAAAATGATTTTGCTGGAGACAAATTATCTTAGTCCTTTGAAAATTTGAGAATGTCTTTATTTTTACTTCTTTCCTAAACATAGTTTTGCTGGATATAGGATTCTGGTATTGATGGTTGTTTTCTTTAAACTTGTTGAAGATGCTTTTTCACCATCATATATCCTCTGTGATTTATCTTCAGTCTCCAATTATTGCTCCCCTATATAGAATGTGCTATTTCCCAATATCTTCTTTCAAGATCTTTCTTTACTTTGGTATTTAGCAGTTTGATTATGATATGTCTAGGCATGATTCTCTTTAATCTTTCTGTTTTATGTTTTCTGAGCATATTGATTCTGTACATTGATGTAGTCTATCAGATTTTGGAAGTTTCTGAGCGCTATTTCTTCAAAAAAATTTTTTTCTGCACGAATCTCTTTCTCTTCTCTTTTTGGAACTACAGTGCTCTGTATGTGAAACCTTATCCTATTATCCAATAAGGCTATTTGTTCCAGCCATTTTTCTTACTGTTTCTCATATTGGATGATTTCTATTAGCCTCCCTTCAAGTTCACTGACTCCTTTGTCATCTCTGTTCTGCTATTGAGATCGCCCAGATAATTTTTTATTTTGGTAATTGCATTTTTTATTTCTAAAATTTCAAATAGGTTATTTTAATATTTTCTAATTTCTCTGCTGAGAACATCTATCTTTCCATTCATTTCGAACGTGTTTTCCTTTACCTCATGAAACAGAGTTATAATAGTTGATTTAAACTCTTTGGCTGACACTTCAAACATCTGGGCTTTCGCAGTTGACATTTGTTGATTGTCATTTCCCTTGAGAATTGGTGACATTTTCCTTTTTCTTTCTAAGTACTAATGCTGGATTTTATCTAGGGCATTTTGAATATTTTGCTGTGTAGATTCTGGGCTCTGGAGAATGTTGATTTTTTTTTTCATTTGTTTTATCAGGTAATCAACTTAGTTAAGTTTAGTTTGTGAGTTCTGCCTTGCGTTCTGTGGGTGATAGTCTACATCTCGTTCAGTTTTCAAAGACTTTACTAGGCTATGTTTGGTTTCTTTCACACATGTACCACTTAGGAGATAGTCCAAGACTGTGGTTTTAATCTAAGTTCATAGTTCAATTATCAAAGTCTGTGCTATGCAGCCTTGTATCTGTACCATACTTGTACTACTCAGGGATTTTTCTGAAATTTATGTAGTGGTTTAAATATAGTGTAGTTCTCAAAGCTTTTTCTATGCTACCTTGGGTTTGGCCTCTGCATGTGCAGCTCAAGAGTGAATCTATTATTTGTGGGGCCTCAAACACAGAAATTAGTAGAACATCTTCTTTAACCATCTCCACTCTGGTATTCCCCCACACTCTCTGACCTGCAGAAGCCCTTTTCCCTCTCTTTGTGGTAAGACCAGTGAGGTTTCTCTCAGAGTTTTAGCCACCTGTGTCACAGTCCCCCTTTGTGTCTTTGCCTTTGGAGCAAACCTGTAAAAGAAAATAAGAAAAAACAATAACATACAGGAAATTTATTTCTCTGTGGGTTGCTTCTCCATGTTTTAACTCTCTTCAAAAATTCACCTGATCATGTTTACTTTTCAGAGTCTTTGGTAATTACCTTTGATATTTTTTCAGAAATTTATTTATAACAAGTGGGAGAGAAAGACTATAGTGCACTTAATCCATCATGCCAGAAACCAGTTCAGTTTTGTTTTAATTTCAGTTTTTACCTTCTTTTTCTTACTATCAAGTGGTTTTGTGGTTGCTTCTACACTGACCCTCACTCCAAATTAATAGTATTTTGCAGTTTATTCTCCGTTATGACATTGCTGATACATTCTTGGTACAACAAACCACTTGGCTCAGTTCCGATTCCCAGGACAATGTCTTTGTATGCCATTGTACCTTCCCCCTGCTTCCCCGCTTATCCCAACCCAGGGCTGCAGCCCCAAACACAACCATAACCCACAGCCTCAAACTGAGCCATACCCCAGGCATCAGTTCAGCTTCACTTTTTCTAACCTCTTTTCAAGGAGATCCCCAGGTCTGAGCCACAAGCACTCACCCTGCTTCCAGTCTTCCCTTTCATACAGAGCAATTTTAGTCTTTTTTACTTTACTCTTTATTTTCAGACTCAGAATTCTGGCTTCAACATTACTTACTCCTTTTTTTTGTTTCTTTTTCATGATACTTTGATCTTTTATTTAAAATAACTATATCTTTTATATTTTACCTACCATTATTGTATGTTTGGAACAGAGGGGTTATACTGAAATGTAAAGTTGCCTGTTCCATCTTATCTGGATGTTCCAAACACTTCTTAGGAACGACAGTGTAGCTACCTCTGGTAGTCTCTTTTAATCTATTATGTCCTTGGAAACTATAATATTTTAAATATTGAAGTCATAACAAAATCAACTCCCTTTTTACACCAGTTAGAATGGCGATCATTAAAAAGTCAGGAAACAACAGGTGCTGGAGAGGATGTGGAGAAATAGGAACACTTTTATACTGTTGGTGGGACTGTAAACTAGTTCAACCATTGTGGAAGTCAGTGTGGTGATTCCTCAGGGATCTAGAACTAGAAATACCATTTAACCCAGCCATCCCATTACTGGGTATATACCCAAAGGATTATAAATCATGCTGCTATAAAGACACATGCACACGTATGTTTATTACGGCACTATTCACAATAGCAAAGACTTGGAACCAAACCAAATGTCCAACAATGATAGACTGGATTAAGAAAATGTGGCACATATACACCATGGAACACTATGCAGCCATAAAAAATGATGAGTTCATGTCCTTTGTAGGGACATGGATGAAGCTGGAAACCATCATTCTCAGCAAACTATCGCAAGGACAAAAAACCAAACACCGCATGTTCTCACTCATAGGTGGGAATTGAACAATGAGAACACTTGGACACAGGAAGGGGAACATCACACACCGGGGCCTGTTGTGGGGTGGGGGAAGGGGGGAGGGATAGCATTAGGAGATATACCTAATGTAAATGACGAGTTAATGGGTGCCGCACACCAACATGGCACATGTATACATATGTAACTAACCTGCACGTTGTGCACATGTACCCTAAAAATTAAAGTATAATAAAAAAAACAGACAAGGAAACTGAGGCATAGTTAACTTGAAGTAGAGCCAGGACTAACCCAACCTCCACATCCTATATTAGTGGTTTTTCTACCAATTAATTTTATGTTCAGGCTAAGAATCTGTAGGCCCTGGAAAGATAGCAGCATATCCCTGTAATATTTAGGAATATTTCAGCTGTTTTGAAGATTTTATTATTCTCCTCTGGCTCTCAGCTTGTTCCAGTTGAAGGACATTCCTCTACAGTGGAAAGGATATTGTGCAGTGAGCCTCCAAGTTATGTTTTGGTCATCATTTGGGCACTGCATCAACTTCTCTTTCTAATTTTGTTATAATGGTGCTCCAAGGAAGTCCTACTAGCTCTTGGGAGTGAACTCTATTTGCAGCGAGGAGCAATGAACTGGTGAAGAGTCTGCTCTCGAATGTTTTATTTCTTCCACACTTGTTACTGACATTTCTTTCTATGAGGCTGGCTATATCTACCCTTTTCCTCCTATTATAGAATATTTTTTGAAATGGACCTTAAATATCTCTGTGCTGAAACTCTTCATGTTCTAGATAAAGAAACTGAAGCTCAGAGAGTTTAAAGTCTTATTCAAGGTCATAAAGCTTGTCAGTGGTACTGCTAGAGCTTATACTGAGATGTTATAAAATCAGATGCAGTGCTTTTCCCATTACATTCTGGGTAAGTATCAGTATAAGTAACCAATAATAAGTGTAGGGAAAAAGCAAAAGGAGAGTTTGGAGGAAGGGAAAATCTAGAACGAGTGAAAGGCAAATGAAATCATTTGAATTGACAATTGAAATATGTTTTGGTACTTTACAATTTCAGTATTAAATGTCAAACTGAGGAATGGAATAAAGATGAAGAAAGTGGAATGCTGAGAGTGATGGCACAAGAATCAGTGCTTTTGTAGGGCCAGTGAATGGAGTAGAATCCTCTGAATGGTGTCTACTGTCCAACAACTATATGTGGCCTGGGACTGGAACATAAATTTTGAGACTTCATTAAGAATGAAACATCTGAGAATTTTGGGAAACAGGCAGTGAACTTTGTCCAATCCTACCTTTGTCAGAGTCTAGATTCTAGTAAAACAATAGTGGAGTTAACAAAAACCCACAGTGGTTAGGGTGGTGATTGTGATCTCTTAAATGTTTTGGTAGTTCCTTCTGGTGTTATTTTATCAGCATATGTTGTGTACACTCCTCCACTAAAGTCCTCAACAGAAAAGCAGCTGGCTGGCCGGGCATGGTGGCTCATGCCTGTAATCTCAGCACTTGGGAGGCCAAGGCGGGTGGATCACTTGAGGTCAGGAGTTCAATACCAGCCTGGCCAACATGGTGAAATCCCTTATCTACTAAAAATACAAAAATAGTCAGGTGTGGTGGTGGGTGCCTGTAATCCCGGCTACTTGGGAGGCTGAGGAAGGAGATTGGCTTGAGCCCAGGAGATGGAGGTTGCAGTGAGCCAAGATCATGCCACTGCATTCCAGCCTGGGCAACTGTGTGAGACTCTGTCTCAAAAAAAAAAAAAAGAGAAAGAAAAGGAAAAGCAGCTGATTATCAAAGTTTTGCTGCACATTCCAGGTACTAGACACTAGAGGGAATAGCATATGCAAGCAAAATGCTAGAACCCAAGCCTACCAAATGTCAAAAGTTGTCAGGTTTGCCCAAACAGCCTGCAAAAGTGGGCATGAGTCTATTGCAGAGCCTAGATTGGAGCTCAGGACTTCTGATACAATCTTTTGTAATTTCTGCTTCCGTAAGCAACCTGTTTATGATTCTTCCAGAGTGTTTATCTATGATTAATGCTACTGCAAGGGGAAGGGGAAATTAATGAGTACTTATAGTATCTTAGTCCCCAAATATTGCCAATGACAAATGGAAAGGTCGTTAACGTGAGAACAAAGCACTCTAGATCTTAGATGTGCAAGAGCTTGTACATAAGTCACTGTTGTCCACTCCTTAAATCTATGAAGCTAGCCAACTCAGATAGCTAGTCACCTGGGAGCTCATTTACAGGCACCCAGTCCCTCTTCAAGATGAAAAGTGTATGCAATAATGAGCACTTATTCACCAAAATTCCCAGTGATCTGGAGGTGAGAAAACAGGAAACTCATGACTTTGTTCTCTTGGCCAAAGCCCAAATCCTCAAAACCTCACTATCCTTAGAATGGCATTGTGAGGAACTAAAGAGTCTGTCATGACCCATAGTGAGATGTAAAGGTGTAGTTGAGTTTTGTTCATATCATTTATCTCATATGTCTAATAGAACTGTGACAAACTCTCACCACAAAATGTATTTCAGAGGGACAGTTAACAAATCTGACCTGAGCCAGAGGAAAAAAATTAATAGGGTACAGTGAGGGTGCTCAAAGCCATGTCAAAAGAAGGGAGACATTTTTCCATTCCAAGTGGCCGAATAGGAACAGCTCCAGTCTGCAGCTCCCAGCGTGATTGACTCAGAAGATGGGTGATTTCCGCATTTCAAACTGAGGTAAACGTTTCATCTCATTGGGACTGTTTGGACAGTGGGTGCAGCCCATGGAGGGTGACCCGAAACAGGGCGGAGCATTGCCTCACCGAGGATGTGCAAGGGGTCAAGGGATTTCCCCTTCCAAGCCAAGGGAAGCTGTGAAAGACACTACCTGGAAAAATGGGACACTCCCGCCCAAATACTGTGCTTTTCCAACGGTCTTAGCAAACGGCAGAGCAGGAGATTATATCCCATGCCTGGCTCAGCAGATCCCATGCCCACGGAGCCTTGCTCACTGCTAGCGCAGCAGTCTGAGATTGACCTGTGAGGCAACAGCCTGGCAGGGGGAGGGGCATCTGCCATTGGTGAGGCTTGAGCAGGTAAACAAAGCAGCTGGGGAAGCTTGAACTGGGTGGAGCACACCACAGCTCAGCAAGGCCAGCTGCCTCTGTAGTCTCCACCTCTAGGGGCAGGGCATAGCTGAACAAAAGGCAGCAGAAACTTCTGCAGACTTAAACGTCCATCTGACAGCTCTGAAGAGAGCAGTGGTTCTCCCAGCACAGTGTTTGAGCTCGGAGAATGGACAGACTGCCTCCTCAAGTGGGTCCCAGACCCCCGTGTAGCCTAACTAGGAGACACCTCCCAATAGGGGCCAACTGACACCTCATTACAGGCGGGTAACCCTCTGGTATGAAGCTTCCAGAGGAAGAATCAGGCAGCAATATTCGCTGTTCTGCAATATTTGCTGTTCTGCAGCCTCCACTGGTGATACCCAGGCAAACAGGGTCTGGAGTGGACCTCCAGCAAACTCCAACAGACCTGCAGCTGTTGGAGCAAACTCCAACAGACCTGCAGCTGTTGGAGCAAACGCCAACAGACCTGACTGTTAGAAGGAAAACTAACAAAGAGAAAGGAATAGCATCAACATCAACAAAAAGAACATCCACACCAAAACCCCATCTGTATGTCACCATCATCAAAGACCAAAGGTAGATAAAACAACAAAGATGGGGAGAAACCAGAGCAGAAAAGCTGAAAATTCTAAAAACCAGAGTGCCTCTTCTCCTCCAAAGGATCGCAGCTCCTCACCAGCAATGGAACAAAGCTGGATGGAGAATGACTTTGACGAGTTGACAGAAGTAGGCTTCAGAAGGGTGGTAATAACAAACTTCTCTGAGCTAAAGGAGGATGTTTGAACCCATTGCAAGGAAGACAAAAATCTTCAAAAAAGATTAGATGAATGGCTAACTAGAATAAACAGTGTAGAGAAGAACTTCAGTGACCCGATGGAGCTGAAAACCATGGCACGAGAACTATGTGACGCATGCACAAGCTTCAGTAGCCAATTCGATCAAGTGGAAGAAAGGGTATCGGTGATTGAAGATCAAATTAATGAAATCAAGTGAGAAGAGAAGTTTAGAGAAAAAAGAGTACAAAGAAACAAACGGAGCCTCCAAGAAATATGGGACTATGTGAAAAGACCAAATCTACGTCTGATTGGTGTACCTGAAAGTGATGGGGAGAATGGAACCAAGTTGGAAAACACTCTTCAGGATATTATCCAGGAGAACTTCCCCAACCTAGCAAGGTAGGCCAATGTTCAAATTCAGGAAATACAGAGAAGACCACAAAGATACTCCTCAAGAAGAGCAACCCCAAGACACATAATGGTCAGATTCACCAAGGTTGAAATGAAGGAAAAATGTTAAGGGCAGCCAGAGAGAAAGGTCGGATTACCCACAAAGGGAAGCCCATCAGACTAACAGCGGATCTCTTGGCAGAAACTCTACAGGCCAGAAGAGAGTAGGGGCCAATATTCAACATTCTTAAAGAAAAGAATTTTCAACCCAGAATGTCATATCCAGCCAAACTAAGCTTCATAACTGAAGGAGAAATAAAATCCTTTACAGAGAGGCAAATGCTGAGAGATTTTTTTCACCACCAGGCCTGCCTTACAAGAGCTCCTGAAGGAAGCACTAAACATGGAAAGGAACAACTGGTCCCAGCCACTGCAAAAACATGACAAATTGTAAAGACAATTGATGCTAGGAAGAAATTGCATCAACGAATGGGCAATATAATCAGCTAACATCATAATGACAGGATCAAATTCACACAAACTATTGTTTGTTAACAATAACAGTTGTTATTGTTATTATTGTTATTATTGTTGTTATTGTAATGTTAACAGTTGTTAACCTTAATTGTAAATGGACTAAACGCCCCAATTAAAAGACACAGACTGACAAATTGGATAGAGAGTCAAGACCCATCACTGTGCTGTATTCAGGAGACCCATCTCACGTGCAGAGACACACATAGGCTCAAAATAAAGGGATGGAGAAAGATCTAACAAGCAAGTGGAAAACAAAACAAAAAAAAGCAGGGGTTTGCAATCCTAGTCTATGATAAAACAGACTTTAAACCAACAAAGATCAAAAGAGACAAAGAAGGCCATTACATAATGGTAAAGGGATCCATTCAACAAGAAGAGCTAAGTATCCTAAATATATATGCACCCAATACAGGAGCACCCAGATTCATAAAGGAAGTCCTTAGAGACCTACAAAGAGACTTAGACTCTCACACATTAATAGTGGGAGACTTTAACACCCCACTGTCAATATTAGACAGATCAACGAGACAGAAGGTTAAAAAGGATACCCAGGACTTGAACTCAGCTCTGCACCAAGCAGATCTAATAGACATCTACAGAACTCTCCACCCCAAATCAACAGAATATACATTCTTTTCAGCACCACATCGCACTTATTCCAAAGTCGACCACATAGTTGGAAGTAAAGCACTCCTCAGCACATGTAAAAGAACAGAAATCACAACAAACTGTCTCTCAGACCACAGTGCAATCAAGTTAGAACTCAGGATTAAGAAACTCACTCAAAACCGCACAGCTACGTGGAAACTGAACAACCTGCTCCTGAATGACTACCGGGTAAATAACAAAATGATGGCAGAAATAAATATGTTCTTTGACACCAATGAGAACAAAGACACCACCTACCAGAATCTCTGGGACACATTTAAAGCAGTGTGTAGAGGGAAATTTATATAGCACTAAATGCCCTCAAGAGAAAGCAGGAAAGATCTAAAATCAAAACCCTAGCATCATAATTAAAAGAACTAGAGAAGCAACAACAAGCAAATTCAAAAGCTATCAGAAGGCAAGAAATAATTAAGATCAGAGCAGAACTGAAGGAGCTAGAGACACAAAAAAAATCCTTTAAAAAATCAGTGAATCCAGGAGCTCGATTTCTGAAAAGATCAACAAAATTGATAGACCGCTAGCGAGACTAATAAAGAAGAAACGAGAGAAGAATCAAATAGATGCAATAAAAAATGATAAAGGGGATATCACCACCGATCCCACAGAAATACAAACATCAATACAAACTACATCAGAAATACAAACTACCATCAGAGAATACAATAAACACCTCTATGCAAATAAACTAGAAAATCTAAAAGAAATGAATAAATTCCTCGACACATACACCCTCCCAAGACTAAACCAGGAACAAGTTGAATCTCTGAATAGACCAATAACAGGCTCTGAAATTGAGACAATAATTAATAGCCTACCAACTAAAAAAAAGTCCAGGACCAGACGGATTCACAGCCAAATTCACCAGAGGTACAAAGAGGAGCTGGTACCATCTTTTTGAAACTATACCAATCAACAGAAAAAGAGGGAATCCTCCCTAACTCATTTTATGAGGGCAGCATTATCCTGATATCAAAGCCTGGCAGAGACACAACAAAAAAAAGAGAATTTTAAACCAATATCCCTGATGAACATTGATGCAAAAATCCTCAATAAAATACTGGCAAATCGAATCCAGCAGTAAGTACATCAAAAAGCTTATCCGCCACGATGAAGTTGGCTTCATCCCTGGGATGCAAGGCTGGTTCAACATATGCAAATCAATAAACATAATCCATCACATAAACAGAACCAAAGACGAAAACCACATGATTATCTCAATAGATGCAGAAAAGGCCTTCGACAAGATTCAACAGCCCTTCATGCTAAAAACTCTCAATACACTAGGTATTGATGGAACGTATCTCAAAATAATAAGAGCTATTTATGACAAACCCACAGCCAATATCATACTGAATGGGCACAAACTGGAAGCATTCCCTTTGAAAACTGGCACAAGACAGTGATGCCCTCTCCCACCACTCCTATTCAACATAGTGTTGAAAGTTCTGGCCAGGGCAATCATGCAAGAGAAATAAATAAAGGGTATTCAATTAGGAAAAGAGGAAGTCAAATTGTCCCTGTTTGCAGATGACGTGACTGTATATTTAGAAGACCCCATCATCTCAGCCCAAAATCTCCTTAAGATGATAAGCAACTTCAGCAAAGTCTCAGGATGCAAAATCAATGTGCAAAAATCACAAGTATTCCTATACACCAATAACAGACAGAGAGCCACATCATGAGTGAACTCCCATTCACAATTGCTTCAAAGAGAATAAAATACCTAGGAATCCAACTTACAAGAGATGTGAAGGACCTCTTCAAGGAGAGCTACAAACTATTGCTCAACGAAATAAAAGAGGACACAAACAAATGGAAGAACATTCTACCCTCATGGATGGGAAGAATCAATATTGTGAAAATGGCCATACTGCCCAAGGTAATTTATAGATTCAATGCCATCCCCATCAAGTTACCAATGACTTTCTTCACAGAATTGGAAAAAAACTACTTTAAAGTTCATATGGAACCAAAAAAGAGCCCACATTGCCAAGATAATCCTAAGCCAAAAGAACAAAGCTGGAGACGTCATGCTACCTGACTTCAAACTATACTACAAAGCTATAGTAACCAAAACAGCATGTTACTGGTACCAAAACAGATATATAGACCAATGGAACAGAACAGAGGCCTTAGAAATAACACCACATATCTACAACTATCTGATCTTTGACAAACCTGACAAAAACAAGAAATGGGGAAAGGATTCCCTATTTAATAAATGGTGCTGGGAAAACTGGCTAGCCATATGTAGAAAGTTGAAATTGGATCCCTCCTTTAACCCTTATACAAAAATTAATTCAAGATTGAATAAAGAATTAAATGTTAGACCTGAAACCGTAAAAGCCCTAAAAGAAAACCTAGGCAATACCATTCAGGACATAGGCATGGGCAAGGACTTGATGACTAAAACACCAAAAGCAATGGCAACAAAAGCCAAAATTGACAAATGGGATCTAATTAAACTAAAGAGCTTCTGCACAGCAAAAGAAACTATCATCAGGGTGAACAGGCAACCTACAGAATGGGAGAAAATTTTTGCAATCTACCCATCTGACAAAGGGCTGATATCCAGAATCTACAAGGAACTTAAACAAATTTACAAGAAAAAAACAAACAACCCCATCAAAAAGTGGGTGAAGGACATGAACATACACTTCTCAAAAGAAGACATTTATGCAGCCAACAGACACATGAAAAAATGCTCATCATCACTGGTCATCAGAGAAATGCAAATCAAAACCACAATGGGGTACCATCACACACCAGTTAGAATGGCGATCATTAAAAAGGAAAGAACAGATACTGGAGAGGATGTGGAGAAATAGGAATACTTTTACATTGTTGGTGGGAGGGTAAACTAGTTCAATCATTGTGAAAGACATTGTGGGATTCCTCAAGGATCTAGAACTGGAAATACCATTTGACCTAGCGATCCCATTACTGGGTATATACCCACAGGATTATAAATCATGCTACTATAAAGAAACATGCACACATATGTTTATTGTGGCACTATTCACAATAGCAGAAACTTGGAACCAACCCAAATGTCCACCAATGATAGACTGGATTGAGAAAATATGGCATATATACACCATGGAATACTATGCAGCCATAAAGAAAGGATGAGTTCATGTCCTTTGCAGGGACATGGATGCAGCTGGAAACCGTCATTCTGAGCAAATTATTGCAAGGACAGAAAACCAAACACCACATGTTCTCACTCATAGGTGATTATTTAACAGTGAAAGCACCTGGACACAGGGCAGGGAACATCACATCCCAGGGCCTGTCGTGGGGTGGGGGGCAGGGGGAGGGATAGCATTAGGAGAAATACCTAATGTAAGTGATGAA
This sequence comes from Homo sapiens, assembly GCF_000001405.40. Lineage (NCBI taxonomy): Eukaryota > Metazoa > Chordata > Mammalia > Primates > Hominidae > Homo > Homo sapiens. The sequence continues at coordinate 152,289,620 of NC_000023.11, read as the reverse complement.
TTAATGGGTGCAGCAAACCAACATGGCACATGTATGCCTATGTAACAAACCTGCACGTTGTGCATATGTATCCTAGAACTTAAAGTATAATTTAAAAAAAGAAAGAAAGAAAGATAAAATACAAGGTGAGCCAAAGGAAAAAAAAAAAAGAAGGGAGACATAATCAAAATAAGTCGGGGCATTTAGTATGGAAAGAAACAAGAAGAGCAGACAGGGGTACAAGGATCACTTTCTTTAAATCTCTGAAGCTTTTAAATATATATTTTTTTTTCTTAAAGGGAAGAGAAAGCAGACTTTGTTGTGTGGATCCAAAGGGTAGCACTAAGATAAATGTGCATGATTGTGCTGGGGTGGAGCAGCTAGAAATGGCAAACTTACAGAGACTGGTTTCAAGAAAATTCAAGAATTATTGGACATATATTTGAGGTAAAACCAGAAAATACAGTATATTATGAGCAGTATACTCAACATAAATACAGTGATCACTTGTTGATCGGCTCATCTTTATTCTTTCAGATTAGCAGCAAGCAGAAGTACTGTAGGGTCTGGCAAATGAGTTCCCTACCAATGGGAGTCCTATTGAGGTTTAAGGGTGTGTGTAATCATGTGTATGTGTACGTTATGCATATATGTGCAGACCACTTGAGGATCATCCAAGTGCTTCCAATACTGCAGTAAATTTGCAAAAGGAAAAACAATTGTGTTCACCTTTTGTTTCAGAGGATAATATTGGAAGGAAATTAAATCCCTGAAGCAAATGAAGAAAGAGCCAAGCAGCAACTGTAAACAATTATATAAAAAGAGAAGAAAAATCCCTTCTTATCTTCTACTAATTAAAATTTCATATTTGTCTCTATCAAGAATTCTGTCAACAGAGGCTAGACTCTATATATTGTGGCCCTCATGAGTTTCAGTTTAATTCACTGGCCTTTGCACTTAATTAAATGAAATAGGAAACTCCTAGTCATTCCTTCACATAGAGGAGCTGAAGTGGTGAGTGGATACTGTCTTCAGTGTCTAGGACCCAGGACCTTAGACATCTGTGTGAGTTCTGCCCATTTGGCCTTATGGGTGGCTCATGTGATCTATTCTCAGAAATAGTATTAAGCAGCAGCATTAGCTAACATGTACTAAACTCTGAATCTGTTCTAACTACTGGTCTAAATACTATCTCCTTAAATTCTCAGAGCAATTCTGAAGTATCATTACCTCAATTTTCCCAAGAAGAAACAGGTACAAAGGCACACAAAAGAGCAGTGGCAGAACCTAAATCCAAACTTAGTCATGCTTTTAACTACTGTATCATATTCATCAGGGTTCTTCTCCATGTGTTATCAGGTGCCTTGCCCCAAGACAGCCCGATTTCTTAGCCAGAAAATGGGGCTAGACATCAAGGCATAGTGGTCCCCGTGTAGAACACTGGAGTCATGTCAAATATCCCTGCTTTTGCCTGGGCTTGGAATAGAGGCCTGTGGATGGTAACATAAATTCAGAGCCCTCTCTCACTTATGATACCAGGATGCAGTAACAATCTCTTTTCCACACCTGACTGCATGAAGGATTTCTGGTTGATGCAAATCTGGTGCCATTCTTATTTCTAACCTGTTCACTTTCATTGAAAAGGCAACCATTGATTGTTAAGAAAGAAACAGTGTGGGGAACAGCAGGAAAATAATGTTGAGAAGTTTGATCTAGTAGCTAGCTGATCTGGTACACTGGACACCAAATCCCTTCTTCCTCCACTTCTATCCCATTTGGAAAGAGTCTGGCAGGTAAGAAAATTGGAATAGAGGAAGTGGTGTTGAATGAAGGAGGAGAGGAAAGAAGGATGGAAGAAAAAAAAGAAATAGAAGAAAGGTACTTAGAAGAGGATTGGAGGAGGCAATATAGACAGAAGACCTTCCTTGGTCATTTTAGAGTTGGGATTGCCATCAAGCCATCCTACCCATTAACTCTTGAGTCCCACCATAACCATTGTATTCATCCGTTCTTACGCTGCTATGAAGAAATATCCGAGACTGGGTAATTTATAAAGAAAATAGGTTTAATTGTCTCACAGTTTTGCATGGCTCGGGATACCTCAAGAAACTTACAATCACTGTGGAAGGCACCTCTTCACAGGGCAACAGGAGAGAGAATGAGTGCCAGCAGGGGAAATGCCAGACACTTATAAAACCATCAAATCTCATGAAATTCACTCATTATCATGAGAACAGCATGGGGAAAACCGCCCCCATGATTTAATTACCACCACCTGGTCCCGCCTTGACACATGGGAATTATGGGGATTACAATTCAAGGTGAGATTTGGATGGGGACACAGAGCCAAATCATATTACCTATAAATTTTATAGACTTTTCCCTACTATCTCTCTTCTTATCTGTAGGATGTTGGAAGTCTGCATGACTATCTTACAATTTTACAACCATGTTGATTTAGAAAGTTATTCTGTATCTGCAATGTTTTTGCCTAAAATATTGGATTCAAATATAATGGTGGTCTCTTCCATTAATGAATTTATTTTGTTTTATGTATTTGGGGATAGGACAATTGGAGGTCATTATGTCACACAGTAGGTATATAGGCATTTGCTTCTTTAGCCAATGAGCCTGGCAATGTGTCTGAAGGGAGAAACCTTAAGGGAGCATATTCTGGGTTCTGAAGTTTTGTCTCTTCTCCTTCAAGTACCGAAATAGCTCCAAAGAATCCTCTGCTCTAGATGAGAGCCCAGCTATTTAAAACACAGCTCTAGTTTCAGAGACATGTTATTTGCTGATTAAGTTTGGGAGTAAATTGTGTATTTTGGTGAACTGATTATAGTGTTGATTATTATTAAATGATACTCATAGTCTCTTCTCAAAATGGGAATTTTTATGGATGAGTGTAGTGGCCTTGAGTATATTGAACACATAAATGCCTGAGTAGGGGCACAATATATTAAGCCTAAGGAATGGTTCTGGAAAGTGAGAAATCAACGAGAGCTAAAATACATTTGGGCCAAAACTCAGGTCTGGATGAGTACAGCTAATATGGTACAGATGGAGTAGATGTGTTCCCTACCTTTCCGTGAGAGAAAAGAAATAGCACCATAAACTGCAGTAGCCAGCTCTATTATAGACATACATCAAGGCTTGTGTAGGCTTTACTCCTGTTAGCTGTGTTACTAGTGTGCTCAATTCAGGTCAGCTATGCTGGGCTGGAGTGAGACTTGTTTGGTTTACTGTAATCTTGAGGTGTCTGGTAGGCTGAAATGGGCTTTGCAAGGCTGGGATAGCCTGCCTTAGCTCATGCTCCATTTGAGGTACGCTGGAATGGGTAGGCTAACTGGGCTGCAGTGGGGGTAAGTAGGGCTGACAGAAGCAGGAAAAGAAAAACTCAGTAGTGGAAAAACTTCACTTCTCTGGGTAGCTGCTGTTCTGGATGTATATATACTTATATAACTTATATACTATACTATACTTATAGTATATAAGTATATAACTTATATACTATACTATACTTATAGTATATAAGTATATAACTTATTTATAAGTATATTTATAACTAACTTATAAGTATATAACTTATTTATATACTATAAACTTCACTTCTCTGGGTAGCTGCTGTTCTGGATGTTTTTGTCTCCCCACAATCTGTATGCTGAAATTTATAGTACTAAGTACTATAAATACTTAGTACTAAGTACTATATAGTATATAAGTACTATATAGTACTTAATACTATAGTATTAAGATAGTACTAAGCAGTGAGGCCTTTAGAAGGCGATTAGGTCAGGAGGGCTCCACCCTCATGATTGGGATTAGTGCTCTTATAAAAGAAGCTTGAGCAAGCTCCCTAGCCCCTTCCATCATGTGAGGACATAGAAGGCACCATCTATGAGGAGTGGACCCTCACCAGACACTGAACCTGCTGGTGCCTTGATCTAAGACTTCCCAGACTCCAGAACTGTGAGCAATGAATTTATGTTCTTTATAAATTACCCAGTCTAAGGTATTTTGTTGTAACAGCCTGAATGGACTAAGACAGTATTAATTTCCAATTTGGCAAATATGTGGTGTGTGATGAGATTAATCCATTCATGCAAAACTTGATGTTTAGTGAGCACCATCTGAGTCATAAACCTTTCAGAAGCTCTTGGGTTAGGTGGGAAGATTGACAAGTAAAACAAATGGTTACAATGAAGGAAAGTAAATGTAAAGAGTGTATCAAATGATATCAGTTGTCTCCAAATATGGGACAATTAACCCCCCCAAAAATTATTTCTCATTCATGCAAAGTCTATTGTGGATCCAGGCAACTCTCCAGGGCAGTGCTCCTCCATATATTAGCTCATCATTCCAGACTTTTTCAATTTTATTGTAGCACCACAGCAATGTGTGTTTTTACGATCATCATGGCATGGAGGGTCTTGCATTAGACATCAATTGTTCCAGCCATGAGAGACACATATTACTTTCTCCCACATCCAGAACCATTCCTATTGCCCCTCTATATTTTAAAAAGGCAGGGGAGTGGAAGAACAATCATCCTATGTTCCTAGAAGTGGAAGAGTGTTGGATATTGCAACATTTGTAACCTACTACAGGTAAGGGTAAGCCCAGTGAGAGCTCAGCTCTTGTGAATGTCAGGGATCTCTAAGGGCCCTATCTAAGCTTTGTTGTTTTGGTATTATGCTGTCATTTTCAATGATACTAAAGGGATAGACTTTGAGTCTGTACCTAGCATGTTCCCTGTGAAGAGATAGCACAGATGAGAAGTTTTTGAGGGGTTTTCCTTTCTCAGAAGTAGTAAGTTGGCTGTCATTCAGAGTACTGCACTGGACTCTCTCTGAGCTAAGACAAAAGCCTTTCCTGACATTCTGCTTTTCTACTTTCTTTCACGCAGATGCAGTGACTGAAGTGAAGACTGACATCTACGTGACCAGTTTTGGCCCTGTGTCAGACACTGACATGGTAAGTTCTTGCAAAGGTAAATGTAAAAGAGGATGCACTAGACCAAAGAAAATAAATTGGAGCTTTCCTAAGGCAGGGCCTTGTAGCTATATTCTAAGGAGTGGTCTTTTCTCATATGAATTTCCTACCCTCGCCACCCTACGTTTAGCCAAATCCATCTTTGCCCTGCTCTCCCCACCTATTCACATATAATGTATATACCCCTTTCAGGAGTGCCCTTATCTTTCTCCCACGACACATCTTTCAAAAGTTTGTTTGGTTCCCTATCCTTAATTAAAGCTTCCCTGACTTCTCCCTTCACACTCTGCTGGCACCACACATATTGGTACAGGTAGGTCATATGAGGAGAGAATTGTGGTGGGGATTCTCAGTAAAGCAGCTGGTGGTGTCATCCAAGAAGTCTGTTCCTTGTAACTGGGTTTCATCCACTAGGGACATGGACTGGCCAGAATGATACAAACAGTTTGGAGAAAGAATCTAAATCACTTCTGGAAACTATTCTTTGTACAGATTTGGGCATGGAGAGAGCTTCATTGCAGACTCAAAATATAGAGCAGGGCACAGCAGAACAAGCAAGGGAGTGGCCCCTTTTCTCACCATTATCCATTGTATTCAAAACAAAGAGTACAGTGGAGAGTTGAAGCAGAAGGCCTCACTCAAATAGATACCCTATCGATATATACTGAGTATCAAATATTCAATTGAATAATTATGATTTAGAGACACAAAAAAGCTATTATCTGCTTTGTATACCTGGCCATTATTAGATGTTCAATAAGTTTTTGTTGAATGACTGACTTTGTGTTGCAAGCAAAAATCCTAGTATCAGGGAAAATATGTTTGAAGATAATGACATGCCCATGTTCACTATTTAGAGTTTTTTTCTGTGTGTCTATTTTCAGTGGGACTACTACTTGGCAGGGGACAAAGCTTCTTTCCGCCTGTTGGACTAACACAAACAGTTGTGTAGGGAAGTGGTAGAGGTTTTCTTATAGGTAATGCAGAGCCATTGGGTGGATTTTGTTAGGACAGTAAAAATATATGTGTTGTTTTGGAATGATTGATCTGGTGATCTGTGCAGGATGGAGTACAAAGGGGAAAAGGCTGGAGCCTGAGAGTTGATTTAGGCCCGTTGATTTTACATGACTCTTCAATCAGGTGCAAGGTCTATGAGTCAATTGGAAAAGCTGGCTAGTTCTCAGGAGAAGAAATCATCAGTATGTGAATGTTTGGAAGGCCAGGCATGGGTAAAGGAGAGGTCTGAACCTTGTCTTTCAAGTGTAGAGTAAAGAGAAGGGTACATTAGACTTCCTTTGAACTCCTCGAGGGCAAGTACCAAGTCTCCATGGCTTCCCTGGCACTTAACAGCATTTGACACACAGGGAGAGCTCATTAAGGGGTATGTAAGATATAAGGAATGGAGGAGATGGCTCTCTCTTAGGGACAGCAAGAAAGCCTGTATGTCTCCATTGCCCTCTGTCAACTTGTTGACTAGTAATTCCCACAGGCATGTGTTAAAATCCAGGCATGTGTTAACATTGTTGCCAGTTGGCCATTCAACAAGTACTCCTTACGAGCCCAACTATGCATTAAAGGCTCTAGGAAGCCCTATATTCAGAGATCTCACAGCCCATCAGAGACAACCATACTCACCAGGTGTATGTAGCTCTTTTTCTATTGTTAGGAATTAAATTAGGATATTTATAAAAGGATAAATGAAGTGACTCTTCTCACACACACATACACTCACTCACTCATTTTCATTCATGCACCAACAACCATAAATAACATTCAGACAAATATACATACACATAACAAATACATATAGGGTACACAGCCCACACACTATTCTAGGCATTCTGTAGAAACACATATGCAAACAGATACCTAAACCCAGGCATACCAGAGAAGGACACACACAGTCCCTGTTCCAACCAGCTCCTCACTCTGCTGCTTCCTCACCATAGCAGGCGTGTATGGGTGTGTCCAGGCTCTGGAGACGTTTCTAACAATTGGGACTTTCTGTCTATGTCTCTTGAAGTTTCATGTTATAATTTGCTTGTTTGTTTTTATTCCTCATTATTTAGCTGAAGCAACAGAATGGCACCTTCCTGATAGAGAGGGCAGACTTTGGTCAAATGAATTTCACATTATTTTTAGCCGCATGTCCATCCAGTCACAAGGCAGAATAGCTACAATCATTCTGGCTAAAAAGCATATTTCGGGTGTTTTGAGAAATGTTTTTTTTTCTGTGCTACTAAGTAGACTGTTCAATTGATCCCAGGGCCAGGGATGCATTTGGGTAAAGCTTTAGGCAGTCTTCTGACTTTGGCAACTAGTTTCACCAAGAACCCAGGCTCCCCTGAGACCACAGACTACTTGGAAAAGTTGATGAAAATTTGGGCTGCCTGGGTTCTTGGCTCATTTCCAGGAAAAGAGGGCGTTTGGGTCCAAAATACTTTCCTAAGGAAATAGAGGCAGTCTTTTGTTCACAAAGGGGGAAAATTACGCTGCCACTTTGAACATTGACACACCACCACCCATAATATTTTACATCCATTACGTTCCTTGGCCAAACACTGGCCCTTACAGACACAGCTTCTCAGCTTTTTTGACAAAAGCTCCATGAAGGTATAAGCCATGTCTGTTTTGTTCATCTCAATACCATAAATGTCTGACTCAGTGTTTGGTACATGGCAAACTCCCAACTTTTTATTAAGTGCAAGAATAAATGAGAAGGAACAAATCAAATCTGAGGGAAAAATAATGACTGTCTTCCTCCACTTAGCTGAAAAATTTTCAAGGACAGAAAACATGTCAGGGACATCTCTGGTTCTCCAGCATTTAGCACAGAACCTGACAGAGGTCCTCTGTATGTGTTTGTTGAGATGAAATTAAACATTAATAGCAAGCCCTGCAGATAAAGAGTGAAAATAGCTTTCCTCAGGAGACATTAGTGATTATTAAGACTGGTGACTCAATGATTGATGATTCCAAGCTTCAGCTACTAGGTTTGGTGGCTTCTCCATTCATGAATATAAGGAACTATGACAGTAGGGAACTGAGCAAAGATGAAAGCTAAACAGTGGTAGATGTTTCTAAGGAGAAAGTCAGAGGGAAAAAAAAGAAATTTAATTTAGAGTACAAGAGATAAGTTGGAAAATGGTTGCCCTGGCAGTTTCACAGGCTTGTGGTGAGGCTGGTGTTATTCATTTGCAACAAATTGAGCTTGCTGGTCACACAAAGCATCATAGCTCCTCAGTAGTAATGCCAATCCTGTGTCCATGATCTCCTAGGAGAGAAACAGAACAAAGAAGACTATCCCAATTTGAGTGAACTGGGGCCATGCAACCTTCTATAATTATCTATTATTAGGAGAGTTTAGACCATTTTCTCCATCAGATGTATAGGAAGAGGGTGGAAATGGCAATAAGAGAAAGGTTGCAAAGAATTAGAATGCAGAGACAGTGGGCAAGTGGCTTAGGAATATCATTCTAGGCATATTGTCAGTCACTGGAAAGGAAAGCAGAAAAGTAACAGCTGAGAAAAACATTGGCTGCTCTTCTATCTGGTCCAAATTCCCTTCTGACCTAGCTTCCATCCTAGCTCTCAAGATCCTAAGGCTCCAGGCACTGCTCCACCTTCTCTTCTAGTCCCTGAGCATGTCAGAGGTGCAGGAACCCAGGGTCCCATGGTATGTAATTAACAAGTATTTGTCTGAACTATACCAAGAAAACTAATGAGAAAATAAAGAGGGAAAAGAGGAGTAATGTTAGGAGAGTCAGGGAGATAATAACTGGGAAACTTAAAATGCCAATTTTAGGTATTATTAACCTCACCCTCTCCCCAGGAATACTTTGCTTAGATCCCACTAGGTGCCAGCTAGTGCCACTAGTGTCAGCTGCCACAGAGAAATTTCCTAGGATATACAGTGGACAATCAGGTAATGGTGCAAGTATACAATACAATGAAAGAACTAACCATCTAGCTTAATGAGAAAAACAAAATGGAATCCTGGGAAATAAGAACACAGAAAAAGACATTATAGTAATAATTCTAGACAACAGATTCAGATAACGTACATTCTGATATGACAACTGCTTATGAAAATTATGCCATTATCCTAGTATCCAAACACCATGGAGAAAAAAAAATTGTGTTAATTAAAAGGAGAATAGCACAGGGATCTCTTTCCTGGTGGCAGTAGAATTGAAATTATTGTACCTGTTTTCTCTCTAGTGCTAGAAAAAGTAGCTATGTCTACTTCAAACTCTCCCTTACTGGCAGTCTGAGGCACAGACTGGATGAGAACCTTTGTCTATTTTAGGCTGTCAATTTATTCTTATTCCACAGGATATGGCATTGCAGATGCAATATAGAAAGGAATCTATGTCCTTGAGCTTTTTCTAGGAGTCTATGACCAGGAATCTCCTTGGATATTTTTACGTAACATAGAGAGCCAGGAAATATAAACAATGCCAATAAGAGAGGGATGCCCTCTCTCACCACTCCTGTTCAACATAGTGTTGGAAGTTCTGGCCAGGGCAATCAGGCAGGAGAAGGAAATAAATGGTATTCAATTAGGAAAAGAGGAAGTCAAATTGTCTCTGTTTGCAGATGACATGCTTGTATATCTAGAAAACCCCATCATCTCAGCCCAAAATCTCCTTAAGCTGATAAGCAACTTCAGCAAAGTCTCAGGATACAAAATCAATGTGCAAAAATCACAAGCATCCTTATACACCAATAACAGACAAACAGAGAGCCAAATCATGAGTGAGCTCCCATTCACAATTGCTTCAAAGAGAATAAAATACCTAGGAATCCAACTTGCAAGGGATGTGAAGGACCTCTTCAAGGAGAACTACAAACCACTTCTCAATGAAATAAAAGAGGATACAAACAAATGTAAGAACATTCCATGCACATGGGTAGGAAGAATCAATATCGTGAAAATGGCCATACTGCCCAAGGTAATTTATAGATTCATTGCCATCCCCATCAAGCTACCAGTGATTTTCTTCACAGAATTGGAAAAAACTACTTTAAATTTCATATGGAACCAAAAAAAAGCCCGCATTGCCAAGTCAATCCTAAGCCAAAAGAACAAAGCTGGAGGCATCACACTACCTGACTTCAAGCTATACTACAAAGCTACAGTAACCAAAACAGCATGGTACTGGTACCAAAACAGAGATATAGACCAATGGAACAGAACAGAGCCCTTAGAAATAATGCCACATATCTACAACTATCTGATCTTTGACAAACCTGACAAAAACAAGAAATGGGGAAAGGATTCCCTATTTAATAAATGGTGCTGGGAAAACTGGCTAGCCATATGGAGAAAGCTGAAACTGGATCCCTTCCTTACACCTTAGACAAAAATCAATTCAAGATGGATTAAAGACTTAAATGTTAGACCTAAAACCATAAAAACCCTAGAAGAAAACCTAGGCAATACCATTCAGGACATAGGCATGGGCAAAGACTTCATATCTAAAACACCAAAAGCAATGGCAACAAAAGCCAAAATTGACAAATGGGATCTAATTAAACTAAAGAGCTTCTGCACAGCTAAAGAAACTACCATCAGAGTGAACAGGCAACCTACAGAATGGGAGAAAATTTTTGAAATCTACTCATCTGACAAAGGGCTAATATCCAGAATCTACAAAGAACTCAAACAAATTTACAAGAAAAAAACAAACAACCCCATCAACAAGTGGGCGAAGGATATGAACAGACACTTCTCAAAAGAAGACATTTATGCAGCCAAAAGACACATGAAAAAATGCTCATCATCAGTGGCAATCAGAGAAATGGAAATCAAAACCACAATGAGATACCATCTCACACCAGTTAGAATGGCAATCATTAAAAAGTCAGGAAACAACAGGTACTGGAGAGGATGTGGAGAAATAGGAACACTTTTACACTGTTGGTGAGAGTGTAAACTAGTTCAACTATTGCGGAAGTCAGTGTGGCAATTCCTCAGGGATCTAGAACTAGAAATACCATTTGACCCAGCCCTCCCATTACTGGGTATATACCCAAAGGAATATACATCATACTGCTATAAAGACACATGCACATGTATGTTTATTGTGGCACTATTCACAATAGCGAAGACTTGGAACCAAGCCAAATGTCCATCAATGATAGACTGGATTAAGAAAATATGGCACATATACAGCATGGAATACTATGCAGCCATAAAAACTGATGAGTTCATGTCCTTTGTAGGGACATGGATGAAGCTGGAAACCATCATTCTCAGCAAACTATTGCAAGGACAAAAAACCAAACACCACATGTTCTCACTCATAGGTGGGAATTGAACAATGAGAACACATGGACACAGGAAGGGGAACATCACACACTGGGGCCTGTTGTGGGGTGGGGGGAAGAAGGAAGGATAGCATTAGGAGATATACCTAATGTTAAATGACAAGTTAGTGGTTGCAGCACACCAACATGGCACATGTATACATATGTAACAAACCTGCACATTGTGCACATGTACCCTAAAACTTTAATTTAAAAAAAAGACTATTTCATGGACTAAATACATCTGAAATAACGTATCAATTATGTTTCTTCAAAATAGAGAATGATGAAGAGAAGGCGAAGAGTAGAGGAAAGATGGGATGGCCAAAATAAGAGGGAGTGGCCCTTGTAATGGGAAAATGGCAAGGCCTTCATTGTAATGCAGTTATCACGTGCCTTGGCCCCATACACTGCTAAAGCTGAATAAACTTTGCAGGCTTTATCTGGGAGCCTGCTTTGACACATCGAACAGTGTTAGAGAGTTGAAGCCATTCAAGCTCTAACAAGACAGAAATGCTTCCCCAAGAACTAAGTGTCATCTCTGCCCTGTGTAGAAAATGTATTAAGCGTCTTTCCCAGGAGGCAGACTCAGGCTTATTATCTGGAAGATGTGATTTAAATGCCTCACAAAACAACAGAATTCATTTGTCAATTTCTAGGCAGTCATCCTTGGAGCGTATACAAGGGATCAATTTGCAAGGAAGGAATTGATTACATTTCTAGAATGGTTAGGTCAAAATCTGATTGCTTTTGGCCAAAGGTCATGGAATACTTGTGGAGCAAATAATCACTTTGTGATTTTCCCCAGTAGTTTTGACTGTGTAGAGAAAATTTCCTATGGTATACAGTGGATAATCAGGGGGGAAAATGGTGCAAGTATACAATACAATAAAAGAACTGACCATCCAGCTTAATGAGAAAAATAAAATGGAAGCCTGGGAAATAACACAGAAAAAGACATTATAGTAATAATTCTAGATAACAGATTCAGATAACATACATTCTGATATGGCAACTGCTTATGAAAATTATGCCATTATCCTAGTATCCAAACACCATGCAGAAAAAAAAAACTGTTAATTAAAAGGAGAGTAGCACAGGGATCTCTTTCCTGGTGGCAATAGACTTGAAATTATTGTACCTGTTTTCTCTCTAGTACTAGAAAAAGTAGCTATGTCTACTTCAAGCTCCCGCTTATTGGCAGTCTGAGGCACAGACTGGATGAAAACCTTTTTCTATTTTAGGCTGTCAATTTCTCTGTGTAGAGAAAAAATAGATATGATCATCCAACTTTTTAAAATCTTAAAAATGAGTCAAATGTCTTTTTATGGCATATTATCTAAAAAATAATATTTAAAGATACAAGCAAAATTACCTGTGTACCTTACCCTGATACCATTTCCCTGTTTCCCTCCCTCCTCAAAGATATTCACAACCGTGAAGTTGCTTTTGTCTTTTTGTCATTTATATGCATACTTTATAAATAAGAATGTGTATATCACATACATTCATAAATAACAAATAGTGGCTTTTGTGTTTTGAAACTTTTATATAAAACTCATCCATAGCATGTGTATCATTATACAACTTATTTTTTACCACGTATTAAAAACTCTACTTTTTTGTGTATTTTACTCTAATTCATTTATTTTAACTATCAAAGATTATTACATTGTATGAATATGTGGTCATACATTCATCCATTCTCTTGTTAATGTGCATTTGGGCTGTTTCCTTTTTTGGCTATTAAAAAGCAGTAATACAACAAACATTCTTGTACACATATTTTTGTGAACATTTTTTAATTTCTTTAGGGTGTGTACCTAAAGATAAAATTTGTGGTTTGTTAGGGCTTGCACATTTTTAACTTTTTTCAGTTTAGGGCCAAATACTCTTGTGATGAATCATATCAATGTATAATCTCAATAGCAGTGTATGAGAGCTCAATTTCTCTGCACTTTTGCTAATGCTTCGTATTGTCATACTTTATTTTTGACACTGTGATGGGTATAACATGGTATCTAATTTATTTTGTTTGCATTTTTCTGATTACCTTTGGTGTTTAAGCATCTTTTTATATGTTTAGTGGTCAATCTGTACATACTAAAGACAAGATGGCTTTGCCACCACCTGCATCAGCAAAAGTATAAACTCTAGGCAACCTTGTTTCTTCATATTGCCACTTTTGTATTAAAGTTTCCTGTGGGCTGTGTGTGTGTGTGTGTTTAATAATGAATGTATTTGAAATTTTGTAACTCTTCCTTTGGCCTGTATTAAGATGATTGCATGAATTTTCTCCTCTAATATGTTAATGTTATTAATTACATCAATAGATTTCCTAATATTAGACCATCTTTTCATTCCTTAAAAAAATCGGATTTTACAGGGAGGTATTCCTTTTTATACATGTTTTAGTTAGGTTTACTATTATTTTATTATTAGTATTTGTATGTGTGTTCATAAGTATTCCCAAATTAACTGTCTCTCATTCATATCTAGCCATCTATATCTATCCTATAAATATATATATAAATGATTTATTTACAGGATATAAATATATTTATTTATTTATTTATTTTGAGATGGAATCTCACTCTGTTGTCCAGGCCGGAGTGCAGTTGCACGATCTCGACTCACTGCAACTTCTGCCTCCCAGGTTCAAGCGATTCTCCTGCCTCAGCCTCCCCAGTAGCTAGGATTACAGGCACGCGCCACCACACCTGGCTAATTTTTGTATTTTTAGTAGAGACAGGGTTTCACCATGTTGGCCAGGCTGGCTCATCTCGAACTCCTGATCTTGTGATCTGCCTGCCTTGGCCTCCCAAAGTGCTGGGATTACAGGCATGAGCCACCACAGCCAGCTCTATTTATTTGATATTTAAAATAAATATGTAAATATATATTTTATATTTAAAATAAATATGTAAATATATATTTTACATTTAAAATAAATATGTAAATATATATTTTATATTTAAAATATATATTTATTATATATAATATTAAATATATATTATATATTATATATATTTATATATAATATTAAATTATATATAATTTATATATATAATTTATATATATTTTATTATATATAATAAAATATATATAAATTATATATATATAATATTATATATATAAATTATATATATAATATTAAATATATATAAATTATATATATAATATTAAATATATATATTATATTATATATATTTAATGTTTAAATTAAATAATATATGATACATGTATACATTTATTATATATATGAATATATTTCTATAAATATATTCATATCCTATAAATAAATATATATGTAAAACATATGCCACACACACACCCCAAAGTAGAAAAAAATAGTGTAATTGGGCTCCATGTACCCATATTCTTACCCCTACCCATAACAATTCTCCCTGTCTCGTTTTCTCAATTAAACTTATCAAAATTTTTGATATCATTAGTGTTTTCAAAGTAACCTTTTTTTGTTTTGTTCATCATCTGTATTATTTATTTTTGTTTTCTGTTTCACTGATTTGTGCTCTTATCTGGATCATCTCTTTCTTTACTTTCCTTGGGGTATTCTGTGGTCCTTTTGGTTTCCTGAGGTATATTAACTTATTGGTTTTCCTTTTCCTTAAAGGCTATCTTTAAGCCATCTTTATGAATATCAATTTCCCTCCAAGCACCACTTTAAGAGCCCCAAACAAGATTTCATATGTAAACATTTTCACTATTGTTCACTTCTAAAGATTTTCAAATAATCTTTAAGGTTTCTTTTTTGTTTCTTGAAATTTTTTTAGTGTTTTTCAATTTCCAACTATAAAACTTTTTGTTATTGATTCTTAATTTAATGCCTCATATTGAAAGAGAATGATCTGTAGGATGTAAAACCTTTTTGTGTTTCTTGAGATTTGTCCTATGTCTTAGCACGTGGTCATTTTTTTTTGTCGGGGGTGGGGTGGGAAGTAAATATGCTGTGTGTGTTTTACTAAGTGTTAAGTAGATAAGTTTATGAGTGTTTATTAGCTCATCCTTACCAACTGGGTTGTTCTAATTTTTTAAACTTACAAATTATTGGTCTGATTGGTCTTTCACTTATCGTGAGTCTAAAGGTTTGTTGATTTTTCCTTGTAATTCAATTTTTTGCAGTAGATATTTTGAGTACCTGTTATTGAAACATACAAAGTTAGAGTTGTTACTTTTTCCACTCAAGATACTCCATCTGTTAGTGTAATGATATTTTATCTCAAAGAGGATTTTTAATATGCCCTTTTGTCTGTACTTTACAGCTCTACCTTTATGATTTTCCTACACATATTTGTCCATCACAGTACTTTCAAACCTTCTGTGTTTTTATGTCTTCAGATGTGTCTCTTGTATGTACATAGCATATAGCCACATTGTGTTTCCTTCAGTAATATTTATTTATCTATTTTACTTATAGAGGTAAAATAATACATATACACTTTACCATCTTTACCATTTTGAGTGTACAGTTCAGTGGTAATAAATATCTTTTGTTCTTTTTTGTCCTGTAATCTGTCCTCCCTACTACCCTTCCCCTGCTCTACTAATCATCATTCTATTCTCTATCTTCATTAGCTCAAACTTTTTAGCTCCTACATGTAAGTGAGAATATGCAATATTTGTCTTTCTGTGATTACCTTATTTTACATAACGTAATGACCTCCAGTTCCATCCAAGTTTCTGCAAATGGCAGGATTTCATTATACTTAAGGCTGAATAGTATTTCATTACATATACATACCGTATTTTCTTTATGCATTCATCCATTGGTGGGCACTTAGGTCAATGCCATATTTTGGCTATTGTGAATAGTGCTGCAATCAACATGGGAGGACAGGTAGCTCTTGGACATATTGATTTCCTTTCTTTTTGATATGTACCCAGTAGTGGATTTGCAGGATCATATGGTAGTTCTATCTTTAATATTTTGAGGAATCTCCATACTGTTCTCCATAGTGTTTATACTAATTTACATTTCCACCAACAGTGTATAAGCTTTCCCTTTTATCGCATCCTTGCAAGCATCTGTAATTGCCTGTCTTTCAGATAGAAGCCATTTTCACTGAGATGAGGTGCTATCTCGTTGTGGTTTTGTTTTGCATTTCCTTGATGATTAGTGATGTTGAGCGTTTTTCATACACCTGTTGGGCATTTGTATGTCTTCTTTAGAAAAATGTCTATTCAGATCTTTTGCCCATTTTAAAACAGGATTATTTATTTATTTATATTTTCTATTGAGTTGTTTGAGCGGCTTATATCTTCTGGTTGTTAATCCCTTGTCAGATGGTGTGTTAGTCCATTCTCCTGCTGCTATAAAGAACTGCCCAAGATTGGGTAACTTATAAAGCAAAAAGTTTTAATTGACTCACAGTTCCGCATGACTGGGGAAGCCTCAGGAAACTTAAATCAAAGCAGAAGGGAAAGCAAGCACATCCCCCTTCACATGGTTGCAGGGACAGCAGTGCTAAGCAAAGGGGGAAAATCCCCTTATAAAACCATCAAATCTCATGAGAACTCACTCACTATCATGAGAACAGCATGAGGATACCTGCCCCCTGATTCAATTTCCTCCCACCAGTTCCCTCCCACCACACGTGGGGATTATGGAAACTACAATTCAAAATGAGATTCGGATGGAGACACAGCCATACCATATCATTTCACCCCTGGCCCTTCCCAAATCTTATGTCCTCACATTTCAAAACATAATCATGCCTTTCCAACAGTCCCCCAAATTATTAACTCATTCCAGCATTAACTCAAAAGTCCAAATCCAGAGTCTCATCTGAGACAAGGCAAGTCCTTTCCACCTACGAGCCTGTAAAATTGAAAGCAAGTTAGTTACTTTCTAGATACAATGGGGGTACAGGCGCTGGATAAATACATCCATTCCAAAGGGGAGAAATTGGCCAAATTGGCAACAGGCCCCATGCGTGTCCAAAATCCAATAGGGCAGTCATTAAATCTTCAAGTTCCAAAATGATCTCCTTTGAATTCATGTCTCACATCTAGGTCATGCCGATGCAAGAGGTGGGCTCCCACAGCCTTGGGCATCTCCACCCTTATGGCTTTGCAGGGTACAGTCCCCCTCCCAGCTGCTTTCACAGGCTGGCATCGAGTGCCTGCAGCTTTTCCACGTGCATGATGTAAGCTGTCCATGGATCTACCATTCTGGGGTCTGCAGGATGCTGGCTCTCTTCTCACAGCTCCACTAGGCAGTGCCCCAGTGGGGACCTGTGTGTGGGATCCAACTCGATCATTCCCCTTTCACACTGCCCTAACACAGGTTCTCCATGAGGGCTCTACCCCTGCAGCAAACTTCTGCCTGGACATCCAGGAGTTTCCATATATCCTCTGAAATCTAGACAGAGGTTCCCAAACCTCAATTATTGACTTCTGTGCACCTGTAGGCTCAACATCACATGGAAACTGCCAAGGCTTGGGGGCTGCACCCTCCAAAGCAATGGCCCGAGCTATACATTGGCCCTTTTTAGACACAGCTGGAGTGGCTGGGATGCAGGACACCAAGTCCTGAGACTGCATACAGCAGAGGGGCCCTGGACCTGGTCCAGGAAACCATTTTTCCCTCATAGGCCTCTGGGCCTGTGATGGGAGGGGCTGCCATAAAGGTCTCTGATATGCCCCGGAAATATTTTCCCCATTGTCTTGGCAATTAGCATTCAATTCCTCATTACTTACACAAATTTCTGCAGCCAGCTTGAATTTCTCCCCAGAAAATGGGTTTTTCTTTTCTATCACATTTTCAGGCTGAACGTTTTCCAATCTTCTATACTCTGCTTCCTCTTGAACACTTTGCTGCTTAGAAATTTCTTCTGCCAGATACACTAAATCATCTTTCTCAAGTTCAAAGTTCCACAGATCTCTAGGGCAGGGGCAAAATGCCACCAGTCTCTTTGCTAAAGCATAGCAAGAATTATCTTTATTCCAGTTCCCCCCAAGTTTCTCAACCCCATCTGAGACCATATCAGTCTGGACTTTATTGTCCATATCATCATCAGCATTTTGGTCCAAGCCATTCAAGAAGTCTCTAGGAGGCCAGGTGCATTGGCTCATGCCTGTAATCCCAGCACTTTGGGAGGCCTAGGCGGGTGGATCACCTGAGGTCAGGAGTTCTAGACCAGCTTGGCCAACATGGTGCAAACCTGTCTCTACTAAAAATGCAATAATTAGCCAGGCATGGTAGCAGGTGCCTGTAATCTCAGCTACTCTTGGGGGCCGAGGCAGGAGAATCGCTTGAACCCGGGAGGCAGAGATTGCAGTGAGCTGAGTTTGCACCATTGCAGTCCAGCCTGGGGGACAAAAGCGAGGCTTTCTCTCAAAAAAAAAAAAAAGAAGTCTCTAGGAAGATCCAAACATTCCCACATGTTCCTGTCTTCTCAGGCCTCCAAGTCTCCAGGAAGTTCCAAAGTTTCCCAAATTTTCCTGTCTTTTTTTTTTTTTTAAGTTGGAATCTCACTCTGTCACCCAGGCTGAAGTGTAGTGATGCGTTCTTGGCTCACTGCAACCTCTGCCTCCTGGGTTCAAGTGATTCTCCTACCTCAGCCTCCCAAGTAGCTGGGATGACAGGCATATGCCACCGTGCCTGGCTAATTTTTGTATTTTTAGTAGAGACGGGGTTTCACCACGTTGGCCAGGCTGGTCTTGAACTCCTGACCTCAAGTGATCCACTGGCCTTGGCCTCCCAAAGTGCTGGGATTACAGGTGTGAGCCACTGCACTTGGCCTTTCTGACTTCTTCTGAGCCCTCCAAGCTGTTCCACCTTCTGCCTGTTATCCAGTCCCGAAGTTGCTTCCAGATTTTCAGGTATACTTACAGCAGCACCCTAGTACCTCCTGGTACTAAGGTACTGTATTAGTCCGTTCTCACACTGCCATAAAGAACTGCCTAAGACTGTAATTTATAAAGGAAAGAGGTTTAATTGACTCACAGTTCAGCATGGCTGGGGAGGCCTCAGGAAACGTACAGTAATGGCAGATGGGGAAGCAAACACGTCCTTCTTCACATGCTGGCAGAAGAGAGAAGTGTCAAGTAAAGGGGGGGAAAGCCTCTTATAAAACCATCAGATCTCACTCACTCACTATGACAAGAACAGCATGAGGGTAACTGCCACTGTAATTCAATTACCTCCCACGACACATGGGGATTATGGGAAATACATTTCAAGATGAGATTTGGGTGGGTACACAGCCAAACCATATCGTATGGATATTTTGCAAATATTTCCTCCTGTTCTGTGGGTTGTCTCTTCACTTTGTGAAGATTGTTTCATTTTCTTTGCAGAAGCTTTTGAACTTGATGTAATCCACTTGTCAATTTTTACTTTGGTTGTCCATGCTTTTGAGTCTTATATAAAACATCTGTACCCAGGCCAGTATCATGGAGCATTTCCGCAATGTTTTCTTCCAGTAGTTTCATAATTTTAAGTCTTAAATTTAAGTCTTCAATCCATTTTGATTTTATTATTGTGTGTGATGAGAGATAGGGGACGAGTTTATTTCTTCCACATATGGGTTATTCTGTTTTCCCAGCACTATTTACTAATGAGACTTTCCTTCCCCTGTTGTATGTTCTTGCTGCCTTTGTTGGAGAGGAATTTTCTGTAAATGTGTGGATTTATATCTGGGTTCTCCATTCTGTTCCATTAGTCTATGTATCTCTGTTTATGCCAGCACCATGATGTGGTGTTTTTTTAGTATTGCTTTACAGTAAGTTTTGAAGTCAGATACTGTGATGCCTCAGGCTTTGTTCTTTTTGCTCAGGATTGCTTTGGTTATTCAAGGCCTTTTGTTATTCTACATAAATTTTAGGATTCGTCTTTTCTTTTTCTGTGGAGAATGTCATTGGTATTTTTGGTAGGGATTGCATTGATTTGTAAGTTGCTTTGTGTAATATTGTCATTTTAACAATATCAATTCTGTCAATCAATGAGTGTGGTATATCTTTCCATTTTTTGTGCCCCTTCAATTCCTTTCATCAGTTTTTAAATTTCCTTGTATTGATCTTTCTATTTTTGAGTTAGATTGATTTTTAGGTATTTTGCATTTTTTGCAGTTATTGTAAATGGGATTGCCTTCTTGATTTGTCTGACATTGGCATATATAAATGTTACTGTTTTTGAATGTTGATTTCATATCCTGCAACTTTATGGAATTCATTTATCAGTACTAACAATTTTTTGTTGGAGTCTTTAGGTATTTCTAGGTATAAGATCATATTATCTGCAAATGATGCTCCATAGGCAACAAAACAAGTCTGAACAATTTCAAGGAAATAGAATTTATATCATGTATCTTTTCTGTCCACAATGGAATAAAACTAGAAATCAGAAACAAGATGAACATTTTAAGCTACACAAACACATGGAAATTAAAGAACATGTTCCTGAATGACCAATAAGCCAATGAAAAAATTAAGTAGTAAATTTAAGACCAGGCACAGTGGCTCATGCCTGCAATCTCAGCACTTTGGGTGGTCCAGGCACACCGATCCCTTGAGCTCAGGAGTTCAAGACCAGCCTGGGCAACATCACAAAACCTCATCTCTACACAAAAAGTACAAAAATTAGCCAGGTGTGGTGACATGCACTTATAGTCTCAGCTACTTGGGAGGCTGAGGTGGGAGGATCACTTGAGCCCAGAAGATTGAGGCTGCAGTGAGCCATGTTCATGCCACTGCATTCCAGCCTGGGTGACAAAGTGAAACCCCATCTCAAAGCAAAGTGTATTAGTCCATTCTTATGCTGCTAATAAAGACATACCCAGGAATGGGTAATTTATAAAGGAAAGAGGTTTAATGGACTCACAGTTACACATGGCTAGGAGGCCTCATAATCCTGGTGGTAGACAAAGGAAGAGCAAAGGGACATCTTACATGGTGGCAGGGAAGAGGGCATGTGCAGGGGCACTCCCCTTTATAAAACCATCTTATCTCATGAAACTTATTCACTATCAGGAGAACAGCATGGGAAAAACCCACCCCCATGATTCAATTACCTTCTACCGGGTCCCTCCCATGACATGGAATTATTACAATTGAAGGTGAGATTTGGGTGGGGACACAGAGCAAAACCTTATCACAAAGCAAATTTGAAAATGTACTGAAACAACAAAAGTGGAAATACAACATAAAAAAAATCTGTGGGATACAGTAAAAGCAGTACTAAGAGTAAAGTTTACAGCAATAGACACTTAAGTGAAAAAAATAGAAAGACACTCCAAAAAAAACCTAATGATGCACTTCAAAAACTAAAAAAAAGTAAGAACAAATCAAACCCCAAATTAGTAGGTGTAATAGTAAAGATCAGTGCAAAAATAAATGAAATTAAAACAAAATATACAGAAGATCAATGAAAAAACTTGTTTTTTTGAAAAGATAAAATCAACAAACCTGTAGCTACACTAAGAGAAAGAGAGAAGACCCAAATAAAATCAGAAATGAAAAAGGAAGCACAAGTGAGATCTCAGAAATAAAAAGAATAATTCCAAACTATTATAAACAATTATACACCAATAAATTGGAAAAACTAGAAGAAATGGATACATTCCTTGACACATACAGCTTACTAAGACTAAACCATGAAGAAAGAGAAAACCCCAATAAACCAATAATGAGTGATGAGATAGAAGCTATAATAAAATTTCTCCTGTCAAATAAAACCCAGGACCTGATGGCTGCATTGCTTAATTCCAGCAAACATTTAAAAAATTAATAATACCAATTCACTCAAACTCTTCAAAAACTTAAAGAGATGGGAATATGTCCAAACTCATTCCACAAGGCCAATGTTACCCCAATGCTAAAACCATACAAGGCCACAAAAAAAGAAAACTAGAAGCCAATATCACTGATGAACCTAGATACAAAAATCCTCAACAAAATACTAGCAAAGCAAATACAACAATACATTAAAAAGTTTATTCACCATAATCAAGTAAGATTCATCCCAGGAATGCAAGAATGGTTCAACATATACAAATTAATAAATGTGATGCATCACATTAAGGGTGTCAAGAACAAAAACCCATGTGATTATTTTAATAGATACCAAAAAAGAATTTGATAAAATCCAACATCCATTTATGATGAAAGCCCTCAACAAAATGGACATAGAAGGAACATAACTCAAAATAATAAAGCTCGTATATGACAAACCCACAGTTAACATTGTGTTAAACAGTGAAAAAATTGAATTAATGTAGTTATTTGTTCCACTTTGTTTTTACAGCTCTTATTGTCATTTGTAGATATTCATATTTGTTTAGGATAACTGTGTCAATACTTATGCTCACCATTCCTTTTTGCATCTTTCTGCTGGCTATATTTTTAAACACATGAAGATCTTCTTTTAGTAGTTCTTTTCATGATAATTCATTCAATCATCTACTGATTTAAAATTCTTATAGAGCATCTGCTATACGCTATGCAGAGTTTTATGTGGTGTAGATATAGCAGTAAACAAAACAAAGTCCCTGCTGTCATGGAGCTTCCAGGCTAGTGGAAGCTGGCTAGTGCAGTGTAAACAAATAAAAAAATATTTTTTTTTCAGTGCTATAAGGAAGAAAAATAACTCATGGTAAGAGGAAGGGAGATTACTATTAATGATAGGATGTTCAAGCAATGCTTCGGATACAGTAACTTTTGATTAAAACCTGAAGGCTGTGAGTGATTCAGCCATGAGAAAACCTGGAGCAACAGTGAAGATCTGTTCATGGTAAATTCTCTGCCTTATTTTACTTATCTAAAATTATCTTTATTTTGACTTCACTCTTAAATGGTAATCTAAGTTTGGCTATAGAATTCTGAGGTGATCGTTACTTTTCTGTCAACATTTTCTTCCCAGGTTTGTGGGTTTTTATGATGAAGGGATGTTGAATTTTATCAAATGCTTTTTCAGCATCAATTGAAATGATCATATGGTTTTTGTCTTTCATTCTATAGATATGCTGTATCGCATTGACTGAATTGCATATGTTGAACAATCCTTGAATCCCAGGGATAAATCCCACTTGGACATGATGAGTGATCTTTTTAATGTGTTGTTGAATTTGGTTTGCTAGTATTTTCTTGAAAATCTTTGCCTCAATATTCATCAGATATATTGTCTTGTAGTTTTTTTATGTGTCTTTGTCTAGTTTTGGTATGAAGGTAATGCTGGCCTTGTAGAATGCTCTTGATATAGGATTCCCTTCTCCTCTATTTTTTGAAATAGTTTGAGTAGGATTGGTATTAGTTCTTCTTTAAATGTTTGGTAGAATTCATCAGTGAAGCCATCAGGTCCCAGGCTTTTCTTTACTAGGAGTCTTTTTATTATGGCTTTGATCACATTACCTGTTATTGGTCTGTTCAGGTTTGGATTTCTTCATGGTTCAATCTTGGTAGGTTTGTATGTGTCTTAGAATTTCTCAATTTCTTCTAGATTTTCCAATTTATTGGCAAATAGTTGCTCTCAGTAGCCAATAATGATCCTTTGAATTTCTTCCTTATCAGTTTTAATGTCTCCTTTTTCATCTCTGATTTTATTTCATTATTCTCTCTTTTCTTCTTAGTCTGGCTAAAGGTTTATCAAGTTTATCTTTTCACAAACCTACTGTTTTTCATTGATCTTTTGTGCTGTTTTATTTATTAAAGTTTCATTTATTTCTGCTCTGATCTTTATTATTTCTTTTCTTCTACTAATGTTGGGCTTGGTTTGCTCTTGTTTTTTCTAGTTCTTTAAGATGCATTGTTAGGTTGTTTATTTGAAGTTTTTCTTCCTTTTTGGTAGAGGCACTTATATCTATAAACTTCCCTCTTAGCACTGCTTTCACTGCATGCCATAGGTTTTGGTATGTTGTGTTTGCATTATCATTTGTTTCAAGGAATTTTTCAATTTCTCTCTTAATTCCTTCAATGACCCATTGGTCATTCAGCAGTATGTTGTTTAATTTCCATGTGTTTGTGTAGTTTCCAAAATTCCTCTTATTATTGATTTCTGGTTTTTTTCCATTGTGGTTAGAGAATAGGCTTGATATTATTTCAAATTTTTTTAATGTTTTAAGGCTTGTTTTGCAGCCTAACATAGGGTCTATCCTTAAGAATGTCCCATGTGCTGAGGAAAAAAATGTGTATTCTGCAACCATTGGAGGAAAAGATCTGTAAATATCTATTAGGTCCATTTGATCTATACTGCAGATTAAGTCCAATGTTTATGTGATGATTGTCTGTCTGGACTATCTGTCCAATGTTGAAATGAGTTATTGAATTCTCCAGCCATCATTGCATAGGGCTCCATCTCTCTCTTTAACTCTAATAATATTTGCTATATATTTCTGGGTGCTCCAGCATTGGGTGCATATATATTTACAATTGTTATTTCCTATTGCTGAATTGAACCCTTTATCATTATATAGTGACCTTCTTTGTATCTTCTTATAGTTTTTTTCTTGATATCTATTTTGTCTGATATAAGTGTAGCTACTCCTGCTCTTTTTTGCTTTCCATCTGCATGGAATATCTTTTTCCATCCCTTTATTTTCAGTTTACATGTGTCTTTAAAGGTGAGGTGTGTTTCTTTTAGGCAACAGACCACTGGCTCTTGCTTTTTTCATCCATTCACCCACTGTATTTTTTTTATTATAGCATTTAGTCAATATACATTCAGCATTATTAGTAGTAAGCAAGGACTTACTTCTGCCATTTTGTTATTTGTTTTCTAGTTGTTTTGTGGTCTTTTCTTCCTTTTTTCTTCCCTTCTTGTGATTGTTTTACTGAAGGTGATTTTCTCTGATGATATGATTTAGTTTCTTACTTTTTACTTTTTAAGTATCCATTGTATGGTTTTTGGTTTAAGTTTACCAGGAGGTTTGCAAATACTATCTTATGCCCCGTTATTTAAGCTGATGACAACTTAGTATTGTTCCCATAAACAAACAAACAAGCAAAAAGAAAACTAATAAAAATTCTATACCTTATTTGTTCCCCCACTTTTTAACTTTTTGTTGTTTCTATTTATATCTTATTCTACTGTCTATGTCTTGGAAAGTTGTTGTAGTTATTATTTTTGATTAGTACATGATTGAATCTTTCTATGAAGATAAGAGTAGTTTACACAGCACAGCTGCAATGTTATAGTATTCTGTGTTTTTCTGTGTACTTAGTAACACCAGGGAGTTTTGTACCTTCAGATTATTTCTTATTACTCATTAATGTTCTTTTCTTTCTGATTGAAGTACTCCCCTTAGCATTTCCTATAGGGCAGGTCTGGTTGTGATGAAATCCCTCCGCTTTTGTTTTTCTGGGAAATTATTTATTTCTTTTTCATGTTTGAAGGATATTTTCAATAGATTTACTATTCTAGGGTAAAAGTTTTTTTACTTCAGTACTTTAAATATGTCATGCCATTCTCTCCTGTCCTGTAAGGTTTCCATTGAAAAGTCTGCTGCCAGATGTATTGGAGATCCATTGCATGTTGTTTCTTTTCTCTAGCTGCTTTTATAATTATTTCTTTATTTTTGACCTTTGGGAGTTTGATTATGAAATGTTCTTGAAGTAGTCTTCTTTGAGTTAAGTCTGGTTGATGTTCTATAACCTTCTTGTACTTGGATAATGATATCTTTCTCTGGGTTTGGAATATTCTCTTTTATTGTCCCTTTCAATAAATTTTCTACCTCTATCTCTTTCTGTACCTCCTCTTTAAGGCCAATAACTCTTAGATTTGCCCTTTTGAGGCTATTTTCTTGTTCTTGAAAGCATGCTTCATTGTTTTTTATTCCTTTTACTTTTGTCTCCTATTACTGTGTACATTCAAATAGCCTGTCTTCAGGCTCAATAATTATTTCTTCTGCTTGACTCATTCTACTATTAAAAGACTCTGATGCATTCTCCAGTATGCCTATTGCATTTTTCAGTTCGAGAATTTCTGCTTGATTCTTTTTAACTATTTCAGTTAATTTTATCTGATAGAATTCTGAATTCCTTCTCTGTGTGTTATTGAATTTCTTTGAGTTTCCTCAACACAGTTACTTTGAATTATCTCTCTGAAAGGTCACATATCTCTTTCTCCAGGTTTGTTCCCTGGTTCCTTATTTAGTTTATGATGTGGTTTAGCTGTGTCCCCACCCAAAACTCATCTTAAATTGTAGTTCTCATAATCCCCACATGTCACAGAAGGGACCCGGTTGGAGGTAATTGAATCATGGGGGTGCTTACTCTCATGCTGTTCTTGTGATAGTGAGTGAGTTCTCAAGAGATATAAGGGGCTTTTCCCCCTTTTGCTTGGCACTTCTCTCTCCTGCCGCCATGTGAAGAAGGATGTGTTTGCTTCCCCTTCTGCTATAATTGTAAATTTCCTGAGGCCCCCCCAGCCATGCTGAACTGTGATTTAATCAAGCTTCTTTCCCTTATAAGTTACAGTCTCGGATATGTCTTTATTAGCAGTGTGAGAATGGACTAATACAGTAAACTGGTATCACAGAGAGTCGGGCACTGTTGTAAAGATGCCTGAAAATGTGGAAGAGACTTTGGAACTGGATGACAGGCAGAGGTTGAAACAGTTTGGAGGTCTCAGAAGAAGAAAGAAAAATGTGGGAAAGTTTGGAACTTTCTAGAGACTTAGAGGGCTCAGAAACAGGAAGATGTGGGGAAGTTTTGAGCTTCCTAGAGACTCATTGAATGGCTTTGACCAAAATGCTGATAGCAATATGTACAATAAAGTCCAGGCTGAGGTGGTCTCAGATGGAAATAAGGAACTTGTTGGAAACTGGAGCAAAGATGACTTTTGTTATGCTTTAGCAAAGAGACCGGTGAAATTTTGCCCCTGCCCTAGCGATCTGTGGAACTTTGAATTTGAAAGAGATGATTTAGGGTATCTGGTGGAAGAAATTTCTAAGTGGCAAAGCATTCAAGAGGTGACAGAGCATAAAAGTTTGGAAAATTTGCACACTGGCAATGTGATGGAAAAGAAAAAGCCATTTTCTGGGAAGAAATTCAGGCTGGCTGCAGAAATTTGTATAAGTAACAAGGAGCAGAATGTTATTTACCAAGACAATGGGTAAAATATCTCCAGGACATGTCAGAGACCGTTACAGCAGCCCCTTCCATCACAGGCCCAGAGGCCTAGGAGGAAAAAATGGTTTCATGGGCCAGGTCCAGGAACCCCCTGCTCCATGCAGCCTGGGGACAGTGCCCTGCATCTTCAGTTGCTTCAGCTCCAGCTGTGGCTAAAAGAGGCCAAGGTACAGCTCAGGCCATGGCTTCAGACGGTGCAAGCCCCAAGCCTTGGCAGCTTCCACAAGATGTTGAGCCTGCAGGTACACAGAAGTCAAGAATTGAGATTTGGGAACCTCCACCTAGATTTCAGAGGATGTATGGAAACTCCTGGATGTCCAGGCAAAAGTTTGCTGCAGGGGCAGAACACTCATGTATAACCTCTGCTAGGGCAGTGTGGAAGGGAAATATGGGGTTGAAGGCCACACACAGAATTCCCACTGGGGCACCGCATAGTGGAAGTGTGAGAAGAGGGCCACCATCCTCCAGACCCCAGAATGGTAGATCCACTGACAGCTTGCACCATGCACCTGGAAAAGCCACAGACACTCAACTCCAGCCCATGAAAACAACTGGGAGGGGGGCTGTACCCTGCGAAGCCACAGGGGTGGAGCTGCCCAAGGCCATGGCAGTCCACCTCTTGCATCAGCATGACCTGGATGTGAGACATGGAGTCAAAGGACATCATTTTGGAACTTTAAGGTTTAATGACTGCACTGTTGGATTTTGGACTTGCATGGGGACTGTAGCCCCTTTGTTTGGCCAGTTTCTCTCATTTGGAATGGATGCATTTACCCAATGCCTGTACCCCCATTGTATCCAGGTAGTAACGAACTTGCTTCTGATTTTACAGGCTCATAGGTGGAAAGGACTTGCCTTGTCTCCGATGAAACTTTGAATTTGGACTTTTGAGTTAATGCTGGAGTTAGTTAAGAATTTGGGGAACTGTTGGAAGGACATGATTGTACTTTTAAATGTGAGGATATTAAATTTGGGAGGCACCAGGAGTGGAATTATATGATTTGGCTGTTCCCTCATCCAAATCTCATCTTGAATTTTAGTTCCCCTAATCCCCATGTGTCATAGGAGGGGCCTGGTGGGGGTGATTAAATTATGGGGGTGATTACCCTTATGCTGTTTCATGATAGTGAGAGAGTTCTAATGAAATCTGATGGTTTTATAAGTGGCTTTTCCCCCTCTTGCCTGGCACTTCTTGCTGCCACTGTGTGAACAAGGACATGTTTGCTTCCCCTTCTGCCATGATTGTAAGTTTCCTGAGGTCTCTCCATCCATGTTGAACTTTGAGTCAATTAAATTTCTTTCCTTTATAAATTGCCCAGCCTCAGGTATGTCTTTATTTGTATCATGAGAATGGAGTAATACAGTTCATTTGGTGAGTTCATGTTTTTCTTGGATTGTCTTTATACTTCTAGATGTTCATCAGGTCTGGGCATTGAAGAGTATGGTATTTATCATAGTCTTCTCAGTCTGGGCTTGTTTGTACCCCTCCTTTTTGGGAAGGCTTTCTGGATATTTGAAAGGACTTGGGTGTTGTGATCTAAGCTGTATCTGTTTTAGGGGGCACCTCAAGCTCAGTAACACTGTGGTTCTTGCAGTCTTTTAGAGATTCTGCCTTAATGTTCTTAGACAGTATCCAGAAGAATTCTCTGCATTACCAGTCAAAGACTTTTCTTGGCTTCCCTTACTAACTTTCAAACAAATTAAGTCTCTCCCTATGTTCTAAGCCACCTGAAGCTGAGAGTGGAGTGACAAAAGCACCCCTATGGCCACCACCACTATGACTGTGCTGGGTCAGACCTGAACCCAGCACAGTATTGGGTCTCACTCAAGGCTTCCTGTAACTACTTCCTGGCTACTGCCTATGTTCACTCAAGGCCTTGGTGTTCTACAATCAGTATATGACAAAGCCAGCCAGGCCTGTGTCCTTCCATTTGGGGTGGTGAATTCTTCCAGGCCCTTGGCAGATCTAGACATGCCATCTGGGAGCCAGAGACTACAGTCATAAATAGAAATCTACCTGGTTTTTCTCTTGTACTGCAGCTGAGCTGGCTCTTAAACCACAGCATGCAGTCTTTCCTACTCCACCTTCCCCTTTTCATAGGCAGAGGAGCCTCACCTCATGGCCACCACCACCGCCCCACAAGAGTACCGCCAGACTACTACTGATGTTCCCTTAAGGCCCAAAAGCTCTTCAGTTAGCTTGTACTGAGTACTTCCTGGCCTGGGACTCACCTTTCAGGGCAGTCTCCTCCAGTCTGGCCCAAGGCAGGTCCAGAAATGCTGTCCAGGAACCAAGTCCTCAAATCAGGGTCCCCAAGAGCCTGCTTGATGCTCTAACACACTGAAGCCAAGCTCGTACCGAAGATTGAATAAAAAAATCCCATTTACTTTTCCCTCCACTTTTTTCAAGCAGAAAGCGTCTAGTACCATAGCCATCACAGCTGGGAATGTACTGAGTCTCACCTGAAGCTAGCAAATCTCAGAGCCTAATCCAAGGCCTACCACATAGTGTTTGGGTATCACTGCTGGTTATTCAGGGCCCAAGGGCACTTTAGTTAGCAGGTGATAAATCCTGCCGGGGTTCGTTCCTTCCTTTCAAGGCAATGGGTTTCCTTCTGACCCGCTGTGTTTCTAGAAATGTCACCTGGGAGTTAGGGCCTGTAAAAAGGGCCTCACAACTCTGACTGCTGCCCTGTCCTGCTTTGGCTGAGCTGGTATCCAAGATGCAAGACAAAATCTTCCCTACTCTTCCCTCTCCTCTACTCGAGTGGAAGGAAGCGATCTCTTTTGGAGCTGCGAGCTGTGCAGCTTTGGGTTAGGAGAGGAATGAAGCCAGCACTCCCTTAGCTGCCCTGGCTGGTGTCTCCATAGGTCACATGTCTCCCCACAGTCAGTCCACTGGCTCTGGGCCCAGTTTAGCACTAGAAATCACCTACGAGTTGCTGCCCTTGTGGCCTAGACTGCTGTTCATGTTTACTTAGGGCTCCAGAGCACTTTAGCCCAAGGTGGCAAGGCTTATGGAAACTGAAGTTGCAACTGCTGGGATCAGTGATTCCCCTCTGGCTAGGGCTAGGATAAATACTCCCTCCATCGGCAGGCATCAGCTAAGTTTGGTCTGGTTTTGCTTTCTGTTGTAACAGGGCAGCACTAGTTCAATGTCTCACAATTGCTGTGTTCTCCCCCTCGTCAGTGTACAGAACAGTTCTCCATGCCACACCACCAGTGACAGCAGATTGGGGAGGGGTGGTGTCAGTGATTCAAGACTGTTTTTCCTACCTCTTCTGTAACTCTTTCAGTGATATGTAGTTAAAATCAGGCACTGTGAGTGCTCTCCTGATTTTTAATTCCTATGAAGGTACTTTTTTGTGTGTGTATAGATAGTTGTTAAATTGGTGTCCCTGCTGAGTGGGGGAGGGACAATCAGTGGAGCCTTCTATTGTGCCATCTTGTTGTGCCCTCAACAACATTTTCAAAGTGTATTTTTATTGTCTTTTTGGTTTCTATTGTTGCATTTAAGAAGTCAACATAAGTGGTGGTTATAAGTCAAGTGGTCATATCTATGTAGGTAGTATGTCTTTTCTGTTTTGCAATTTTAAAAATCTCTTCTTTGGTATTCTTTAAATTCATTATGTACTGGCTGGGATCTATTGTAATGTATTGAGCTTGCAATTCATTATGGTACTTGAAGCTAAGGATGCATATATTTCAACAATTCTGGAAATTGTAGTCCATTACTACTTTGAATATTTTTTCTCCCCTATTTTCTCAAATCTCTCACATTTAGAATCGTAATACACGTATACTGAAACTTTTGTTTTTATCCTTCATAGTACTATATCTCCCTTTCATATTTCCTATCAGTTATATGTCTTAAATGTGAACTGGGCAATTTTTCCTCATATGTATTTTCCAGTTCACTAATATCTCTTTCATAATATCTAATCTTCAATGTAACACACCCACTGAACTTTTATTTTCAATGACTATTTTTCTTTTACAGAAAGTCAACTTCAATTAGATATATCTTTTTCAAATTTGCTTTTACTTTCTCCCTTCCCCTCATAACCTTTATAATTTTAATTATAGTTTTTTTCATAATCACTACTGGATAATTATGTTATATGAAGTCCTTGGAGGGGCTCTAATTCAGTTTTATCTTGTATCTGTTGACCCTTACTTGTAACCATTTCCTTAGGTGTTTTGTCATTAAGGACAGTGAAGTAATTTTCAGCAAGCATTAATTTGTGGTTCTGTCCTTCCAGTTTTTTGTGTGTTTGCTTTGGCAAGTCAATCTAGTGGTATACCCAGCTTAAGACCAATTTTTGTGTTAAGTTTTCAGCTTGTAAACTTCAGATCAGGCAGACAGTATATATTCGGATGTCAATCCCACATATGATTAGAATTTTGAGGTTGCTACATTTCAGTAGAAACACTTTCTCCTCAACTCCTCCCTCTTCCTTTTTGAACTTTTGTGTTGTGATCTGATTTTGTCTAGTTAAGTTGATCTAGTTTACCCTTTTGCTAAGCTCTTAACAGATTCTTGGCTTTATGTGAAAGTCTAGTTCCAGCTTCTCATCTGCCACAGTCCTGCCTCCTCTTCCTCTTAAAAGTGTTCCAGTTTAGGCAACCAATTATATGATCTTTAAATCTGTAGGCAGGAATGTTTTTGGTCTACTAAAGGAAGAGAAATGCCAGAATGGCTAATCTTTAAAGGAAAGAGTGTTTGGAGAATAACTCAGAGAGGAAGGCAAGGGCCAGCTTATGGCAAGGAAAAGTTCATCCCACATACGATTGGAAGCCATTAGGGGATTTTAAACCAAAGAATATTCAGCAAATTCTGGCTTTCATTTCTTTTAACCTGGCTATCTGGAAGTGTCCCCTGTGCCTTGTGTAGTTCAGTGGTCAAATATTTGGGCAGATGTTATACTCAGATTTTGGGACTCACCCTCTCAGTGGTTCTCTTGTTCCCAGGACATCCTCATGAATTTCCATCTTCCAATCCAGAGCTTATTCTCTGATAAGCTAATACTTTTTCAGATTTCCTCCACTTGAATTGTGATGGATTAAGGAATTCCTTCAGTCTAAATCGTAGCAAATTCACAAACATCACCCAGCTCATTTCTTTCATTTAGTGGACCACTATCTTATTGTTTCTGCCTATTTTTTTTAACTGGGCCCCAGGGTCTCTCCTATTTGTGTGTAGTATAGTGATCAGCCGGAATTTTTCGGCAGAATATATATTCAGATTTGGAGGCCCATCCCTTCTGGGATTCTCTTACTTTTGAGTCTTCCATCCCTAATGGTCCAGATTCTCTGCCACCTTGAGCCAGTAAGGGTGTTGTATATGCCACAGGAATTCTAGGTTTGGGAAGCACCTTCAAGAAAGAAAAATCACAAACTCACAATTCTAATCTATTGCTGCTGCCATCTTTCAAAGGTAAACTCACCTTAGGTTTCTGTCTGCTTTCAGTCACGCTCCACTGCTTTCAAGGAATACAGGTATATACAGTTGTTGTTCAGGTTTTATAATTAATAGCTACAAGAAAATGTAATCAAACAATTTATTATGCTGTTACCAATACCTGGAACATTTATTGTTCATTTATTTTGTATTTAGATAAACAGCAAATTTGAATATTTTCTTCACGTTTATTAGCAATTTTTATCCATTTCATGACTTTGCTGTTCATTTACCCATTTTTATCTTATTTGTCTATAAGGTATGTTTTTTATCTTATTTATCTATAATATTTCATTATTTATTGAGGATAATAAGCTATTTGCTAATCAGACATATTGTTATTTTGAGGCTCAGATTAAATGTACGATAAAATGTAAGGTTTTGGTTTTGTGGCGATTTTTATATTGGCCTTTGATGTTCATATGGGGTCATTAAGCAGTAGAGACAAGGTAAGAAACTTGTTCTTATTTGGGTGTCACTGCATACAGGAGGGAGCACTTGCCTTTTCATAAGGCAAAGTCTTATGATCAGCTTGTGTGCTGTGTGGGGATGTGTTGGCAGTTGTCTTCCTTAAAAATGCCTTGTCAAATATGTTATCCCCATGCTTATTAATCTCCATGGCATTATTTCTCAATCATAATCATTTTCCTTACACACCAGGAGCTACTGTTAATAGACTGCTGCTTCTCTGCATCAGAGGAAATACTGCAAGGTAATTAATATTTGCTAAGGGCACTATGAGCCCTTACCAGAACTCAACTGAAACATTGTTTTCTCTCTTTTCACCCCTAGGAGTACACTATTGATGTATTTTTTCGGCAGACATGGCATGATGAAAGACTGAAATTTGATGGCCCCATGAAGATCCTTCCACTGAACAATCTCCTGGCTAGTAAGATCTGGACACCGGACACCTTCTTCCACAATGGCAAGAAATCAGTGGCTCATAACATGACCACGCCCAACAAGCTGCTCAGATTGGTGGACAACGGAACCCTCCTCTATACAATGAGGTCAGAGAGTGGTGGTTCCCACCCAAAGTATATTGGGAGTAGGACTGGGCTTGAAAGCAGAATGTTTTAGAGTATCCATTGAAAATTCCCTCAAGTGTATAGATTAGAAATGTACAGGTATGTATATACTTCCTAATACAATTGCATGCATACATACTCACAGACATATATATTCTAATAAACACATAAATAAAGAGTTGCATAGATGAACATTTTGAGAAACACAGAGGTATACATTCATGATTTGTATATGCATGCATACCTAAAGACACATGTGGACTAACACAGAAGGACATAATGTATTCAAGGACACTTAAATACACAGATTCACAAAAACATACACACAGGCATGAACGCTGATAATTAGAATTGACTAGGTTTAACTGCAACAACAAACTATCCCTATGATGCAGAGTTGTGAGAATCAAATGAGATAACTATGGGTATTTTGTGAAACATACAGTGTTTTATAAACATAAATTTAAAAATACTTATTTTAATTTTTTATTTATTTGAATATGTTTATTTTATGCTACATTACCTTAGGATACTGAGGATGATAATAAGTGAATTTTCCAAACAATTTAAGATTATATCTCTATCTATCTATACATGGTGTTTATATGTGTGTGCATATGTGTGTGTGTATATATAGATATAGAAATCTTCATAAAATATAAATTATATTTCATACTTTTCCAACTCCCAATGGATAAAAACATCACAATTTTATGTATTTCATAACTTGTTACTGTCATAGAGTTATTAGGCATTGAATTTTGCTGTCAAAAAGAATAAATTTGAAAAAATTTTCAGTGCAATAAGATTCTTTCCCCAATACTGAAAAACATTCTTGGTTTTTGGGTTTGCTTTTTTATGAATTTGCTTGTTCCTCCGATATCAGTTGTCACTTCCTGAAGCTTCCTTCCACATTAATGAGTGCTAATTTTGTGTAGTGGAGCTTCTATGGCTATTTAGAATTGGTGTATTTGTTATTTTGCAGAACAAACCTCAAATAATGCATGCCTGGTAAATAGGTGGTGAATAAATGAAGTGTGTTTGTCTGTATACTAATCTCTCATTACTTCAAATTTGCTATTTATTGGTGTTTTTCCTACAAGAATTTGGAAGATGAGGAGATGGTCAAGGAAAAAAGGATAATACTTCAGAGAGAAGTTGGATGAGAGATGGGAGGAAAAATGAACATAGAGGAGAAATGAGCATAGAGTGGAGGATAAAATAATGAAGAAGGAAAGTGGATAGAAGTGGGAAGATGAGGGTCAAGAGGGGAGGAGAAGACTAATTACACAGAGTACATAGAGGCATGTATATTGGAGAAATGAGAATGGTGAAAAGAAAGAGAGTATGAGAAGAGAGGACAAAAAGAGTAGAGAAGTTGAGAAGACAAAGGATAAGATGGTGTAAAATAAAGAAGCTAGATTAGATATTAGGATATTCTAAAGAGATAGGCGAATATAATGAAGTGGATGTAGTAGATGGGAATAAAGAGGAAAAGACATAGAGAAGTAGGGGAAGGGACATGGGAGGAGATGAACAAGAGGGAGGGAAATTGTAGACGAAAGAAAGAGAAGCTTTCCCTCATTTATTCATTTGCCAAACATGTTTTGACTTCCTAATATATACATGACCCTAAAGTAAATTCTGGAAATGCAAACATTAATGAGACATAATCTCTGTCCTTAAGATAATCACAATATAATAGGGGAGAAAGACTAATAGGATAATAGCAAATTATGTTAACTAAAATGCTAAAGAGATGGGTAGTTATTGGAATATAGAGCAGGGTCATCTAACTCATTGTTTTGGGACAGGTTGAGAGAAGAGTCCCTGGATAAGGCAACAGCTAGGCTTCTGATTATTGGTATTAGCATTAGCATTTTATATTATTATGTAAGTAGAATGCAGTCAAGAAACTTGTAGGTGGATAGGTAGAGGCAGAAGGAAGAGAGGAAGGACGTTCTAGACAGAGAAAACCAAGTGAGCAGTTGCAGGGAATGGAAGGACATATTTTAGGCAAGAGACTGA
Organism: Homo sapiens; assembly: GCF_000001405.40. NCBI lineage: Eukaryota > Metazoa > Chordata > Mammalia > Primates > Hominidae > Homo > Homo sapiens. Next base: position 152,253,731 of record NC_000023.11, on the reverse strand, counting down.
GGTGGTCAGTTTTCTATTTCATATATGGCTCTGTAGTTACTGGGTAAATAATGCATTTGAAGGTAAAAAGACTGGAATTAGATAAAATGATTAAGAAACAGCTGAAATAGTCTAGATTAGCAGTGGTGTTCTAATTCAGAACAATGGATTAAGATGGAGAAGTGACGATATGTTAAGGAAATCGGCAGTAAATATAGAAAACTTCAGAATGACAGAGAGGAGGAGTTGTGAAGGTAGTAGGTATCCAAATAACATGGGTGAAAGATGGTACTATAGGCTGGAGTAGATGATATGAAAGTTAGGACAAATTTAGATAAGTCTGTGAGGTTAATTTGGGACAAGATAAGCTTAAGGTGATTGTAGATTATCCAGGGAAAGAAGTCTTAACAGCAGTTAGATATTCAAGTCTTAAGATCAGGAGAGAGATACAATGTAGAGATATAAAGTGTGGTATTGTTAGTATATTGGAACAAATGGAAACGTGAAAATGGATGTCATCACTTCAGGAAAGAGTATAGAGTAAGAAGAATTTCATGCCAGGTATCTAGTCATCTAGAACTACTATCAGTAAGGCAGTGGAGGGGAAAGAGGAACCTATGAAAGAAACCAGGAAGAAAATGTCAGGGAGCTGTTAACAATGTGCAGTATCATGAAAGCTAAGTGTGGTAGTCAATATTACCACTTGCCAATATTTTCACTTCACCTCCATCTGGATGCAAAGTAGTACTACACTTCCCTGAGCCTTGAAGTTCAGCATGGACAAATGACTTGCTTTGGCTAACCAAATGTGAGTGTAAATAGTATGTGTCAGCTCTGAGAGAGGATGGGAAGCCCCTCAAGAGCCAATACATAATTTGCCATGTTGCCTTCCCCTGGCCACAGTAAGTAGCATTATGCCAGGTGGTCTTGGCCCTATCATTCTATGCCCCTTATTGAAGATGACATAGAAGCGAGTGGGTCCCACTTCCCCAACCAGAGGTAGTGTGAGTGAGAAATAAACTTCCGTTACTTTAGGACACTGAGATTTTCAGATTGTTTCCTACTGCATATTAATCTAACCCATCTTGACTGATAAATTAAAGTTTCAAAACAATGAGAGTTATCAATAATAACACCACTAATAGTATAAGTATTATTAATTAACATCAATATAGTACTTAAAATATGACAGACACTGTTCTAATCATTCTTTTATAATATTCATAACAGCTTTAACAACAGTATGAGATAGGTACTATTATCCCAACTTTACAGATAAAAAAAAACTGAGACACGACGTGGGTAACAGAATTTTTCAAGTTCACTTGGGTAGTAGATGGTTGAGCCAGCATTATTAATATGGTAGTGTAGCTGCAAGTTCATGCACTTTACCCTGTTTACACATTTTTTACAACATTGTTGGCTATAAAAAGAGATGTAATATAGAGACTTAAAAGTCTGTCTTAAGTTTGGTAACATGGAGGATATTAGTGTTCTTCACATACACTGTTTCAATAGAGTGGCTAGTGCAATGGAGAGTTTTAGGAGTTGGAGTGGGGAGATAGTGCACATAGAAAATACCTTCGAGAAGCTTGTTTGAAAAATGAAAGGGAGGGAGGTATCATAGCTACATTCAGGGGTAAAAGAAATTGCTTTTGTTTTCAGAGGAGAGATTGACACATATTTGTGAGGTAGTACAAAAGAGTCAGTAGGAAGACAAAGATAGAAGATATAGGAGAAATAACACATCGCTGACAGCAAGTTCTCATAAATACCATCAAGGGGATGATATCAAATCTACAGTTAGAGTTTTACTTGAAAGGAAGAGGGACACCTCTTCTCACATTGCATGAAAGGTTATGAGGTTATATATAAATGTTGAAATGAAGGTGGGGAGGATAGGACAGAGAAAAGGTATGAATGAGTGTCATATATCAAGGAGAATTTGGGGAAACAGAGCATTAGGGAAGGAATAGATGGAAGAGAGGCATGCTTGTAATAAATTATAGGAAAGAGAAGAGTTTGAAAAAGAGATAAGAGTTCACACAATTGTGGAAAGAATGGAGTGGAGTATATGTAAACAGAAAAGAAGCTGTATGGAATGAGGTGGATGGAGGGACAGAATAATGAGGAGGAGATGTGGATGGGCAGAAGACAGTAAGCAAATGGAAGAGAAGCAAGAGGAAGGAGAGAGTAATGGGCAGGAAAGGATCTGAACCCAGTAGAGATTGCAAATAGTGAGGAGAAATAGAGAATGAATGAAAAGAACAGGATAGAGGAGAAACAACAATAAAAGGAATAAAGCATAGAGAATAGGTTTAAGTTTTGGAGGAGGGATAGAGAAGAGAGAAGAAAGGAGAGAGGATGGGAATATTGAAATACAAAAAAATAGAAGGTGCAGGTTGAGGAGGGCAGAGGATGAAGCCGAGCAAAGGATTAGTTTCCTTGAAATACAGTTGAATGAATGGGAAGATGATGATAATTGGGCCCTTTATTCTAGTCTGAATTGGACAAGAAAGTCAAGTTCGATGAGATTAGAGTCTATGTAGAATGCCCTTGTGCTTATTCTGTTTTACAGAATAGAGGAAGTACAGAAGCACAGAAGCATGATGAAGCCATCGGTTTCCTACACAGTAGCACCTTGGATCCAGGAAGGTGGGCCTGGAGGGAGACATAGGCTCAAAATGGAAAAATAAAAGCCTGGCTCTTTTTACAGCCCCACAATTGATTCACCTAGTGACCTTTCTCAAGTCACAAACCGTTCACTTTCTCTAGTCTGATAATAATGTAGCTGCTGCCAGTCTTGCAGGCATATGAAAAGCACAAATTGAATAAGGTCTGCAGAACACTTAGAATTTTTCAGAAAGTGTTATTCTATAGCACCCCTATTATTATTTTGACCCTCAGGAATCTTATCTGGAGTCCATGGGAAAACTACAGAAGGACAGCTTCCTACTAAAATCTGAGCAAGCATTGCATGGGTATGTAACTAGGGCAGTTTAGAAAGAAGCCTTGCTTTGCCTCATCTTGGGACCTCAGAACAACCGTAAAAATACAGGCTAAAACCCGTTACCTGCTGCTTACTTCATCAGCACACATACTAAAATTGGAACAATGCATAGATAATTAGCAGAGCCCAGCCCGAGATGATACACACATTTATAAAATATGTTCTATTATTCAGGTATGGATATATAGAAAACTTCATCTCTATTAATGTCATATTATTTGTATATGAGGACACGGGTAAACATGTTCGTTGTATATAAATGTTGCATAATATATAATATAGTAAAAAAGTCCTATTGACTATCTGAATATGAAGGAGAACTATTTATGGAATTTAACTAGATTTTATCCTATTGACTTAAAACATTCATCAGCACATTCACGAGTGCTTACTATGTTTAAAGTTCTGGAATATCTGCTGAGCTACAGAGATAAATAAGGCACAGGTCATGCTCTTAATGACTCTACAGTTAAAGAGACCTGTGCACAGATAGCTGCACAATAATATAAAATTCCTGAAATGGAGGTGCAAAATGTGATAGAATCGCAGGAGAAGTCACATCTAAAATGATATAGGGTTATCAAAGAAAGCTGCAAAAGGAGGTGCTGCATAGTTTGTCCCTTGAATCTTGAAGGAAGTGTAGGTGACTGTCAAACAAATGAGAGACAGGGCTGAGGTAGAGGAGGGTTTTCCAGGCAGAAGAAATAGTATACACAAAGACATGTATTCATGAATCGACATCATGCATCAGAAAATCCATGCTTCTTTGTGAGACATGATAGGGGAAAGAGAGAGTACTATGGGAGCATCTAACAAGGACAGTGAAATGAGTCTGTGGGGTATAGCCACAATAAATTCCAGAGGATATCACCTTCTGAATGATTTCTGAGACCTAAAAGATCTGTAGAAGTAAATTAAAAGACAGGGAGGAAACATTGCAGAGATAGAGCATAGCATGTATAAAGGCTTGAAGAGTGAGAGGAGAAGGTAGTGATGATACATTGAAGGACTAAAAGTTCAGTGTGATTGGACCAGAGTACAGTGCAGGAAAGCAGTCCGAGGTGGGGAGAGGGGCTTATACGCTATGTTGGCATAAACATGATGAGGATCCACTAAAGACTTTATTGCGGAGGAAGAAATCAAACAAATTTGCATTTAAGATAGATCACTCTGGGAGCAGTGTAGGAGGCAGATTAGAGGAAGGCAAGGCTGAAGATGAGGTACCTAGCTAAGAAGCTGCCATAATACTCAAATGATAATCCTAATGACAACTACGTATTATATATACTGTGTATATGTAGTATACTATGTGTTGAACACCTACTATTTGTTAGGTACTTTACGTAAAACATCTCTAATCTTCACAACACTTATTCTAGCTTCATGTTACTGCTCTTTCCACTAAATTAGGTTTTGAGGAAGAATTGTGGGCATACAATATGTTCAAGAGGTAACATTGATGGCACTTGGTGCCTAATTGGAAGTGTGGAGTTCAGGAGGTTGTATGGCTGGTTTCTACAAGTAAATAAGTTGCCTAGGATAATGGAAGTATTAGGGGTGTAATATAAATGATGACCCAATTGTTAACATTTCCGTAGAACAAAGAGGAGTAATAAGATTTTGGAACATGGCAGTGATAAAGGGAGTAGGAAATATAGCCAAATAGCATACCTATTTGGAAGGATTTGTGCATGACAGATGAGGGATGATAGTGAAGAAGTGATACAGAATATGTTTATCCTGTAGTTACAGGGAAGCATTATTGTTTTTACAGATTTATTTATGTTTTGATTGACATATAAAATTGTATTTACTGTGTACAACATGATGTTAAGTACATATACATTGCAGAATAATTAAATCTAGCTAATTCGCAAATGCATTACCTCACATAGTTAACGTTTTGTGATGAGAACACTTGACATCCACTGTCAGCATTTTTCAAGAATGCAATATATCGTCATTATTGTCAGCTAGTCACCATGCAGTATGATAGATCACTTGAACTTATTACTCCTACCTAATTATAAATATGCATCCTTTGACCAACATAATGTATTTTTTAAAGTGAAAGACATGACAAGAGAATTTGTGATAACACAAGTTGCTGAACCCCAAAATGAATAACAGTTCAAACATGATAGAAGTGTATTTCTTGCTCCTTAAATTTCAAAGCAGGTGTTCCCCATTGACAAGCGGCTCATTTCCAAGTGGTGCAACACATGGTTTTCTTTTTTTTTTAAATTTTATTATTATTATACTTTAAGTTTTAGGGTACATGTGCACAACGTGCAAGTTTGTTTCAAGACCACTGTGCTTATTTGTATTAAGTCAGTAGAAGATGAAAGAGCACGACAGATTGTATATGGGAGGTATTTATAGACCAGGCCTTGAGTGGCATACTCATGTCTACTGACGTTACTTTAACTAGAATGAGGTCACATGGACATGGTGGGAAAAGAAACATTACCAAGAAAATGAGAAAGTGGATTTGGTGAACAGTTGGCAAGTGTTTGCCAATCCCAGTTTTTTTTTTTAAATTGAAATCCCTGGTTGCATTCTGGAAGATAAATAGAAATACTAGTTAACAGACCCTTTCATAGTCCAGGAAGGAATGACAGAGGTCCAAGAAAAGGCAGTGAGAAGTGAGAGTGGAAGAAGAAGGGCAAGTATAATGAGAGACGTTTTCAATAGATGTTGAAGTCCAACTGGATATAGGGTATCGAGGAAAAAGGTGCGTTGAGAATGTCCCTGACATATTCTCCCTGGATACTGAGTGAATTATTAACGACAACAACCACCACAACAAAAACTCATTATAGGAGAAGAAGGAGATATTTTGGAGAGAGGAGGGGTTAGAGAGTTTACATATCTTGGGGATTTGCTATATGCCACCTGTTGTGCTAGTTGCTTCACATGTATTTGTTAAATTTAATCCTCACAGCAATGTTCATGTGTATATACTACAGAAGCATAATATAGCATGGTTATTAAGAAGGTGGGTTCTGCAGTAAGACTGCTCCTGGTCCTTCCTCTGTAAAATAAGGCAAATCATAACAATGCCTGCCTCATAGACCATTGCAGGAAGTGAATGCGATAAGGCATGTAAATTGCTTGATATACTTCTTGGCATTCTGTGAAGTGTTTTCATTTTTATTGTTAACATCCCTATTTTTACACTTAGTAAACTGAAGTTTCAATAGAGCAAACTCACACCACCAATAAGTGGCAGAGCTGGTATAGAGACCCAAGTCATTCTGCTAGTGAAAACCTTTTTTCCCCTTTACATCCCATCATTTCCTCTAATAAGGGAGGGTGTGGCCTATCAATTTTAAATAACAAATCTGAAGTGGACACGACAAGCTGCAGTTGGAAATGCAGGTCTGGAACTCAGGAAAACATTGACACAGTGGGATTTTGTAAAACTGAATACATTGCACAAAATGTCAGCTATGGGTTACGTTACACAGTAATAGTGTCCTGCATTTAGCTCAAAGGAAATAGGCGCTAGTTTCTCCATGTTTAATAATCAAGAGGAAAGTGGTGCTCTGAACCAATTGAGTGAGGGTTGCTATCATATTGAGACCATGAAATTTTTTATTGTATGACTGAGTCAGTTTTATGTGCTTTGAATATTCCAAAGACAAACTATGTGAAGGCTAAATTCTGCATGTCAGGAGCCCTCCTCCCACAAACTTCATCAGTAAAATTCTTCTCCTACTTATTTAGATGCAAATGGCTTGCACTTGTGTTTTCATTATAGACTCTGCCTCTGAAATGGCCAGGAACCAGGGAAAGCATTTGGGCCACACTGTTAGTTGTATAGGATTTAATGTAATCAGATCAACCAAGCATTGATAGCTTGTTTCACACAGTCTTTTTTTTTGTAATGGCTTTTGCTCTAGGGGATTCCACCTGTAGTTTCTTATTCATTAAGCTAGCAACTGACTCACAGAGCCACACTTAGTGAATCTCACTCTAATGAACAGAAGTAAGAGCATAGAAGAGATGGAGTGGTTCATTTTGGTCTCTGAGAAAGCTTACAATGAGGTGAGAAGGAAATAATGGTGTAAGTCCTCAGTCAATCCCAAATTACTGTGTGCACTTCATGCAAGGACATCAGCTCCTGCCCTCCAAGAGCTCATATCTTAGGAGGAAAGACAGGGCACATCATTCACTGTACCAAAAGGCATAATGGAAGTTTCACATAAAGCTAACAGTGAAGTGCTATGTGCTAAAAATTACAGGATTCACTGAAACTTGGGGACATGGACCCAGATGTGTGGCAGGGCTTCACAGGGGAACTAACATTTGAGCTGGAAGGTGGGGAGGAAAAAAGTATTCCTGAGAAGTTTCCTCACATTTATTTCATTTTTGCCAGTTCCATGTGGAAATCATGGCCTTGAAATAACAAGGACTGCCTTTATTCTCCAAGCAAGAAACTGGTCTCCAGGCAAATTGAGTCTGTTTAAAAGTTCATTCTAACAGAGGGATTTACAGGTCAAAGTAAGTGTCCCTCTTGTTCCAAAGAACCCAGCTATTTTAGATGCTACCCCTAGACAGAGTAGAAACTCTGTTGTAATGGAATAAACATCAGAGAAGGAATTAAGAGCCATGGGTGTGAATCCCACCTTTGGAACAGATCAGCAGTGTAACCATGGACAAGGCATTTCTCTTCTCTGGGTCTCGGTCTCTTCTTTTGGGATACATTGCTGAAAATACCTGCTCTGCCTATCTCACAGAAATATTTATTAAATCAGGAAACAGCTGTCAACCATCTGCTATGTGCCAATTACCATACCAGGGATGGGATTACAATGATGAAGAGACCACTCTCTCAAGTTGCTTATAGTCCTGTGCAGAAGACAGAGAGCTAAACAGACACTAATAATCCTATGTGGTAACGTCTAAGACTGTTGTCCAAAGAGCCCTTAGATTGCTGTGAGCTGGAGGAAACCACAGTACTTGTAGGGCACAGACGAACATCATGGAAGAGGGAATATTTGAGAAAAGACTTGAAGGAAATATGTTGTGCCTATAAAAAGGAAAGGGTATTCCAGGCAGGAAAAAAATGTATGAAAAGACACAGATACATGAGAGTTTTGTTTTGTAAAATTATAAGTTTTTACAGATGGCTGGAGAATGGAAATGAGGTTGGAGCTACACCTCTGAGATAATTGTTAAAACTCAGATGTGCTCCCTCTGAAGGCTAAATGGAGCAGTAAAGTGGTGGCCCTCCTTCCTGCGTACTGAGCTTCTTGTCTATAGCTTGAAGATTTAATGGGACACCTCAGACAACTGGCATTCTCGTGACTAATGTGCTGCTTGGTTTGGGTGTTTGGTGGTAGTATATTTCAAGTGACTCATGCTGTACTGATAATGGCTATTAATGATTTGTTATTCTTTCTTTTTCACCATAAATCCCAAATCCTGCCCTTTACTCCATTATTATAGAAATAGCTGGCCTGGCACCTCAACTGCTCCTGAAGCAGTGTTATTTGTCCTTAGAGAGAGCATTCCTAAGAGTTCAGAGTAGGTTGTTCCACTTCGAGAAGGCCTAATTGACAGATTGCTTTCGGTATGGCTCATACTGAATTCCAGAGCCCCTTGTTCTCCTACAAAGTTCAAACTGTTCCCTCCTACATTATACTTAAACACAGTGATAGCCTCACTGAACAACCAGTACATATATTCAATAAACTTTAGATTTTTAACCTTTAGGATTCTAGTTAGTGTGGGAACCTTTTTTCTCTAACCTTATTTATGGTTTTCTCCTATTTTATGCCCTTATTTAAAAAATAATCAGTATTCTATGTGCAAAAGTCTAAGAATGATTTGATATTTTTCTGTGGGGCAGTTAATTTAGGTGACTCTTTCATTCAATTAATTTTGCAGATTTTTTTAATTCTTTAATTGAGATATAGCTTGCATATTTTAAAGTATACAAATATTATGTGTATAGCTCCGCAGTATTCTGGATAAGGAATATGTGCTAGAGGTTGCTGCATTAGAAGGGTAAAGTAATGGAGAAGTAGCTTATGATAACCAGAACCTCACTTTCCAGAAGTGTCACTCTCCGTGGGTCGAAGGCAAATGGGCACTGTCTTAATGCATTTGAACTGCTATAATAAAACACCTTAGACTGGGTAATTTATAAACAACAGAACTTATTTCTCACTGTTCTTGAGGTCAGGAAGGCCAAGATCAAGGCTCCAGTACATTCAGTGTCTAAAGGCTACCTCTCTGCTTCAAATATGGCAACTTTTTGCTGTGTCCTCACATGGCAGAAGAGACTAACATTTTCCTTTAGGTCACTTTTATAGGGCCAGTAACCCCATTCAAGAGGACAGAGCCCTCCTGACCTAATCACTTCTCTAATGCCCTATCACTTAATACTATCACATTAGTGGTTATATTAATATTTCAACATTTTAATTTCAGGGGGACACAAACATTCAGACCACAGCAGGCACTGAAGACATGGATGTAACAGTTTCTGAGTTGGAAAATTTACTCATTGGGTTAGTGTGTTGCATGGATTTCCATCAAAAAGCAAATGACTTACATGTGGTATTCAATCTAGTTCAGGAGACAAGACATATGTACCAGCAAAAATATCCTTAATATGCAAAGCACTGTATAATAAATGCAAAGTAAATACTGGCTTTTGTATCAATGGTATAATAAAATGTTAAAAATCAGCAAATCATACAGTAAGAATAATCTCTGATATGTTTGCTTGTTTTGAAAATGTACTTAGGTATTTCCAATAAAGATGAGATAAGGGCACCAAATAGCCAAGTCACTAATTTGTCTCTATTCCAAAGGTATAGAAAGAAATTATTTACCCTGTGACTTTTAGTCAATAGCAGGGATTTTGAACCCAATGAGATGGCATAGCATAATTGCTGGACCAAATGTTTCAAATGACCATATGCAGTTTATGGTTTACTGCTTGCTTCATTTCCCCTCCCTCCTTCAAGATTCTGATACATATACCTTCTGCCTGAGATGTGTGGAGAGTCAGTGGAAAGACATGAACCCAGTATGCTGAATCTCAGTCGTTAGACTTCTTGTCTTCCCTAGATACATCACTCCTTTTGTAGTATCATCTAGTCTTAGGGCTTCAATTAGCATCTGCAAGGTGTTAGCTAACAAGACACAGAGAACTGAAGTAACTTACACATAGCTACTACTACAAGCTGGGTTCATGGTGGACCTGGGTTTTAAATCTGGCAGTCTGGCTTTGGAATCCATGCTCTGTTTATAATAAATAAATAAAAATAATATGTATTTATGGTGTACAACAGAATGTCTTGATATATTTATGCATTGGGGAATAGCTAAATCAAGCTAATTTTCATATGCATTACCTCACATCTCAATTTTTGTGCTGAGAACACGTAAATTCTGCTCTCAGCGATTTTTAAATATATAAAACACTGTTATTAACTATACTCACCATGTTGTACAATAGATCTCTTGAATTTATTTTTCCTGTGTAACTGAAATTTTATATTCTTTGACCAACATCTCCTCAATCCTCCCACTTCCTGGCCACCATTCTACTCTCTTTCTATGAGTCCAACTTTTATACACTCCACATATAAATGAGATTGTAGAGTATTTGTCTTTCTGAGTGTGGCTTATTTTGCTTAAGATAATGTCCTCCATGTTGTCGCAAGTGGCAGGATTTCCTTTTCTTCTAAGGCCAGGTAGTATTTTATTGTGTATATATACCACATCTTTTTATCCATTTATCCACCAATGAATGCTTAAATTGATTCCGTATCTTGGCTATTGTGAATAATGCTGAAATAAACATGAAAATGCAGATATTTCTTCAACATACTGATTTCATTTCCTTTGGATGCATGTACACACAGTAGTGGGATTGCTGGGTTATATGGTATTTCTATTTTTAATTTTTGAGGAACCTCCATACTGTTTTTTATAATGGCCGTATGAAAGAGTTCTCTTTTCTCCACATTCTCGCCAACACCTATCTTTTATCTTTTTGATAGTAGCCATCCTAACAGGTGTGAGGTAATATCTGATTGTGGTTTTGATTTGAATTTCTCTGATTATTTATGAAGTTGAGCCTCTTTTCATACATCTAAGACAAACATTTATTCAGATCCTTTGCCTATATTAAAAATTGGGCTATTTGTTTTCTTGCTATTGTTGTTTGAGTTCCTTATGTATTTTGAATATTAACCCTTTATTTGATATATAGTATGCAATATTTTCTCCCGTTCCATAGGTTATCTCTTCACTGTGTTAACTGTTTCCTTGGATGTGCAGAAGCTTTTTAGGTTGATGTAATGCCATTTGGCTATTTCTGCTTTTGTTGCCTATGCTTTTGGGGTCATTTGCAAAAAATATCATTGCCCAGGCCAGTGCTGTTGAGCTTTCTCTCTCTGTTTTCTTCTACTAGTTTTATAGTTTCAACTCAAAATATATTGAGTTGACTTTTGAGTATGGTGTAAATGGGGTCCAATTTCATTCTTCTGTATGTGGATATCCTGTTTTCCCAACACCATTTATTGAAGAGACTGTTCTTTCCCCCATAGTGTGTCCTTGGCATCTTTTATGAAAACCAATTGACTGTAAATGTGCAGATCTATTTCTGGGCTCTCTATTCTGTTCCATTGGTCTATGTGTTTGTTTTTTTGTTAGTACCATGCTGTTTTGAGTACTATAGAAATCAAATAGGAGGAGCCAAGATGGCCGAATAGGAACAGCTCCGGTCTACAGCTCCCAGCGTGAGCGACGCAGAAGACGGGTGATTTCTGCATTTCCATCTGAGGTACCGGGTTTATCTAACTAGGGAGTGCCAGACAGTGGGTGCAGGCCAGTGGGTGCGCGCACCGTGTGCGAGCCCAAGCAGGGCGAGGCATTGCCTCACTTGGGAAGAGCAAGGGGTCAGGGAGTTCCCTTTCTGAGTCCAAGAAAGGGGTGACGGACGCACCTGGAAAATCGGGTCACTCCCACCCGAATATTGCGCTTTTCAGACCGGCTTAAGAAACGGCGCACCACGAGACTATATCCCACACCTGGCTCAGAGGGTCCTACGCCCACGGAATCTCGCTGATTGCTAGCACAGCAGTCTGAGATCAAACTGCAAAGCAGCAGCGAGGCTGGGGGAGGGGCGCCCGCCATTGCCCAGGCTTGCTTAGGTAAACAAAGCAGCCGGGAAGCTCGAACTGGGTGGAGCCCACCACAGCTCAAGGAGGCCTGCCTGCCTCTGTAGGCTCCACCTCTGGGGGCAGGGCACAGAGAAACAAAAAGACAGCAGTAACCTCTGCAGACTTAAGTGTCCCTGTCTGACAGCTTTGAAGAGAGCAGTGGTTCTCCCAGCACGCAGCTGGAGATCTGAGAACCGGCAGACTGCCTCCTCAAGTGGGTCCCTGACCCCTGACCCCTGACCCCTGAGCAGCCTAACTGGGAGGCACCCCCCAGCAGGGGCACACTGACACCTCACACTGCAGGGTATTCCAACAGACCTGCAGCTGAGGGTCCTGTCTGTTAGAAGGAAAACTAACAAACAGAAAGGACATCCACACCGAAAACCCATCTGTACATCACCATCATCAAAGACCAAAAGTAGATAAAACCACAAAGATGGGGAAAAAACAGAACAGAAAAACTGGAAACTCTAAAACGCAGAGCGCCTCTTCTCCTCCTCCAAAGGAACGCAGTTCCTCACCAGCAACGGAACAAAGCTGGATGGAGAATGACTTTGACGAGCTGAGAGAAGAAGGCTTCAGACGATCAAATTACTCTGAGCTACGGGAGGACATTCAAACCAAAGGCAAAGAAGTTGAAAACTTTGAAAAAAATTTAGAAGAATGTATAACTAGAATAACCAATACAGAGAAGTACTTAAAGGAGCTGATGGAGCTGAAAACCAAGGCTCGAGAACTACGTGAAGAATGCAGAAGCCTCAGGAGCCGATGCGATCAACTGGAAGAAAGGGTATCAGTAATGGAAGATGAAATGAATGAAATGAAGCGAGAAGGGAAGTTTAGAGAAAAAAGAATAAAAAGATATGAGCAAAGCCTCCAAGAAATATGGGACTATGTGAAAAGACCAAATCTACGTCTGATTGATGTACCTGAAAGTGATGGGGAGAATGGAACCAAGTTGGAAAACACTCTGCAGGATATTATCCAGGAGAACTTCCCCAATCTAGCAAGGCAGGCCAACGTTCAGATTCAGGAAATACAGAGAACACCACAAAGATACTCCTCGAGAAGAGCAACTCCAAGACACATAATTGTCAGATTCACCAAAGTTGAAATGAAGGAAAAAATGTTAAGGGCAGCCAGAGAGAAAGGTCGGGTTACCCTCAAAGGGAAGCCCATCAGACTAACAGCGGATCTCTCAGCAGAAACCCTACAAGCCAGAAGAGAGTGGGGGCCAATATTCAACGTTCTTAAAGAAAAGAATTTTCAAACCAGAATTTCATATCCAGCCAAACTAAGCTTCATAAGTGAAGGAGAAATAAAATACTTCACAGACAAGCCAATGCTGAGAGATTTTGTCACCACCAGGCCTGCCCTAAAAGTGCTCCTGAAGGAAGCGCTAAACATGGAAAGGAACAACCGGTACCAGCTGCTGCAAAATCATGCCAAAATGTAAAGACCATCGAGACTAGGAAGAAACTGCATCAACTAACGAGCAAAATCACCAGCTAACATCATAATGACAGGATCAAATTCACACATAACAATATTAACTTTAAATGTAAATGGACTAAATTCTCCAATTAAAAGACACAGACTGGCAAATTGGATAAAGAGTCAAGACCCATCAGTGTGCTGTATTCAGCAAACCCATCTCACGTGCAGAGACACACATAGGCTCAAAATAAAAGGATGGAGGAAGATCTACCAAGCTAATGGAAAACAAAAAAAGGCAGGGGTTGCAATCCTCGTCTCTGATAAAACAGACTTGAAACCAACAAAGATCAAAAGAGACAAAGAAGGCCATTACATAATGGTAAAGGGATCAATTCAACAAGAAGAGCTAACTATCCTAAATATATATGCACCCAATACAGGAGCACCCAGATTCATAAAGCAAGTCCTGAGTGACCTACAAAGAGACTTAGACTCCCACACAATAATAATGGGAGACTTTAACACCCCACTGTCAACATTAGACAGATCAACGAGACAGAAAGTCAACAAGGATACCCAGGAATTGAACTCAGCTCTGCACCAAGTGGACCTAATAGACATCTACAGAACTCTCCACCCCAAATCAACAGAATATACATTTTTTTCAGCACCACACCACACCTATTCCAAAATTGACCACATAGTTGGAAGAAAAGCTCTCCTCAGCAAATGTAAAAGAACAGAAATGATAACAAACTATCTCTCAGACCACAGTGCAATCAAACTAGAACTCAGTATTAAGAATCTCACTCAAAGCCTCTCAACTACATGGAAACTGAACAACCTGCTCCTGAATGACTACTGGGTACATAACGAAATGAAGGCAGAAATAAAGATGTTCTTTGAAACCAACGAGAACAAAGACACAACATACCAGAATCTCTGGGACGCATTCAAAGCAGTGTGTAGAGGGAAATTTATAGCACTAAATGCCCACAAGAGAAAGCAGGAAAGATCCAAAATTGACACCCTAACATCACAATTAAAAGAACTAGAAAAGCAAGAGCAAACACATTCAACAGCTAGCAGAAGGCAAGAAATAACTAAAATCAGAGCAGAACTGAAGGAAATAGAGACACAAGAAACCCTTCAAAAAATCAATGAATCCAGGAGCTGGTTTTTTGAAAGGATCAACAAAATTGATAGACCACTAGCAAGGCTAATGAAGAAAAAAAGAGAGAAGAATCAAATAGACACAATAAAAAATGATAAAGGGGATATCACCACTGATCCCACAGAAATACAAACTACCATCAGAGAATACTACAAACACCTCTATGCAAATAAACTAGAAAATCTAGAAGAAATGGATAAATTCCTCGACACATACACTCTCCCAAGACTAAACCAGGAAGAAGTTGAATCTCTGAATAGACCAATAACAGGAGCTGAAATTGTTGCAATAATCAATAGTTTACCAACCAAAAAGAGTCCAGGACCAGATGGATTCACAGCTGAATTCTACCAGAGGTACAAGGAGGAACTGGTACCATTCCTTCTGAAACTATTCCAATCAATAGAAAAAGAGTGAATCCTCCCTAACTCATTTTATGAGGCCAGCATCATTCTGATACCAAAGCCGGGCAGAGACACAACCAAAAAAGAGAATTTTAGACCAATATCCTTGATGAACAATGATGCAAAAATCCTCAATAAAATACTGGCAAAACGAATCCAGCAGCACATCAAAAAGCTTATCCACCATGATCAAGTGGGCTTCATCCCTGGGATGCAAGGCTGGTTCAATATACACAAATCAATAAATGTAATCCAGCATATAAACAGAGCCAAAGACAAAAACCACATGATTATCTCAATAGATGCAGAAAAAGCCTTTGACAAAATTCAACAACCCTTCATGATAAAAACTCTCAATAAATTAGGTATTGATGGGATGTATTTCAAAATAATAAGAGCTATCTATGACAAACCCACAGCCAATATCATACTGAATAGGCAAAAACTGGAAGCATTCCCTTTGAAAACTGGCACAAGACAGGGATGCCCTCTCTCACCACTCCTATTCAACATAGTGTTGGAAGTTCTGGCCAGGGCAATCAGGCAGGAGAAGGAAATAAAGGGTATTCAAGTAGGAAAAGAGGGAGTCAAATTGTCCCTGTTTGCAGATGACATGATTGTATATCTAGAAAACCCCATTGTCTCAGCCCAAAATATCCTTAAGCTGATAAGCAACTTCAGCAAAGTCTCAGGATACAAAATCAATGTACAAAAATCACAAGCATTCTTATACACCAACAACAGACAAACAGAGAACCAAATCATGAGTGAACTCCCATTCACAATTGCTTCAAAGAGAATAAAATACCTAGGAATCCAACTTACAAGGGATGTGAAGGACCTCTTCAAGGAGAACCACAAACCACTGCTCAAGGAAATAAAAGAGGATACAAATGGAAGAATATTCCATGCTCATGGGTAGGAAGAATCAATATCGTGAAAATGGCCATACTGCCCAAGGTAATTTACAGATTCAATGCCATCCCCATCAAGCTACCAATGACTTTCTTCACAGAATTGGAAAAAACTACTTTAAAGTTCATATGGAACCAAAAAAGAGCCCGCATTGCCAAGTCAATCCTAAGCCAAAAGAACAAAGCTGGAGGCATGACACTACCTGACTTCAAACTATACTACAAGGCTACAGTAACCAAAACAGCATGGTACTGGTACCAAAACAGAGATATAGATCAATGGAACAGAACAGAGCCCTCAGAAATAACACCACATATCTACAACTATCTGATCTTTGACAAACCTGAGAAAAACAAGAAATGGGGAAAGGATTCCCTATTTAATAAATGGTGCTGGGAAAACTGGCTAGCCATATGGAGAAAGCTGAAACTGGATCCCTTCCTTACACCTTAGACAAAAATCAATTCAAGATGGATTAGAGATTTAAACGTTAGACCTAAAACCATAAAAACCCTAGAAGAAAACCTAGGCAATACCATTCAGGACATAGGCATGGGCAAGGACTTCATGTCCAAAACACCAAAAGCAATGGCAACAAAAGCCAAAATTGACAAATGGGATCTAATTAAACTAAAGAGCTTCTGCACAACTAAAGAAACTACCATCAGAGTGAACAGGCAACCTACAAAATGGGAGAAAATTTTCGCAACCTACTCATCTGACAAAGGGCTAATATCCAGAATCTACAATGAACTCAAACAAATTTACAAGAAAAAAACAAACAACCCCATCAAAAAGTGGGCGAAAGACATGAACAGACACTTCTCAAAAGAAGACATTTATGCAGCCAAAAAACACATGAAAAAATGCTCATCATCACTGGCCATCAGAGAAATGCAAATCAAAACCACAATGAGATACCATCTCACACCAGTTAGAATGGCAATCATTAAAAAGTCAGGAAACAACAGGTGCTGGACAAGATGTGGAGAAATAGGAACACTTTTACACTGTTGGTGGGACTGTAAACTAGTTCAACCATTGTGGAAGTCAGTGTGGCGATTCCTCAGGGATCTAGAACTGGAAATACCATTTGACCCAGCCATCCCATTACTGGGTATATACCCAAAGGACTATAAATCATGCTGCTATAAAGACACATGCACACGTATGTTTATTGCGGCATTATTCACAATAGCAAAGACTTGGAACCAACCCAAACGTCCAACAATGATAGACTGGATTAAGAAAATGTGGCACATATACACCATGGAATACTATGCAGCCATAAAAAAGGATGAGTTCATGTCCTTTGTAGGGACATGGATGAAATTGGAAATCATCATTATCAGTAAACTATCGCAAGAACAAAAAACCAAACACCGCATATTCTCACTCATATGTGGGAATTGAACAATGAGATCACATGGACACAGGAAGGGGAATATCACACTCTGGGGACTGTGGTGGGGTGGGGGGAGGGGGGAGGGATAGCATTGGGAGATATACCTAATGCTAGATGACGAGTTAGTGGGTGCAGCGCACCAGCATGGCACATGTATACATATGTAACTAACCTGCACAATGTGCACATGTACCCTAAAACTTAAAGTATAATAAAAAAAAATTAAAAAAAAAATAAAGATACCCTAAAAAAAAAAAAAAAAGAAATCAAATAGTGCAATGCTTTGTTCTTTTTGATTTGTTATTTTTGCTTAAGATTGCTTTCACTATTTGGGGACTTTTTTGGTTCCATACAAATTTTATGATTTCTTTCTATTTCTGTGAAAAATGTCATTGAATTTTTTATAAGAATTGCATTGAATCTCTAGCTCACTTTGGGTAGTGTCAATATTTTAATAATATGAATTCTTTCAATCCATGAACACAAGATGATTTTCAATTTATTTGTGTCTTCAATTTCTTTCATCAACGTTTAGTGTACAGATCTTTCATCTCTGAAAATGTTAAATTTATTCTCAAGCATATCTTTGTAGCTATAGTGAATTGGATTATTTTCTTGATGTATTTTTTAAATAGTGTGTAGAAATGTTACTGAATTTTTCCCGTTGATTCTGTATCCTGCAACTTTACTGAGTCCATTTATTAGTTCTGACAATTGTTTGTTGGGGTCTTTAGGATTTTCAATATATGTAATCATGTGATATGCAGACAGAGACAATTTAATGTCTTCCTTTCCTATTTAGATGTCTGTTATTTCTTTCCCTTGCCTAATTGCTCCGGCTGCAAAATCCCAGAGACTCTACCAAAAGACTCCTAAATTTGATAAATGAATTCAGTCGTTTCAGGATACAAAATCCACATATAAAAATCAATAGCATTTCCATATACTAGTAATGATCAAGCTAAGAAACAAGTCAAGAATGCAAGCTCATTTACAATAGCTACAAAAAGTATGTAGGAATACGTTTAACCAAGGAGGTGAAAGATCTCAACAACGAAAACTACAAAACACCGATGAAAGTAGTAAATGACACAAAGAAATGGGAAAACATCCCAGGCTTATGCATTGGAAGAGTCAAAATTGTTAAAATGACCACACTATTCAAAGCAATCTAGAGATTCAGTGCAATTCCTACCAAAATACCAATGTCATTTTTTCACAGAATTAGAAAAAAATCTTAAAATTAACATAGAACCACAAAAGAGCACAAAGAGCTGAAGCAATCCTAAACAAAAAGAACAAAGCTGGAGGCATCACATTACCTGGTTTCAAATTATTCTACAAGGCTATACTAACCCAAACAGCATGGTATTGGTATAGAAGTAGACAAATTGATCAATGGAAAAGAGTAGAGAATTCAGAAATAAAGCTTCATACCTACAGCCAATCGATCTTTGAGAAAATCAACGGAAACATACACTGGAGAAAGGACACCCTATTCAATAAATGGTACTGGGAAATTTGGGTTGCAATACGCAGAAGAAGGTAAGTGGACCTCTATCTTTTACCATATACAAAAATTTACTCAGGATGGATTAAAGACTCAAATGTAAGATCTGAAACTATTAAAATACTAGAAGAAAATCTAGAAAAACTCTACTGATCATTGGCCTTGGCAAAGAATTTATGACTAGGATCTCAAAAGGAAGTGCAATGAGAACAAGAATAGAGAAATGGGACTTAATTAAATGAAAAATACTTTTGCACAGCAAAAGATATAATCAAAAAAGTGAATAGACAACCTGCAGAATGAGAGAACATATATGCAAACTATGCCTCCAACAAATAAATGATATCCAGAATCTATAAGGAGCTTAAACAAATCAGCAAGGAAAACAAAAATAACCCCATTAAAAAGTGGGCAAAGGACAAGAACTGACATTTGTTTTTCATGTACTTATTTATTTATTTTATTTATTTTTTTTGAGGGGAAAAACATTTTTATTTTTTAATTTTTTTTATTATTATACTTTAAGTTTTAGGGTACATGTACACAATGTGCAGCTTAGTTACACATGTATACATGTGCCATGCTGGTGCACTGCACCCACTAACTCCTCATCTAGCATTAGGTATATCTCCCAATGCTATCCCTCCCCCCTCCCCCCACCCCACAACAGTCCCTAGAGTGCGATGTTCCCCCTCCTGTGTCCATGTGTTCCCATTGTTCAATTCCCACCTATGAGTGAGAATATGCGGTGTTTGGTTTTTTGTGCTTGCAATAGTTTACTGAGAATGATGATTTCCAATTTCATCCATGTCCCTACAAAGGACATGAACTCATCCTTTTTTATGGCTGCATAGTATTCCATGGTGTATATGTGCCACATTTTCTTAATCCAGTCTATCATTGTTGGACGTTTGGGTTGGTTCCAAGTCTTTGCTATTGTGAATAATGCCGCAATAAACATACGTGTGCATGTGTCTTTATAGCAGCATGATTTATAGTCCTTTGGGTATATACCCAGTAATGGGATGGCTGGGTCAAATGGTATTTCTAGTTCTAGATCCCTGAGGAATCGCCACACCGACTTCCACAATGGTTGAACTAGTTTACAGTCCCACCAACAGTGTAAAAGAGTTCTATTTCTCCACATCCTCTCCAGTACCCATTGTTTCCTGACTTTTTAATGATCGCCATTCTAACTGGTGTGAGATGGTATCTCATTGTGGTTTTGATTTGCATTTCTCTGATGGCCAGTGATGATGAGCATTTTTTCATGTGTTTTTTGGCTGCATAAATGTCTTCTTTTGAGAAGTGTCTGTTCATGTCCTTCGCGCACTTTTTGATGGCTAAAACACCAAAAGCAATGGCAACAAAAGCCAAAATTGACAAATGGGATCTAATTAAACTAAAGAGCTTCTGCACAGCAAAAGAAACTACCATCAGAGTGAACAGGCATCCCACAAAATGGGAGAAAATTTTCGCAACCTACTCATCTGACAGAGGGCTAATATCCAGAATCTACAATGAACTCAAACAAATGTACAAGAAAAAAAAAACAAACAACCCCATCATGAACCGACATTTTTCAAAAGAAGACATACAAGTGGCCAATAAACATGATAAAATGCCCAACATCACTAGTTATCAGTGAAATGCAAATTAAAACCATAATGAGATACCATTTTCCACCAGTCAGAATGGCTGTTATTAAAATGCAAAAACAAACAAACAAAAAAACAGATGTTGACAAGGATGCAGGTAAAAGAGAATGCTTACACACAGTTGGGAATTTGAATTAGCATAACCTCTATGGAAAACAATATGGAGATTTCTCAAAGACCTAAAAATAGTAGCTCCATTTGTTTCAGTAGTCTCGCTCTTGGGTATCTACACAAAGACAAATCATTATATCAAAATGATATTTGTACTTGGATGTTTATTGCAGCACTGTTCACAATAGCAAATATATGGAACCATCCTAAGTGTACATTAATGGATGATTGGATAAATAAAATTATATATATATGTATATATATATAATGCTGTATATATATACACAATGTTACATATATACACACACACACACACAATAGAACACTATTTATCAATAAAATAATGAAATTATCTCTTTTTCACCAACATGGATGCAATTGGAGGTCGTTACCTTACGTGAAACAACTAAGAAACAGAAAGTCAAATACTGCATGTTATCGTTTATAAGTGGGAACTAAATAATGTATACACATCGACATAGAGAGTGGAATAATAGACATTGGAGAGTTGAAAGGGTAGGAGAGTAGGAAGGGGTGAGGGAAGGGAAATTACCTAAATGGCACAATATACATTATTCGGGTGATAGTTACACTAAAAACCGTAATTTCACCGCTATGTAATATATCTGTGTAACAAAATGGCACTTGTACCCCCTAAATCTACAAATAAATTAATAAATGGCTAAGGTAAGCATGCTTTCTAAAAAGAAAAAAAAGAATCCATGCTCTTAAACACTGTGCTATAAGGCTGATATTGATTCATTTAAAATAAAAACTTTTTGAAGTATAACTTACATATTATAAAATTTATTTTACATGTACAATTCAGTGATTTTTAGTAGATTTATAGAATTGTGCAACTGTAACCAAAATTCAAGTTTAGAACATACTATCACTTCCAAAAATCTCTCTACAAATTTGTAGTAACACTCTGTTCTCACCCCAACACCAGTCGACTACTAATGTACTTTCTGTCTCTATAGATTCGTCTTTCTTGGACATGTCATGTGAATGGAATCATACAGTGTGCGACATTTTGTGTCTCGCTATTTTCACTTAGCATAACACATTTGAGATTCATCCATGCCATTGTGTGTATTCCTTTTTTCTTGATGATTAACATTCCATTGTATAGATATACCACATCTTGTTCATCCAGTCACAATAATGGACATTTGGGTTGTTTCCACCTTTTATCTATTGTGAATAAAGCTGCTATAAACAGGTCTTTCTTTGGACATATGTTTTCATTTATCTTTGTTAGTGAATAATTAGAGTAATTAAAGTAAGAATTAGAGTAAAACCACAGGGTCTTACGGTAAGCTTATGTTAAACTTTTTAAGAAACTGCCAAAATATTGTCCAAAGTGTGATTTCCATCCACCATAATTTATGATCTTATGTTTTTCCCAAATCCTTGTCAACATTTGAAATTGTTGATCTTTTTTATTTTAGCCATTTTAGTGTGCATGTAGTAGTATCTCATTGTAGTTTTAATTTGCATTTTTTAAATGACTAATGTCGAACATCTTTTCATGTGCTTATTAGCTAACAGAATATCTTATTTGCATATATACATATATACACGTATATACACACGTGTATACACACACGTGTACACACACACGTGTACACACACGTATATATACACGTATATGTATACATATATACGTGTATATATACATATACGTGTATGTATACATATGTGTGTATATATACGTGTATGTATATATATACATATATATGTGTATATATACATATGTGTGTATATATACATATATGTGTGTATATATATATATACACTTCTCATTTTTGTATTAGGTTGTTTTTCTTCTCATTATTGAGTTCTAAGGGTTATTTATGTATTTTTAATGCAAGTCCTTTATCAGATGTATGTTTCACAAATATATTCACTTTCTTTGTGCCTTGTCTTTTCATTTTCTTAAAGGTATCTTTTGACAAGCAAAAGCTTTGAATTTTTATGAAGTCTAATTTATCATATTTTTTTCTTGTATGCATCATGATTTTGGTGTCACACCTAAGAAATCTTTGTGCAACTCAAGATAACAAAGATTTTCTCCTATGTTCTCCTTTAGAAATTTTAGCTCTTAAATTTCGATTTATGATCCATTGTTAGTTGATTTTTGCTTATGGTGTGAGGTAACAGTCTAAGTTCATATCTTGCACTTGTATATTAAATTCTCCTAGAAACATTGAGAAAGCTATTTTTTGTCTCCACTGAATTGCTTGGCACCTTGGTCAAAAATCAATTGACTATAAATATCAAAGTTTATTTCTGGATTTTCTATTTTTTTCCATTAGTCTATATTATAATATTTAGGCCAAAACTGCACCATATTGATTACTGTAGCTTTAAAACTGGAAAGTGTAAGTACTCATGATTTTTTTTGAAAGATGCTTTGGCTATTCTAGATCCTTTGTGTTCTCATATAAATTTTAGAATCAACCTGCCATTTTCACAAAAAGAAAATCTGGGATTTTGAAAGCGCATGTGTTGAATATATAGAGCAATTTGGAGAGAATTGCCACCTTAATGCTATTAGGACTTCTAAATTTGTGAACACGGAAAGTCTGAACATGTCACCTTCAAATAAAGACAGTTTTGATTTTTGCTTTCCAATCATTCTCTTATATTCTTTTGGTTGCCTAATTATTTAGACAGCTTTATTGAAATATGATTCACATGTCATACAATTTATCCTCTTGAAGTGTACAATTAAATGATTTTTAATATATTCACAGTTGTGCAACCATCACCAAGATCTAATTTCAGAACATTTTAGTCACCTCAAAAAAGAAACTCCATACCATTAGCAGTCATTCCCCATTTCTTTTCTTCTTTGACTGGCTAAATTCTTCAATAAGAAGTTGAATAAGGAAGAAAAAACATCCTTGCTTGATCTTAGGGGAAGTATCTTAGTCTTTCACTATTAACTATGATGCTAGATGAGGGTTTTAGTAAGTGCCATTTATCAGTTGAGGAAGTTGCCTTCTATTCCTAGATTTTTGAGAGTTTTTAATCATAAAGCAGTTTTAGACTTCATCTTCCTGGTTTTGTTTTTGACCTCCTTTAACTTTTTCTCTATAAAGTTGTCATAATTTTAAAATGTTAGTTTGATCAAATTACCCTCTGCTTAAAATCCCACAGTGCCTCTATATTTCACTCATAGTGAAAGCAAAAATATCCAGGAGCCCTTATACTATCTAGTTTATGCCACATAGCTTCCTCTTTGAACTCATCTTCTATTACTCTTCCCCTTGATCTCTACAAGACAGCCACAGTAGCCTAGTTGCTATTTCTTGAGCACCCTGGGCACACTTCTACCTCAGGGCCTTTGCACTGCTACCCCTTCTAACTTGAATGCTCTTTCCCCAGGTTTCTACAAGGCTCATTCTCTCATCTGCTTCAGATTGTTGCTCAAATGTCACCTACTCAGTGAGGTACCTGCTAAACACCCTATTAAAAGTTGCAACCCCTTCCAAAGCATGGTAAAATGAGAGTCATAACTGAAATATGTATGTGGGGGAGAAGGGTGCAGATGCAGGGCCAAAAAGGTCGTCAGATTTTCATTTGTATCCTCGTCTCCCAAAGAAGGGGCTTCCTGGGTTGCCTCTTACTTTGTATCTGATCTTCGCATAAAGAGCAAAGCAGGCCAACCCCTGTATTGCGACTATAGTTCTATGATCTGAATGCCACATTTTCAGGGGATTCTGACCTTTTTTGAAAAGCTCACTGAAAACTGCTAGCAAAAATACAACCAAACTTAGTAGAGCTTCACAAATGAATCCATGAAGAGGGAGAAAGGTTGGAAAAGGAGAGAGGACATGGAATTTTTACAGGGTTTATTTTGCTGATCTGAAGTCAGAGGCAACCATGTCACTTAAAGGCTCTGATTCTGCCCCAGCTTTCTCTTTGAAATTATTTTTTATATTTAGTAAAAATAATAATGATGATAGTGATAATCCTCTGGAATAGATAAAGACTTTGATTTCTTTTTTTCTAATCTGTGCCTCCTACCACCCTATAAATCCCTGATGTTGTTAAATGAATAAATGTTGAATGGATGGATGGATTATGTAAGGGAAGGGGATATTGTCTCTATTCCTTTTTATAGGTGAGGGAACTAAAGTTCCCTTGGATATTTACAAAATTTCCGATGTGTCTTGGACAAAAGCTGAATTCTGAAGCTAGCCTGCAATGCTCCACCAATCTGACTTTTATTCTTAAGGCATAAAAGGGGTTTCATGACTCAAAGAACCAGACACAAGAGAAACGTATTTCACTGAAAAACATGCTCCTTGTGTTGGATACTGAAAAGATTCCATGAGAGTTTAATAAAGAAAATGGTGTTCCTTTTCTCCACTTATATTATTATTTCCAAGACACTGCCTCTTATGAGTAATGCCAAGGGGAAATTACTTTATGTCTAGCCAGCAGTTCTGGGGACATGGAGAATAAGATCACAACAAATAGACTATCAAAGCAGGATGCAAAGGTAGTGATTTCTGATTAGGGGCAAAACTGATTTATAATAACTTTTCTATCTTTCTTCCCATCCACTTCTTGCTCAACCCACCTAAGCACAGAGGAGACAGAAAAAGCAAATGTTTGTAGGGGCAAGGTACTTCATAAACCAAATTATGTTGTGCTCTTTTCATTAGTTCTTAAACATGTCAATGCTGTCTGATCTTCTTGCCCTCCTTATCTCCCTTCACATATTGAGATAGGATTGTCAATATCCCTTCAAGTTTTTTCTGCAACAGAAAGCACTCTGACTGTATTCAGGCTAATGTACTCAACTCTTGCCCTGTGTCAATGGTTAACTGCATATGTGAGGGTTAGCTTTCTCTTCCTATAGCAGTGGTCACTATGAGGGCAATGATTGTAGCTTGTGCCTCTGGTTCTTCCTTCTTTTCTTAGTATCTTCACATGACTACCTTATACATAGAACATACTTGCTCAAAGATAACCAAAGATAACTAGAGCATCTCTCATATGACTTAAAGATTACTGAGGACCTGAGGAGACCGTTACCCTCAGATGAATGGAAAATTGCTAGTGTAGAAAGAACACCAGATTTGCACTGCAGCTCTCCGGGTTGTGTGACTTGAGAAACTCACTTTAACACCATGAATTCTTATTTTTGAAATAAAGATGATAATAATGTCTGCAATATGTCCCTCACAGGGTCACTATAGGGAGCAAATTAGGTAAATAGAATCCTTAGTTCCAGGCAACCAGGGTCCCTACATCACAAATGTTAGCAGTAGGCCTGAGTGGAATTACTGATGGGAATGTTCTTTTTTTTTTAAAAAAAAAAATGTAACCCATTTAATTATGAGTTTATACAATTTAACTTTTTTTAATATATATATATATTTATTATCATTATACTTTAAGTTTTAGGGTACATGTGCACAATGTGCAGGTTAGTCACATATGTATACATGTGCCATGCTCGTGTGCTGCACCCATTAACTCGTCATCTAGCATTAGTTATATCTCCTAATGCTATCCCTCCCCCCTCCCCCCACCCCACAACAGTCCCCAGAGTGTGATGTTCCCCTTCCTGTGTCCATGTGTTCTCATTGTTCAATTCCCACCTATGAGTGAGAACATGCGGTGTTTGGTTTTTTGTCCTTGCGATAGTTTACTGAGAATGATGATTTCCAATTTCATCCATGTCCCTACAAAGGAAATGAACTCATCATTTTTTATGGCTGCATAGTATTCCATGGTGTATATGTGCCACATTTTCTTAATCCAGTCTATCATTGTTGGGCATTTGGGTTGGTTCCAAGTCTTTGCTATTGTGAATAGTGCCACAATAAACATACGTGTGCATGTGTCTTTATAGCAGCATGATTTATAGTCCTTTGGGTACATACCCAGTAATGGGATGGCTGGGTCAAATGGTATTTCTAGTTCTAGATCCCTGAGGAATCGCCACACCGACTTCCACAATGGTTGAACTAGTTTACAGTCCCACCAACAGTGTAAAAGAGTTCTATTTCTCCACATCCTCTCCAGTACCTGTTGTTTCCTGACTTTTTAATGATTGCCATTCTAACTGGTGTGAGATGGTATCTCATTGTGGTTTTGATTTGCATTTCTCTGATGGCCAGGGATGATGAGCATTTTTTCATGTGTTTTTTGGCTGCATAAATGTCTTCTTTTGAGAAGTGTCTGTTCATATCCTTCGCCCACTTGTTGATGGGGTTGTTTGTTTTTTTCTTGTAAATTTGTTTGAGTTCATTGTAGATTCTGGATATTAGCCTTTTGTCAGATGAGTAGGTTGCAAAAATTTTCTCCCCTTTTGTAGGTTGCCTGTTCACTCTGATGGTAGTTTCTTTAGCTGTGCAGAAGCTCTTTAGTTTAATTAGATCCCATTTTTCAATTTTGGCTTTTGTTGCCATTGCTTTTGGTGTTTTAGACATGAAGTCCTTGCCCATGCCTATGTCCTGAATGGTAATACCTAGGTTTTCTTCTAGGGTTTTTATGGTTTTAGGTCTTAGGTTTAAGTCTTTCTTTAGAAGGTGTAACATACTGTGAGCATCTCATAGGTTATTAGCAATGATCATCATAATGATAACAATTATACATTGAACCTTCTATGCCTTCATAGACACATGGATGTCTGTAATTTGACAAGAAATATCTCCTGGTATCTCACTCTCATTAACCAAAGAAAAACCGTGTTAAGCAGCAATAGCCTGCGGATATTTTCTTGTTAAGATCTTGCTTCCTAACACTGTTACAGTAGCACTGTGATGTGAAGAGTGAGAAATGGAGACACCACACATGGGATCCCTTGCATGCACTTCTTTATTTGTTGCCTCAACAAAACACTTCCCCACAGGCTTCTTTGGTAATTGCATAGAAGTGAGGCATGTTTTTTTCAGTCTCATATATTGATATTTTATTAGGCGAGATTTCTGGTCCTAAGGAGTACTTGGGCCCTGTAAAGTTCTCAGCAGGAGTGCCTATCTAAGGGAAGAAGCCATTGGGGGAATGGGTGACGCTATAATTGATAACCAGTTTCTCAACTTATTAGAACTCCAAAAGGATGGCAGAGGTTGAGTCCAATATAACCAGGAAGTATAAAGGCTAGTTAGAAGTAGCTCATGACGGCTAGCTTCCAAGCTACTCTTAGGTTTTGCTGTGTGAGCCCCATTTCTACATAGGAGGCTACTATCTAACCCGAGGAAAGTTAAGCCTTGAAAAAAATAAAAAAAAAAAAATCAGAAGGGGAAACCTTGAAATAGACTATTCAGAGAGACTATTGCAGGGGAATGAGTATGTAAACATGTCATACACCATTCAGATTTCCACTGAGCAATCCATCCAGCATCTTTTCCAAATGTTGCCTCTGTTGACAGAGCATGAGCTCTTTAGACTTGACCTCTGAGGTTTCCGATGTCCTCCATCACCTTTGTATTTTTTCCTGGAGTGGTCAGTTTTCGTGTGTGTGTGTGTGTGTGTGTGTGCGTGTGTGTGTGTGCGTGTGTGTGTGTGCGTGTGTGTGGTGTATGTGTGTGTGTGTTCCTCAAGAGCCATCTCTTTCAACAAAGCTATAGCAGTTCCTGTGAGCAGCAGAATTATGTTTTTTGTCTGTCTGTTAATGATCAGGGTAAAGATATTCTTTCTACATATCTCTTCTCTTCAGTGCAATCTTTAAATTGGTTAACTCACAGAATAGCCTGCTGAGAAGAAATATTTCGGAAATAATTAAACTGCAATCAGAAGTGAATGAGTCAGAACCTGGTGTTTCCAGGCTTCTTGGGGGGGGTGTCTAAGGAAGTACAGTTAGGGCAGAAAAGTTATATCTGTTTTTCAAAGGTGACAGGATGGGATTCAGATATGATGATATGATCCAAAAATATGAGTACTTAATGCCTCTTTGAGAGGCTATCTAGTTCATTTTATCCATCCTTTGTGTTCATAAAGACTTGAATCTCAGTGAACTTAAACAAACAAAAATCTCGTTATTCTTAGGAACTGAGTGGGAATGCAGCCCTGTGTTTAATAACATTTATTTTAGCTTAATTTCATTTTCTGTTTGCCTTTCTTTTAGGTTAACAATTCATGCTGAGTGTCCCATGCATTTGGAAGATTTTCCCATGGATGTGCATGCCTGCCCACTGAAGTTTGGAAGCTGTATGTATTTTCTCTCTCTCTCTCTGTCTTTTTTTTTTGCCTGATCTTCCAAAAGAAACTTAACATATTATATTCTGTCCACTGCAAGTTTCTAAAGCTGAGGCCTTTAATCCGGGCTGGTATCAGGGTGGGTCAGAGAGTGGGGTTGAGTAGTACTAACTAATCAGGGGGAGGAGACTTAGCCTTTAACAAGAATTTTCTTTCTAAGAAGTAAACTTTATTTTGCTATTTCAGACTAATTTCTCTGTCATTAGATTGAAACATTAATGTCTGTTTTCTAAATTGCCCAAAGGACAGAGCAAGACAGAAGTGATATAAAATACAGTCACAGCTACCTAAGGACAAGATATGTCAAACAGAATGTGGTTAGATTTTTTGAAGTGCGTATTCTACCTGCATCTTCATATACTTCTATCCAATTCTTAACAGTGTGTGATAGGCAGGAAGAGACTCTGAAGATTTGCTCACTTTTGAAAGTATTACCTTTTCCAGTAGCTGTACATTTTACAGAAAAAGTAGTAAATATATAGTCCATTTTCAAATGAATTAGAAAAATCAACATTGAATAGAATTTGAGTGAGTTTTTGAACTGAAAAATTTCAGAGTGAGTTTCACATAGAGAGTCATCAGAGTAATATACCAAAATCTGTGTTGATCATGTCAAAATTAATTTAGCTGTGTTTTGAAACAGAAAGTGCATTTGAAAAGACCCAAATAATTAAGTGCAACATGTTTCCTCAATCATTAGTTTTTCAGATCTTTACAGATTGTATTCTGTGTGCCAGGTTCTATTCTAGGAGCTTGGAATGCATCCGTGAATAAAACAAAAGCCTTGCTCTTTTGGAGCTATATTATAGAGAGACGAGTGGCAGTGAAAGATAAAATAATGGATTAAAGGGTAAAGCATAAGGCATGTTGTAATATGAGAAGCAACATGGGAAAACATAAAAGTACTGCAGAATTAGGGGAATCATCCATGCCTAGGTGGAGGATTTGTGTTACCACTGAAATTGAAAGTAGGGTGATTAGTGTCACCCTAATTATTTAAAAGGAACATTCAAGCAGAAATATTAAGAAAATAGAGAGCTTATCAATGCATATATATATATATATGGAAATAGAGCTCTCAGTAGAAGGAACAACCAGGAAAAATACCGTATGTCTGAAAAATAGGTGACTTGTTCAGCCAGTGTGGCTGGCCAGAGTGAGGAAGGGGAGAGCAGGAGAAAAGGATGAGATCAAAGTGGGGGCCAGGTAATCTAAAGTCTTATAGGCCATTAAAGGTCTTTGAATTATATTCTAAGGAAAAATGAAGAACAATTAGAATATTTTAGACAAAAGAATGGCATTATCTGACTTATGTCTTAAAATAATTACTAGGAATTTTTAAAATGATATAAGTAGAAGAGGGATCAAACCATGTGGAGCCCAAGTAGGAGGTGACTGCAATATTTCTGGGTAGGACAGAGTTGTTTATTGGTGAATAGTGTTCCCTTCATTAACAACTATAAAACCTAGAACCATAGAAACAATAAAGCTCAGTGAAGATTGAAGTGTCTAAAATTCTGGAGAAAGGGGAGAGCCTCTCATAGATGAAGTTGTGATCTACAGCTTTTTCAACTCTGGGGGCATTTGCCAGTTCTGGCCTTGGATTGCAGCTTGCTGGGCATAGGGCTCATACTGGTGGATGAGAAGAAACAGCAATGATTTGATGATCACACAGGGCTAGGGTGACACAAGGGAAATATCTGAAACATCTCAAATTAATGGCTGATCTCCCTCTCAATATATAATTGATGAATTTTGAATTTGCACAGAGCATGAGGACAAAAGCTAATATGAAAAAAGTTGAAAAGCAGAGCTTCCTTTTCTGCAGTCTTCCAGTACTAAAAAAAAAAAAGACATGCTAGACTACTAGTTTAAAATCCTAGAGAGCTATATCCTAGGAACAAGGCAATAGCAGAGACAGACTAGATTAGTCAAAACTATAACCCAGCACAAGTCCGTTATGAGATTAAGGTGATAATTCTCCCATACTTTCTGTATAGCAAAGTAAATAATGAAGACTCTACGGTGGAAAAGATACTTCTCTTTGAAAATACTACAGTTTTATACACAATGTATGGAATTCAATGAAAAATCAATAATCATATGAATAGGCAGGCCCATGAGACCTAAAACCAAGTTTTAAAACCAATGCCAAAAACCAAAATATATAAACAGACCTACAGGTGATTTAGACGTCAGAGTTTGTAGACAAGGACTTTAGAATGCTATGGCTAATATATTCAAGAAAAAAAAAGGAAGTGATTACTAAAGCAGATCAAATACCTATAATTTTAACAGAAAATTGGAACCTATAAAGAAGAATAAATTAGAATTACAGGGAAGTACAATATCTTAAATTCGAATTCAATGGATAGATTTGACAAGCAGAAGGCAGGATCAGATGACTGAAAAATTGATAAATAGAAAAAAGCAGAACTGAAGGATAGAAAGATAAATACACAAACAAGTAAAAAGCGTGTGGGTCATAGTAAGGGAATATAAATCATCCTATTATAAAGACACATGCACACGTATGTTCATCGCAGCACTACTCACAATAGCAAAGACATGGAATCAACCTAAATGCCCATCAATAATAGACTGAATAAAGAAAATATAGTACATATACACCATGGAATATTCTGCAGCCACCAAAAAAGAACGAGATCTTGTCCTTTGCAGGGACATGCATGGAGCTGGAGGCCATTATCCTTAGCAAGCTAACACACGAACAGAAAACCAAATACCACAAGTTCTCACTTATAAGCAGGCGCTAAATGATGAGAACACATGGACACACAGAGGGGAACACCACACACTGGGGTTTTTGGAGGGTGGGAGGAGACAGAAGATCAGGAAAAATAACTAATGGGTACTAATCTTAATACCTGGGTGATGAAATAATCTGTACAGGAAACCCCCATGACACAGGTTTACCTATGTAACAGACCTGCACATCCTGCATATGTACCCCTGAACTTAAAATAAAAGTTAATAAAAGAAATTGCAATGTGTAATTTGCAGAGGATAAACAGGCAGATAAAGGAGCAAAAGCAATAATTAAGTAAAGGCCAGACACTTTAAAACTGATGAAAATTATCAGCCCAAATACTCAAGAAATCATATAAACATGAAGCAGCATAAATAGAATGAAAAAATGCTTATTCTAAAGTTTATATGGAAATATTTAAAGTAACAAGAATAGTTAAGGAGATCTTAAAGAATCATAAAGCTGGGAAATTTACATTAAAATCTAATCTGATATCAGATATCTAGAGGTATTTTGAAGTTACAGTAATTTAGAAAAGGTATTATTGTTGCAAAGTAGACAAATATACTCATGGAACAGAATAGAAGAGAGAGAGAGAACGAGAGAGAGAGAGACAGAGAGAGAGATTCATCTTGACTCTTACATCACATGATAAACAAAAATAAATTCCAGATGGTTTCCACATCTAAATGTGAAAGAGTGAAAGATAAAACAATCCAGCTTTTATTAATAGAAGAAAGCATAAGAGAGTATCTCCATGATCTTGGAAAAGGTAGAGACTGCTTACACAGGACATAGACTAACATTAACCATAAAGGTAAAATAGAATGACTTAAAATATATTAAAAATTAAGAAATTTTCTTTATTAGAAGATCATTAAGAGAGTGAGTAGAAGCCACAGAGAGGGAGAAAGTATTTGCATTGCATATGCCTAACAAAGGACTCAAAAGCATAAGACATCCTGCAAATCTATATAAAAAGTATCTGAAACCTCGATAGAAAAAAGGCCAAAGTCTTTAATAGGCACTTGTTAAAACAGTTTCCCAAGCTCAGAAACACACACACACACAGGCACACACACGCACATGCACATGCACACAGGCACAGACAGACACACACACACACAGTGACTGATTGCATTAGTCAGCAGGGAAATGCAAAATAAAATCCAAAGGCTACCAGTACACACCCATTAGAATGACTAACATAAAAAAGACAGAAAATACCACTTCTTGGTGAGGATGTTGAGCAAATCTGGACTCTCATGCGCTACTGATAAGAATCTACGTTTGTACCAAGGTTTTGGAAAATTGTTTGGTGCTATTTAATAGTGCTATACATGTGCATATCATACAACTTTGCATCTCTAGTCCTGAGTATAGTTCCAAACAGGCATCATTGTTTATGTATACCAAAAGGCATATAAAGAATGTCCATAGCAGAGCTCATTGTAATAAACTCCACTGGGAACTACCTTAATGTCCATCAGAATGGATTGAAAAGCTGTAGCATAGTCACGCAATGAAATACTATACAGCAATGACAATTATATTACACTCAACAACATGGATGAGGTACAGCCACAATGCTGAGCAAAAGCCAAACACATAAGTGTATATAGAATCTGATTCTATTTATGCTATATATACAAACAGGCAAAACTAATATGTGCTGTTAAAAGTCTTTAATATTTTATCCATCATTGCCGTTGGTTGTATTTCCAGATTCCTGACAGATTAAGCAATGGGATTCAGGAACAAGAAGTTGGAATTCCTAGGTATTTTATAAATTCAATGTTATTCTTAAAACACTTTCAAACTTCTTAACGCTCTTTATCCATAATCATGGATATCTAACTTTTAATAAATAAAAATATTAATAGTAACTTTAGAAGTATTCAGAAAGAGTGGTAATATATGGAAAGATTACTCAGACACTGGAAAATGATAGCAAACTGATAGTATTTGAATAACAACATTTGAATTTCTTAATAAAGTAAACAGCACTACACAGAATCACTCATCCAAATTGCCAGTTTAAGGATTGATTTTGCTTCTTAAACTTGTTATGTATTAGAAGAACACTCTCAGGGTTTGTGTATAGTATATAGTGCTTTATGCATTTAGAATACTGTGTGTGTAGTATACTATACATATAAAATACTATGTGTATAGTATACTTATGCATATAGACTTACTAATATTAAATTTTCAAGAATTACCATCAGCAGCATAGAGGGCCATTAACACACATAATAAGCAAAATCAACTGATCAGGTTGTGACCACTTTAATCCTATGTACTTCTGTCCTGACACCAGAGAATTTCAAAACTTTTAACTCAGTGTGACAGTGTTTCCTGCTCTTGGTTTTGACTTAACATCAATAGATTCCTTCAAATTAGTAAAGTCTCTATGTCTATTGTTAAGCTTTAATTCTTACAAGATGATTATAATACTTTTTTCTGGTTTTGCTCATTTCTCAAGTATTTTTCTCTGGATTTGATATTCAGAAAAATATCTATCTTTCTCAACACAATGTCAGGAAGGAGTTTCCACATAGAAGCACTAGTCAGGATAGTGGTTACCCTTGATGAGGGTTGTTATTGGAAAGGGAAGCAAATGATACTCCTGGGTGCTGATTATCTGGAATGTAACTTCGGTGTTCATAAAAGAGATCTGGATTGGAGATTTAATTTAGGTGTCATCCACATAGATGATGTTTAAAGCCATACAACTAGATGAGATCACTATGGAAATGACTATATACAGAGAAGAGAAGAGAATCAAGGAAGGACTTTTTCTTTAGACATGATAACATTTAGAAGCTAGAAAGAAGAGAATAATTTAATAAACGTGAAGGCGAAGACAGGTGACGTATGAGAAAACCTAAAGGGAACGTGTTGTCCTGGAGGCCAAATAAAGTACATCAAGAAGGAGAGTGATTTAAATTATTAAGTTCCTAAATGGGCAGTTAAAATTAATCTTAGAAAACCTCTAGTGAGGAAGCAATTCTGGAATGACAGAGTTAGAACTTCTGAAAATCCACTCCTCCATAAAAGCAATGAGACAATTTTCAAACATTGTCAAAATAAACTTTCTCCAAACTCCGGAAATTAACAAAAGTCTCCTAACACTCTGAAGAGCGTTATTCAAGAAAAATGATTAGTTCTCAGTACAACCAGGGAGCCCTATTCCCATCCTCTTCTTTCCTCCTCTGTAGAAGCCTTGAAGATTTTGTCATGATGAAAAGGTCAATCCATCAGAAAAAAGTATAACAATTATAAAGAAATACACACTTAAACACAGAGCCCCAAAATACATGAAGCAACACTGATAGAACTGAAGAGAAAAATAAGACAATTCAACAGTAATAATTAGAGATTTCAGTATTCCACTTTCAATACATGGATAGAACATCTAGGCAGATCAACACAGAAATACAAGATTTGAACAATTCTATAAACCAATTAGACATAACCAACATCTATAGAGCGTTCCACCAAACAACATAAGACTGAACATTATTCTCAAGTGCACATGGAACATTTTCTGAGGTAGACCATATATTAGGTTATACAATAAGACTCAATAAATTTTAAAGTATTGGAACCATACAAAGTACATTTTCTTACCCAGAATTAGAAATCAGTAAGAAAAGGAAGTTCGCAAAATTTACAAATATGTTGAGATCGAACAACACATTCCCCTCCTAAACAGACAATGATCCAAATAAAAAATCACAAAGGGAATTAGAAAATATTTTGAAACAAATGAAAATGATGACATAACACACCAAAACTTATGGGATGCATCAGCTTAAAGCAGTGCTTAGAGGGAAATTTATAACTGTAAAACCTATATTTAAAAGAGAAATCTAAAATCAATAACCTGAATTTCCACCTTAAGAGACTAGAAAAAGAAGACCAAACTAAATCCAAAGCAAGCAGAAGGAAAAAATAATAAATATTAGAGTAAAAATAAATAAAATAAAGAATTTTAAAAATTAAAGAAAATAAAAAAATCTAAAAGTTATTTGAAAAGATCAGCAAAACTGATAAACCTTTCACCAGACAGACGAAGCAAATAAAAGAATAGAATCACATTACTAAAAGCCTGAAAGAAGGCACATCATACTTGCCTTACAGAAATAAGCAGGATTTTATGGGAATACTATGAGCAACTGTACACCAACAAATTAGGTAACCTAGATGAAATGAAAAAAAGTCATAGAAATATACAAACTGATGGAACTGACTGAAGGAGAAATAGAAGTTTTCATTGACCCTATACTAAGTAAATAGGTTACATTAGTAATTTAATAACTTCTCATAAAGAAAAGCCCACCATTAGATCTAAGGCTTCACCATTGAATTGTACAAAACACTTGAAGAAGACTTGATACCAATCAATACCAGGTTTTCACAAATAATTCTTCCAAAATATAGAAGGGGAAAGAACATTTCTTAATTCATTCTATGAGGCCAGTGTTACCCTGATATCAAAACCAAAGGTAACTAAAAAATACAACTATAGGCAAGTATTTCTTATAGACAAGTATTTCTTATGAGTATAGACACAAAAATCTTCAGTGAAACTCTAGCAACGGATTCAAGCAACTTATAAAATGGATTATACATCATTTTTAAGTGAGATTTTTCCCAGGAATACAAAGTTGGCTCAACAACTGAAAACCATTCAACCTAATATGACATATTAATAAAATGGACAAAAACCACACGATCATCTCAATACATGAGGAAACATATATACTCTGCACTAGAAATCCAAAATTTTCTTAATTTGCCAGTAACTAGTGGCTATAACTTGTCCTGTCATTGTGAATAATAAAAGTTTTGATAATTGCAATTATTTGATTAAGTTATAAACCAATATAGTACCAGTTTCCATTTGCTTTTATATATACCAGCCTCAGGCTGTAGCTTTCAGATTCATCAGAACTCCTAAATTTTTTAAAAATTATTTTCGTTTTAATTGACAAATAAGTGTGTATACTTTTTGGGTACAATTAGATGTTTCAATAAATATATATATTGTGTAATGATCAAATCAGGGTATTTAACATTTCCATTATCTTAAATATTTATCGTGTATTTGTGATGAGAACATTCAAAATCCTCTCTTCTGGCTATTTTGAAATATATCATACAATATTTTAAAAATATAATCAGTCTTCTGCACAATAGCACACCAGAACTTATTCCTTCTATCCAACTGTACCTTGTACCCATTAATCAATCTCCCTCCATTAACCAAGCTCTCTCCAGGCCCTCTCTCTTCTCCTTCCCCAGCCTCAGGTAACCGCCATTCTATTCTCTACTTTTATGATATATCTATTTTAGATTATGTATATGAATGATACAATGCAACATTTGTCTTTCTGAGCCTTGCTCACTTCATTTAACATAATGTCCTGCAATTTTATCCACATTGCCACAGATAATAGGATTTCATTCTCTTTTTATGGCTGAATAGCATTCCATTGTGTGTGTGTGTGTGTGTGTGTGTGTGTGTGTGTGTGTGTGTGTGTGTGTGTTTATATATTATATAACATTTTCTTATTCATTCATTCATTGATGGACACTTGGATTGATTCCATATCTTGGCTGTTTTGAACAGTGCTAAAATAGTAATTGAAGTATAGATATCTGTTGAACATATTCACTTTATTTATTTTGGGTGTATACCCAGTAGTGGAATTGCTGGATATTATGGTAATTCGGTTTTTAATTTTTTGAGGAAACTCAATACTTTTTTTCATACTGGCAGTACCAATTTGCATTCTCACCAACAGTGTATAAGAAAGAGTTCCCCTTTCTTCTCATCTTTTCCAGCACTTGTTCTCTTTTGTCTTTTTGATAATAGTCATTCTAACCAGGGTGAGATGATATCTAATTGTGGTTTTGATTTGCATCTCTGTAATGATTAGCGATATTGGGCATTTTTTATATACCTGGAGGCCATTTGTATATCTTCTTTTGAGAGAAGTCTATTAAGGTCTTTTGCCCATTTTTAAAATCAGATTTTTTTATATTATTTGAGTTCCTTAGATATACTGGATATTAACCCCTTATCAGATGTATACTTCGAAAATATTTTTCCCATTCTGTGTATTTTCTGTTCACTCTGTTGATTGTTTCACTTACTCTACAGAAGATTTTTAGTTTGATAAAATTCCATATCTCTACTTTGCTTTTAATGCCTGTGCTTTGGTATTGTTATCTAAAAGATCCTTGCCCAGATGACTAATGGCATGGAGAATTTCCCCTACATTTTCTTCTAGTAATTTTATAGCATTGGGTTTTACATTTAAGTCATTAATCCATTTTGATTCCATTTTTTATAGTGAGAGATAAGGGTTTAGTCTCATTCTTGTACATGTGGACATGCAGTTTTCTCAGCACCATGTTGAAAAGACAAGTGGGATTCATCCCAGGGATGCAAAAATGGTTGAAAACATACAAATGAATAGATGTGATACATGACATCAACAAAATGAAGGACAAAAAACACGGTCATTTCAATAGATGAAGAAAATAATATTCAACATCTCTTCCTGATGAAAGCTCTTAACTAATTAGGTATAGAAAAAGAATGTACCTCAACACAATAAAGGCCATA
The DNA here is from genome assembly GCF_000001405.40 of Homo sapiens. Classification (NCBI taxonomy): domain Eukaryota; kingdom Metazoa; phylum Chordata; class Mammalia; order Primates; family Hominidae; genus Homo; species Homo sapiens. Next base: position 152,215,304 of record NC_000023.11, on the reverse strand, counting down.
TATGACAAACCTACAGCAAACATCATACTGAATGGAAAAGGCTGAGAGCTCTTTTCTAAGATCTGAAACTGTGAAACAAGGCAAGGATACCCAGTCTCACCACTTCTCACAACTAGTGGTGAGAAGTCCTAGAGGTACTAGAAGTCCTAGCCAGAGCAATTAGGCAAGAGAAAGAAATAAAAGGCATCCAAATTGGAAAGGAGGAAGTCAAATTGTCCCTGTTTGCAGATGACATAATCATATAAAAAAATATATATATATATATATCCATACACACATACATATATGTGTGTGTATATATATATGTGTGTGTGTGTGTATACATATATCCCTAAAGAACTAAACAAAAATTTGTTAGAATTAAGAAAATAAGCAACGTGGAAGGATACAAAATCCACATACAAAAGTCAGTACCATTTCTATATGCCAATAGTGAACTATTTGAAAAAAGAAAGTGATTCCATTTACAATAGCTACAAAACAATAAAATTCTAGGAATAAATTTAACCAAGGAGGTAAAAGATCTCCACAATGAAAACTATAAACATTGATTAGAAAAATAGAGGAAGACACAAATAAATAGAAAGACGTCTTGTGTTCATGGACTGGAAGAACTGATATTGTTAAAATGTTCATGCTACCTAAAGCAATCTACACATTCAATACGATTGCTATCAAAACACCAATGACATGCTTCCTGAAATAGAAAAAACATTCTAAAATTCATATGAAACCACAAAAGACCCCACATCTCCAAAACCATACTGAGCAAAAGGATTAAAGCTGGGGACATCACACTACCTGACTTCAAAATATACCACGAAGCTATAGTAACCAAAACAGCATGGTAGTGGCATAAAAACTGACACACAGAACAATGGAACATAAAAAGACACCTACAATTGTATGTTTATCACAGCACTATTCACAATAGCAAAGTCATGGAATCAACCTAAATGTCCATCAGTGGATGACTGGATAAAGAAAATTGCTATATATATATTTACAAACACATACACAGACACCATGGAATACTACTCAGCCATAAAAAGGATGAAATCATGGTCTGCTGCACCATAGATGGAACTAGAGGCCACTATCCTAAGTGATATAGCTCATAAACTCGAATACCGCATATTCTCACTTATAAGTGGGAGCCAAATAATGGATACACATGGATACAGAGAGTGGAATAATACACACTGGAGATTCCAAAAGGTGAGAGGGTATGAGGGGGTGAAGATTGAAAAAATACCTGTAGGGTGCAATGTTTCGTATTTGGGCAATGGGTACACTAAAAGCTCAGACTTGTCCACTACACAATATATCAGTTTAACAAAACTGCACTTGTACTCTCCAAATCTATAAAAATAAAAAAAAAGGAATAGAGAATACAGAAATAAACCTACATATTTACAGCCAACTGATTTTTGACAAAAGCACCAAAATACACATTAAGGGAAGGACAGTCTCTTCAACATATGGTGCTGAGAAATCTGGAGAATCCTTGGATTTTTACCATGTCCAAACCAAACTTAAGTTCCTTTCACTAAAACTCTTTGTGATCTCTATCTTGGTTTATATCCTGTATTCTGGTTACCTACCTCCTCAATCTTATATCATATCCCTTTCCCCATTACATTGGCCTTCTGCCAGTTCCTAGAACTCTTTACCACGTAGAAGACTTTGCATTTGCTGGTTTTGGGGGGTTGCGGAGGTTTAGTTGTTTTGTTATTATTTTGGCCTGAAATGTTTTCCATCAAGCTCTTGCATGACTGACTCCTTCTCATTTCTTAATGTTTTAGATTAGAAACCACCCTCAGAGAGATCTTCTCTTACCACTGTATCTAATGACACCCCTCCTCACCCTGTAACTCTATTTTCTTCATAGCATGCATCACTCTGTTACTATATTATTTATTTACTTGTTTATTGTCAGTCTTTTCTCACTAGACTGTAAGCTCAATGAGGTGATGAGGCCTCAGATGTTTTATGATCGCTGTATCTTCACTATCTAATATGATGCCTTGATATTTGTTGAACGGGTAACTGATTAAATCAATTAAGCAAGTGGTTTCTGACAATATTTCAAAAGAAATGCTTTCTCATTTGTGCTAACATGGCAAGATTGTTTGTTACTTCCTTTTTTCCTGGGGTCTGTTACATACCAAGGCTCAGATAACAGAAGGAGGCATTTTGCTAAGCAACTAAAGACAAGGAGTTGCTTTTGCCATTATAGCTCATGAAATATATTGAGGGGCCCATTCAGCGAGTGCAAAAGTTCTAATTGTCAGGTAGATATCCTTTCTTCAGGAACCAGTCCCTCCACCCTACCCCAGCTCCTCTATGGAAATAGAATGATTGGAATTGAGATGAGGGGGCAGTTTTATAGGAGAGAAGCTGAGGAATTAAAGGAGCCCAAATCCGTGGAAGAAGGAAAGCAGAAGGAGGTCTAACTGGGAAGAATTCTGCTCCCCAGTGGGTGAATAAATTCCATCATTATCCATGTACTTGGAAAAGCTACAATGTTAGGATCATGTAGAATCTTTTTAAAATGTCCTTTTTCCTTTCTTAAGCACCATGAAAAGTCAAAAATTATAATCATTTCTACTTCTGAAATCGCTCTGTCCCACTCAGTTCAACCCACTGTCTAGTATATTATGCCTATGGGTCACTGACACCAAAAGGCATTGTGATGACCTTTTAAATACTGTCTTGGCTTCAGTTTCACTCTTTTCCACCAGCCATCCTTACGGCAGCTAGGGTGATCCTTCCCAAGCTTATATCTGGTCATGTCATCTCTCTCCTTTAGGCATGTCCACAACTCGTGTGTACACACATGTATGTACACACGTGCGTATTCCAACAGAGGTTCCCACTTTCCCATTAGAAGTTTCTTCTGGGGACTATATAATAAAAACAAGAAATCCAGGACTGCAAAAACCCTTAGTTCTTAGGGTAGGCAATTTGGAATTTTTTTTTTTTTTTTTTTTTTTTTTTTTTTTTTTTTTTTTTTTTTTGAGACAAAGGCCTTGCTCTATTGCCTGGGCTGGAGTGCAGTGGTTCAATCACAGCTCACTGTAGCCTTGAACTCCTGGGCTTAATTGATTCTCCTGCCTCAGCCTCCTGAGCAGCTGGGGCTACAGGCATGTGCCACCATGCCCAGCTAATTTTTAATTTTTTTTGCAGAGACGGTTTCCTTCTATGTTGCCCAGGTTGTTCTCAAACTCTTGGCCCCATGCAATCCTCCTGCATTGGCCTTCCAAGGTGCTGGGATTACAACATAAGCCACTGCACCCAGACTAACTTGGATATTTTATGCTATTTATTAAGCTTCCTTCTGGCCTGTGACTCCAGTGATACTATTAATTCCTTTACCGCTCCATGTGCTCACATACTTTTTGCCTTGGCTATGTTGTTCTTTTGCTAGGAATGTCCTTCTTTCACCTACTAAAGGTGGCCTCATCTTCTGAGTATCATTTACTTTAAGAATCCTTCTGTAACACCCCACTCTGAGCAGGAGCAATAGTGCTCACCTCTGGTTTTACTTAACACTTGTGTTTATTTTACTAGTGTGCATACTCCTATATTCCAAATTGCACTACAGCCATTGTGCTTTCTCTGTCTCCCCAAGTAAATTGTGGGCTTCCTGATGTGATGGTGGCTACTGTGCCTTCACAGACTTTGTTTACCAGTACAGGTCAGGCTCCAAGCAGACACTCAATTGAGTAGTTTTCAACTTGTTTTTGTTTTTATTTTTAAATTCACATCTTCGTCTTCCACTTATTCATGTCTTTCCTGCTTTGCCCTCTATCTTATGAGAAGAGGGTATTTTTTTCTCCTCAAATCCCTCTGTTCCCATATATTATTGCCAAAGAAATTAAATCGCTGCTTTTTGCATGAAGTAAGGTGCTAGTCTGGAGAAGTGAATTTTCTGAGATACCGATAGCTACACAGTTTGTCGTCACATCTGCCTTAGGGTCTGCTTGGATTTTCAGGGTGAATATTCAGTGTTGTCTGTGCCAGGTACTCAACTTAAGTTAAGAGATCCAGCAAGAAATTCCTTTTCTTTTTTAGGGGTGGAAACAAAATCTTCCATTGCTTACTCTTTCCCTGAACGAACCTGTTCTAGTTTTTACACTGCCAAAATCTTGGGTAGATTGGATAGAACATGGCACTATCTTTAAACAAAAAGTGTTACAACCATCTGAATAGCAAAGGTAAGAAGACCTATACAGATGGTTCCCTGCTTAGGAGTAGGGGTACCCCAAGCATATGTACTAAAGATAAAAGACTCTGGGGAAAAATGAGAGCACAAGGGTCTTGTGAAATCACATTTCGCAGACCGTGTTATGACTGCCTCATATAATATCAGTGTAAATTTTAGGTAAGGGTATGAGAAGGGTTCTGAGAAGATTTTCCTTTCTTCTTGGTGATAATAGTTTAAAGGTCCACAAATCAAGCTGAGAGCCCTAGATATCCCATAAGTAGAAGAGGATGCTTTGTTTTTAAGGTGGAATTATAAGGAATCATAGCCATCTATAGGAGAAAGTCTCTAGACCATAGGTTATAAATTGGGAGCTTCAGGTGTGACTTGTTTGATCCATACACAGTTTACAACTTTTAAAATTATTTGCTAAGATTTTAAATTTGTGAGATGTCATATAAAATTCCACATTTGCTTATTATTTCACAAAATCAGAAGACTGACAACACACTGGGCTCAAATCCTACATGGCTTCAATCAATCGAGGCCAAATAGTGACCATCCCTTGTAGATGAGGGTATGCTTTCCCTTTCCTCATAACCTCCATCACTTTCACCTTGCTCCCTGAAAAGGGAGTATAGTATCAGTTGCCAGTAATCATCTCACTTGCACTTTTGTTTTACTTACAAGAGAATTAAGAGCTCCCAGTAGAAATGAGGAAAATGAAAGCGTTCTTGTACCATATCTATCAATTTTTTTAAAAAATTAAGACATGCTGAGATGGCTATATTTTAAACAAGATGGGAGAATTTACATTTTCTTATAGAAATAAAGGATATTTTCACATCTTTAAGCACACAAAGTATGCTTTTGTTGAAAACAAAACTTCATATATCAAAATTATGCTATTCATTACAAAAAACTATGATTTATATATAGAAAAAATGCACAATGAAAATATTAATTAAAAAACATTGAAAGTTAGGTTTTGCGCTTCAATGCATACACTAAATGTTATTGCTAGAAAATGTGGTTATGCTTTCAGCAACAAACCTTTATAGGCATCAAAATATTTCATAGATACCAAACTTGTAAAAAAAAGTCTATTAATTGTATCAGAAATTATGTGTCCAACTAGAAATCTTGTTGTTGTTGTGTTGAAGAAATGACTGAGACTATATACAAGGCAAATTATGTGGAAAAGTTAAACTTCCTGTGATATTTTCCTTTGCAGCTTATGAGAGCACAGATATAAAAAATACCATAGAGTTATGAATATTTGTTCATGATGTCAGTGAGAATTTTGATGTGATTGGAGAAATTTTTAGCATGTTGCTCATTACAAACAAAGCAGGAAATGACTTATTTAGGTGTATTGAAAAAGTTTTAAAAAGTGTAATGTAAGCAGATCACAATTGGTACCCATGAATAGCTGTTAATGTCAGACTTGTGAAATGTATATCCAATGTTGCAAAGTTTTGCAGGGACCCAGCATTTATATTTGTTTATTGGCAGATTCACCAGAAATTATTTGCTTTGTGGTAGAAGGTTTCAATAGAGTATATTAGGGGTATAGTAGTTGCCACCATGAGCTGGAGGAACCCCTCTTCCCCTCTGGCTTGAACAACAGGCAGCTCAAAACTTGAAGGAAAAGGGTATACAGTATGCGGTCAGCTTCCCTTTATGAGCCTGGGTGCCTGAGTTAGGGCAAGTACTCACCCTAGATATAAAATCCACGGTGGAAAGAGTTAACCATGTCAGGGAAGGAATCAACTCATTTCTTTAATATACTGACTAAAGTTAAATAACCCCACCTCATTTCTGACCATTTCCCTTACTCACGCCCCTGTTAATCTATACAAATTCTGTACTTGACATTGGAATTCTAAATACAAGCCTTGACATTAATGCTGATGCAAAAGAAAAGGTGTCAGGTAGGTGTCTTGTTTGCATATCAAACTGATAATAAGTTATGAAAGAAAATCAATTATTGTAATTTTAATTTGGAATTTTTCTTTTTTAACTTAAAATATCACTAGTTTGAATTTTTGCTTTCTCTGATATGCTCACCCCATAATTAATTGAATTTGTACTACTTTTCTGCCAGCTTATTTTTCTTATAATTAGCCTCATTTACTTATTCAAGGTACCTCTGTGTTAGTCTGTTTTGCTTTGCTGTGAAGGAATACCTGAAGCTAGGTAAATTATAAAGAAAAGAGTTTTATTTGGTTCATGGTTATGGGGGGCTGTACAAGAAGCATGGAGCCAGCATCTGCATTTTGTAAGGACCTCAGGAAGCTTTTACTCATGGTGAAAGGCAAAGCAAGCCAGCGTGTCACATGAAAAGAGGGAGCAAAAGAGAGAAGGCGGTGCAAGGCTCGTTGAAAACAATCAGATAGCCTGTGAACTAATACAGCAAGAATTCACTCATTACTGGAGGGGGGTGTCACCAAGCCATTTGTGAGGAATCTGCCTCCATGACTCAAACACCTCCCACTGCACCCCACTTCCAACACTGGGGTTTGCATTTTAACATAAGAATTGGAGGGGTCGAATATCCAAATTTTGTCAACCTCTATGGCTCCTGTAGGCATTTGAGTCTGTGACATCTACATGAGATAATATTTTAGCCATTCCTCCCCCTGCCCCTACTGTCTACTGTCCAACAGAAGAAAAAGTTTATTGGCAGTCTAGAAGACAGTCATTGAAGTATGAGAACACTTTGGGTTCATTTCTATGTACACAGCATATACTACAGTAGCTGTTCAATGAGAGTTTATTGTATGGATGGATGGATGGATGGACGGATGGATGGACTTCAGTTGAAGACAGACCACATACCCAGAACTCTTTGAAGATGGAAGTTTTATTTCGATCTCATTTGAGTTTAGTATCAAGGGTAATCATTCTCCATTTCCTTCAACTTCTCTTTATTGACCCTTCTCTGCCTTAGATGCCTATACAACAGCTGAAGTGGTTTATTCTTGGACTCTCGGAAAGAACAAATCCGTGGAAGTGGCACAGGATGGTTCTCGCTTGAACCAGTATGACCTTTTGGGCCATGTTGTTGGGACAGAGATAATCCGGTCTAGTACAGGTATTTAACTTATTTTATTTAACAAACATTTCTGTAACCTATACCACATGCCAGTCACTGTTCTAAGTGCTTATAACTTACTTAATCTTCAAAACAATGTTGTGACAAAGATAGTATTATCATGAGAAAACTGAGTATATAAAAGTTCAGTAATTTGCTCCTTGTCACAGTTATGCAATGGCAAAACGAAAATGAACACTTGTCAGATTGGCTCCCAAGACCATCCTCTTAACCACGATTGCCTGCTGCCTCTTGAAGAGTGGTGCAGAAGGTGAAGGGCATTAGGGCTAGAGTATGAGAAGAGAAAGCAGATGAAGGCCATGGTGGGGGAAGAGCTGAGCTTTGTTCCTAAAGATTTCATTAAAATAATTGCTTAACTCAGCCTGTGCTGAGGTGGCACATTAACTAATCCCAGAAAAGGTCAAGCACACAGCCAGGATGCCCAGGGAGTAGCCATGGAATTATTTTCTTAAGGGGATCACGTAACTCAGAAAAAAGCTTGGTTGGCAAAACCTGCTAGGTTTTATCAATGGCTAACTCTTGGATATTGACAAATGAAACTAGAGTTTTGTTCTGTGGCCTTAAGTCTGTCCATTTGGAAATGGCCCCTGAGCAGTTCAAGGGGCCTGAGGGACGATATATTCTGGATCTCAACTAACCTTAGAATGTTCGTCAAAATGGAGTATATGCTGGGGCCCACATATCACATAATATTTTTTTTGCTATGAAATGATAGAAGCTTTCAACGTTAATTTTCAAGCAACACTTGTCTCTGTGAATCCACAATTATACATGTCCTTTTATCTCATTATCTAGACATACACTGTTCCCTCTTGTGATATCACAGTCTGTCATCTCCTCTGCCCCCTGTTTTCCCTCCACCTCAGAATCAGGGGAGGGTGCCTAAAAAAATCAACATTTGAAATGGAATTGAAGGACAAACAGGATTTAGAGATCTAGAATTAGTGTGGGGAAAGGCTATTCTTGACAAAGGCAATACTGAGATGTCGAAAGTCCAGAAGTATGAGAGAGCATGGCCTGTTAGGGAAGCTGAAAGCTGTTCAGAGTAAGATGCAGAAGAGATAAGGAGTGTAGGGCTGCAGGGGTGGGTGGGCTGTTCTGTGGGGTCCTGGCGTCATGTATGGCAGGCCTCCGGCTGGACCAGTCCAAGTGGCACAGGCAGGCAAGGTGTGGCTGGCCCTAATCTGAAGAATTCCCTCCTTCCAGTGGGTGAGCATTGCTGCTGGGGTCAAGTGCCTGGCTTTGGCAGAAGCAGTAGAGGTAGCCGGTGGTGGGAGTGTCTGGGCCACCTGGGCCCTGTCCCTGTGTCCCAGGAGCGCTCCTGGCCATCGTGCATTGGCTACCTGGGCCACTGCGTGGCCAGGGCTCAGAGCACTGGGAGTGTGGGCAGAGCCAGACAGGGACCCGTCCCTGGCTCACTGTGCTGAAGGTGAAGCAGGGGCATTGACATACTTTTCCTGCACTGGCTGCACAGGTACTGCCAGCCTCTTTAGAGCCCTGATCCCGGGACTATGCAAGCAAGGAGGGAGAGGAGCCATTTGCAGGTTTCACACACCCTCCTGTCCCCTCACGTCTCCACTGGACCCCTTACATGTGTGAGCAGAGAAGCCGGCCTCCTGCTTCAAGAGGTGCCACCACCAATGCCACTGCCTGGTTTCCCCTCCCTTCCCCACCCCAACTTAAGGGAAAAGAGGGGGCCCCAGGAGGAGGCTGAGGCTGCAGCATCACGTGGCCCAAAGTGGTGCACTGCACAGCTGGGCCCTAGAGGCTGAAGGCCCACCCTTGCTGCTGCAGGGATTTCCTCCTCAGAGTGAGCAAGCAAGAGAAGTCCCTGTATCTGTTCACTCCCCTCACCTCCCCGTCTGTCCTGGGCACTGCCCACCTGGCATCAACTCTTGAGACCAATCCTTGGCTGCCCAATCAGACCCCACTCCCACTTCATTTTGGTAAACCGCGGTTGGTGTCATCTTTAGCACACAGAAGATACACGTTCATAACAGGAAAATTAGAAATACATGGAGGAGCAAATGTTGGAAATTAAAATTCTTTTTGTTTCCACTTTCTAGAAATATCTTAGAAGATTTCGGTACATTAACTGATTGTTTTACATTCAGTATTTAAGACGGTTCCCTTTGCATTTTCTGTATAAATATGTTTTTATGTAAATGGGGCCATAGTATTGATACTTTTTTATAAGCTGATTTTTATTTAATTTTATATTATAAATGTGTTTTCATGTCACTAAATGCACATAATCCAGGTAAAATGTACACAAGATTTAGTAAAATATGTTAGCAATTAGAATGAACACACCACACATTTATTATTACTTGTTTTGGTTACTTAAAAAAAAGTGAAAAGCCTTCCTGTCAGGCCAGAGCATAGTTGACAATGATGATAATCCCTGTTGTCACTAGGAAGTGTAGCATTTCATTGTGAAACTCAGTAAAATAGTATCTCTTTTTTGGTAATGTCCTCATATAGATGGATCACAATCTATTTAAACAATCATCCACTATTATATTCTGTGTTTTAATGCTATAAACAACACTGTAAAGACCCTTCTTTTCCCTATAGCATTTTGCTCCTGTTTAAGTATCCGCCTAAGATACAGACAGGATATTGAGATTGCTATTTCAGAAAGTAGACACATTAAAAAAAATTGATACATATTGACAAACTGCTGTTCTGAAAGGTTAAACAATTCACACTCCTATTATCAGTGATGAGCAAGCCAATTTCCCCTCACTCTTGCCAACACAGGTATCATGGGTTGAATTGTGTCCCCTGAAAAGATATGTTTAAGTCCTAATCCCCAGTACTGCAAAATGTGACCTTATTTGGAAACAGGGTCACTGCAGATGTAATTAGTTAAGATAAGGTCATACTGCAGTGGAGTGGGCCCTAATCCAATTTGACTGGTGTCCTTATAAAAAGGGGAAATTTGAACATAGAGACACACACACACGCGTGCGTGCACATGGAGAACACCATGTGAATATGAAGGCAGAGATTGGGGCGATGCTTCTATAAGTTGAGAAACAGCAAAGATTGTGAGAAAACAATTTGAAACTAAGAAGAGGCAAGGAAGGATTTCCCTACAATTTTCAGAGGGAGTGTAGCTCTGCTGACACCTCAGTATCAGACTTCCAGCCTCCAGAACTGTGAAAGAATACATTTGTTTTGTTTTAACCCATCCAGGGTGTAGTACTTTGTTATGGCAGCCCTAGGAAAATAATGCAACAAGATATTGTCATTCTTGTTTTCTTACTGTTTATCAAAGTAATATATGGGTTTAGTGGTAGAATTACTAATGATCAATTTTTGAGCATGTAATATGTGCAAAGCATTTCCCTGAGGGCATGTATTAACTCACTTAACCCTTGAACAACAGTTTGAGGTGGGTGGTGGTATTATCTGAGGTTTATAGATAAGGAAATCGAGGCTCAGACAGATTAAATAATTTTCTCAGGGTCACACAGTTGGTAAGTGGTAGAGCAAGATTTGGAAACAAGGCAGCAAACTTGCTCCAGAGTCTATAAACATAATAACTACATGGATCACTCCCTTTCTACTTTGCATCTAGAAGGAAGGAGGATGTAAGGAAAGAAGGAAGGCAGGAAGAAAGGCAGGGAGGGAGGGAAGGAGGAAAGAAAAGAAAATTTAAAAATCAAATAACAGGTATATACTGAAAAGGAGCAGTTCCCATTTTAACCACTTATGTTTTACTTCTGATGGTTCCCTCCATAGTTCTAAATAATGTGCTTATACTGCCATTTTTCACCTTTAGAGATGAAATATTGATTCCCTACTCTAAGGTATTGAGTGCTTATCTCACTTCCATTGCCCCTACCTCTCCTTTCCTCCTAGTATTGATAGCTGGATCAAATAGTTAGCTATATTTATTGATCTATCAACCCTTCTGTCCTCATATCCTCACCTTCTTTCTTCCAACTTCTGCCAACTAAAAGTTTGCTTTCATTGTAAAAACGGATTAAAATATACACTCAGTTCTTGCGGTAGGGAGAATAGCGGCCCCCCAAAGATGTCCACATTCTATTCCGTAGAACCTGTGAACATGTTAGGTTACATGGAAAGGGGGGATTAAGGTGCCTAATCAGCTGATTTCAAAATAGATTATTCTGGATTATTCAAGTGGGCATAATGTAACCATGAGAGTCCTTATAAAGGAGAGGCAGGAAGACCAGAGTCAAAAAGAAAATGAGTAGAAGATATTTTACAGCTGGCTTGAAAGATGACAAATGGGGCCACAAGCCCAGAAATGTGGACTACCCAGAGAAGCCAAAAAGGCGAGAAAACCTATTCTTCCCTAGAGTCACCAGAAGTGAAGGCAGCCCCACCTACATCCTGATTTTAGCACAGTGAGACCCATTTTAGACTTCTGACCTTCGGAAGTATAAGAGTATAAATTCGTGCTGTTTGAAGCCAACAAGTGTGGGGTAATTTGATAAAGTACCAATAAATAGAAAACTAATACTGTTATATACCCCTAATTAAGCTTTCAATACTTTCTCTATAGATTGATTTAAAAAGCTCAAAACCAGCAAGGGACATTTGTATTACTATGACTGTATGAATACTATCTTTTGTTGGGATTGCATTTCTTGTTTAAGGGCCTACCACCCACTTAAATTTCCCTAGTTTTCTGTAGAAAGACCCTTCAGAGTATTTTAGATAAAGGCACTCAGATTATCTTTCTTTTGACTGGGAGAGTAAACACACTGATACAGTCATTGTGCCTATGGAAGTAGGGCTTGTAACTTTTCCAAGTTCAGATCTGCAGGAAATGTCCCTATTTTCCATTCCCATTCTTGAGACCCTCTCCCTTTGTCCCTGCAGCCTCCAGGTCTGTGTCCTCTCTGGGCATTGCCAGCAGGGACCTCCCTTGTAAGCTGAGCTCCCTCTGCTGCTTCTCATCTACACTGAGGCCTGCTTTCTCCATCAGCACTTTCTGAATTCCAAAATTCTCTTGAGCTCTTTCATTCATTCTTTCCTGTTGTTTTCTTTCTTATGGGTTTATTCTATTTTACTGTCTTCACTGGTACTTGATGAAGTCTTAAGAGAAAGAGGAGGTAAATGTTGCTGCTCAGTCTGCTATATGAATTGGACATCTTTCCAACTTTTTACCTACATTTTTTAGGAGCTGCATTATTTCCATTTTTAAAATTTACATCTCGAATATAATCTGGAGTTTTATTTTTGGTTTTGCTCTATGAGGTAACCAAATGTACCAGTATCCACGAGTGAATAATCGAGTGTTTCCTCATTGATATGAGATGCTTCTTTTATCATATAGTAAATTCACATGTGTGCACATACATACACATACAAACGCATAAATGTGTGTCTATATTTATTATTCTTTTTCATTGTTGTCTCTCTATTCTTTATATGTATCACATTATTTTAATTATCGAAGATACGTGTTTTCAAACTGTGTATATATACACACACACACATAATCTTTCTAGGAAGATACACAAGAGGCTGTTAATTGTAGTTACCTAAAGGAAGGAGATGTGAAATGGGTAATTTGGGGCAGATGTGGGAGGGAGACATTTTGCTGCACACACTTTTATACCTATTGATTTAGGAACCATATAAACATTATTACCTTACATATATATGTATTGTTTTTATTGTGACCATAAATTATGGGCATTCCTTTCTAAATTCTTCATACACTCTTCCATGTAGGGTCTAGAATATGAATGGAAATCTGGGCCAGAGAAAGGACCCACAATCCGTGGATGTTCTGATTGGTATGGCTGGCTTTCTCTCCAAATGCTGTCAGTCCTCAGTATGAACTAGCTTCATGCAGAGGCCGTCTGCTCTTTGCTCCAGATTCAAACATGTATTAAATAAATGAATGAAATTCCTCAAAGTCTGTGGCTAGTTGTTGACACCATCCCCTGTTTTCCCTAATTTGGCGAATTATTACATTAATTTTCTAAAAGGATAGTTTGGATGTATGATCCTTATATATCCATCTTTCCTAGAAATTTGATCATTTGTTAGAATGACAGTTTTATTATTATTGTCATTGTATATATTATTTCTTTAGATGTGTAGCATAGGTAAGTAAAGATAAGGCATAAAACAGGACATAAAGAAAAATCAGAGAGATGGAGATAAAAAGAAAACAGGAGGCAAGATAAAGAACAAGGAGTAGAGATAGAGAGAGGGAAAAATACCCAAGATAGATTTAAGAAAATATATCCACTTACTTTTTTATGATGACTTAATTTGCCAAGCTAAAAAATCCTCTGTGTGTTTCAAAACCTTAGAAACTAGCTAAGTTGTGAATGTGTTTTACATTCTATTATCAAATATTTCATATTTAACACAGATGGAGTTTAATAGGCTGAAGTGCAAAGGCAGGAGAAAATTCCCCCAAATCACTTAAAGGGCCATCCTTCATAATAAGAAAGACAGAGAGACACAGCAATAGGGGCAAGGAGGGAGAGAATCTAACAAATCCACTTCAGGAAAATATAGTCAGTTACGTAAAACATTATTTAGCTAAACTGTTCTGCGTTTCTGATACATAGATAATAACTAATTTATGAATACATATGCATTGTGTGTTTTATATTGTACCCTTGAATATTTCATATACAACACACACAACACAGGTGGTACATAATGAGCTTAATAAGCTGGGACAAAAGGGTGGAGGTGGGATGGAGGGAATTGTGAAAATCTTCCAATTTGATTAAAGTTTCAGTTCTCTCTTTGGCAGAGAAGAAGATATATAGAGATGGAAAATATCAGAGTTGTGTTTAAGAAAACTGATTAAGTTAATTGACATAATAAATTAATTTGCTAAGCTTTCTAAAAGTCCACTTGTAAGTTCCACCCATAGAAATGATCTAAGTTGTGAATACTCGTGAATATACAAAAGTGTCTTTCCATTGTCCCTTTGACAATTTCACACTGGACCCGGATAGCCTCCAATACAAGGACAGAAACCAGGGAAATCTTCGCAACCTAGGTGTCAGTTCTTACTAAAGAGAATTCCTTTCACCTCTTCAGAAGACAGACAACAAGACAGAATGAGAAAGAAAGAAGTATAGAAAAGGAGAGGATTGAGGAAAATCAATGTGTTCAACCATTTTGAGTCAGTTATTCAAAACAAATGGTTAATTTGGTACTCTTTTGAAAAGTCCATTTGCTTTGCCTTTTAGATCCACAGAATGTAATTAATTTATGAATATTTATTACATCTTTTATATATTAAATATTTCACATGATCAGAGATAGGATTAATAGGTAGCGTTTGGAAATGTGAGATGGTAAAGAGGGAGAATTGCATAAGCTCATCAAAGTCCAACTCTCATGAAAAACAAATCCCCAATGCCTTCTCAGTGGGGAGAGAGTGAAGGAAAGGGAAAGGACGGAAAGAAGTAGAGATGCACACAGACAGAAGATAAAACAAAGAAAGAAAAGAATTGAAAAAAAGAAGCAGAGAGAAAGAAAAGAGATGGGAACTCCAAAGTTGTAATTTTCAATTTGCTAAATTAAAAATAAGCCTACTTGTATTTTTTGTGTTCACATAAACAAGCTAAGATGTGAATACATATTCAATAAGGGTTGTATATTGAGCCTTGGATGACCAGATGGTGCTTCCTAGGTTTAGGTACAAGGGAGTGGGTAGAGTAGAAAAGTGGGAAATTGCCTCACTTGGGAATCCTGCCAAAACCAAATGTGGGTGGAGGAAGAGAGGTGAAAAATAAGAAGCTCTGATAAGAGTGCTATTAGAGCAGGCATATCGCAAGGGTCTTTGGGGACTATTTTGGGGAATCTGGCTTTTACTCTTTGAGAGATGGTAAACCATTGGATAGTTTTGAACAGAAGACAGACAAGATCTGACTTACGTTTTAATAAGATGATTTCTGGCAGCTGTACTATGAATGCATTGAAGAGGAGTCAAGGACAGAGCAAGGAGACCAGTTAGAAAGCTATTATAGTACTCTAGGTGAGACATGATGGTGGCTTAGACCAGGGTGGTAGCAGTAGAAGTGGTGAGAAGTGGTCAAATTATGGAAATATTTTGGAGAAAGAACTGGAAGAGTTGGCTGATTGATTGATTTTGTGTGTGTTATGTGTGTGTGTGTAAATGTGAGACAGAAAGGAGGGAGGGAAGGAGAGCAAGTGAGAGAGAGAGCAACAGAACACGGTGGGGTTGAGAAGTCAGTGGAAAGTCTCTTGGGGGAGCCATTTTGAATGGGTGTTGGGGATGGGGAGAGTGAAAACCAAAATCTTGATTTTTCATGTTAAGTCAAGATGCCTATTAGATCCCCAAGTAGTGATGTCTAATATATAAATCTTAGAGTTGAGTAGAGAATCTTAAGGCTCCTATAATAAAGTACCACAAACTGTGCAACTTAACAGAAATGTGTCTCACAGTTAAGGCTAGAAGTCTCAAATCAAAGCATCAAGAAGGTTAGTTCTTTCGAGATTCTGAGGGGAAAAATCTGTCCCTTGCCTCTCCCTAGTTTCTGGTGGTGGCTGTAATCTTTGGCATTCCTTGGCTTGCAGCTGCACCACTCCAACCTCTGCTTGTTTTTTGCTTTTTTTATTTTTTTTTTTTTGAGACAGAGTCTCGCCTGTTGCCCAGGCTGGAGTGCAGTGGCACGACCTTGGCTCACTGCCAGCTCCGCCTCCTGGGTTCACGCCATTCTCCTGCCTCAGCCTCCCTAGTATCTGGGACTACAGGTGCCCGCCACCACACCCGGCTAATATTTTGTATTTTTAGTAGAGATGGGGTTTCACCATGTTAGCCAGGATGGTCTCGATCTCCTGACCTCGTAATCTGCCCGCCTTGGCCTCCCAAAGTGCTGGGATTACAGGCAGGCTTGAGCCACCGCACCCAGCCCTCTGCCTGCTTTTTACGTATCCTTCTCCCTGTGTGTCTGTGTTTTCACATGGTGCTCTCTTCTAAGGACACTAGTCGTGTTGGATGAGGGGCCCACCCTACTCCAGTACGGCATGACCTCATCTTAACTAACTACATCTGCAATAACACTATTTCCAAACAAGGCCACAGTCTGTGGTAACAGGGGCTAAGGCTTCAGCATATCTTTTTGAGGGACACAATTCAACCCATAACAAGTAGGAAGCCCAGGTAGAAGTTATACATTGGGGAGTTATTAGAGTTTAAGGTATTAAAGACACAGGCTGGATGAGAATTGCCAGCGTCTGAGTGAGACAGAAAAAAGAAGTGCAAGTACAGAGCTTTGACATCCTCCAGTGTTTAGAAATTAAAAGGAACAGGAAAGGAGACTTAGGAGGAATGGTCTGTGAAGTAGGAGAGAAACCAGAAAAGCATCATGGCCTAGAGGGTCTGTGAAGAGAGTGATTACAAGAGGGAAGAAGGATCAACTGCATAAAATGCTGCTGACAAATCCAGTAAGAGGGAGAATTGACTAATACATTTAGCAATATGGGGTAATTATTAGTACCTATCTCACAGAACTGTTAGGAGGATATAAAGTTAACAATCCACAAACACTCAGAAAATATTTTGGCACACAGTAAAAGCGCAGTAAGTGCTCACTCTTATTTTAGGAGTGGGATAACGTAGGTCAGTCCACATTCTGCTATGTGAACTTTTGGGTCTAACCAAGTAAGTACATTAGAACAGCGGAGCATAATGGTTAAAAAGCATAAACTGTGGACAACCTACCTGGGCTTGACTTTGGGCTTTACTAATTACTAGCTGTGTAACCTTATGCAAGTTGCTCCATCTCTCCTTGCCTCAGTTTCTTGAGCTATAAAATGAGGATAACAATAGTACCTACCTCATAGGGCTCCTGTGAAGATTAAATATTTTATAATGTTAAAGTGCTAAATGAGTGCCTATCACATAGCAAGTGCTGTAGAAGAGATTTTTATTTTATTATTATTTAAATGAGAACATTAATTTACTTGAATGAATTGTGTCAAAATTGTTCCGAGCAAGCTGTATTGGTACACTGATAGCATTGTTTTTTCACACACACACAAAAAACACACTATTTTGTGATTATTAAAGGGCTCTAGTTATATGAACTTGGGAGATGCTGGAATATTGAATATAAGATTAAAGAGCTTTGTGAATTGAATTGGGGCCCAACTTGATTTAGCAATGTTTATGTAGCTACATACTGCCTAATTTTACTCTCTCTTTAGGAGAATATGTCGTCATGACAACCCACTTCCATCTCAAGCGAAAAATTGGCTACTTTGTGATCCAGACCTACTTGCCATGTATCATGACTGTCATTCTGTCACAAGTGTCGTTCTGGCTCAACAGAGAGTCTGTTCCTGCCCGTACAGTCTTTGGTGAGTGATAATTTATGGAGCGTAGGGGAAAGTCTTATCATGCAGAGTCACAGTGGAGGTGAGAAAGGTGGAAGAATGGCTCCTGGAGAGAATGGGAGAAATTCCTGTGCCTAGCAGGAGTAACTGAATCATCAGACCATGGGGTTTTAGACGACTGAATTCTCAAGGAGGAAGTTAGAATAAGAAGACTGTTGGACCAGTAAGATACTGAAATGCTTCCCATTTCAGTCCTGCTTGCCCCAAAAGCTGGAGAGGGAATTATCCTTTAGTAAAAAAGAGAGGAATTTAGTGCATAGAGTGGAGAAGTTAAAGGGTTAGAAACCAAGCTGTCTGAACAGAGTATTGGATTGGGGGCTTTGTTAAGATCTGCTTTTTTTGTATGAGCGTTTGACTTTGTGGCTTCTTCTCTAGCCTTTTTGAAAGTATGAGTTATCTGATATTGTGTAAAGGCCACACACAGTTTAAAGGATTTCTTAATAGTACCCACGATCAAAGCCATTTTCTTCATCATGAGTATACTGATGTCTAGGAAGACATTTGCATATCATTAGCACTTTTTCCTCACAGACTTAAAACATACAAAACATTTCCTGCCTATTTTTCCCACTGTCGGAGATAAATATTAATTTTTTCAGCTACTAAACTGGCCTCCATGGCAATGATACCTTTGAGGCATATACTTGAGTGTACTTGGTATCCACACAGAAGGTGTTTCTACCAATATCCTGAAGTTTTACTGGGAAGTGAAATAAAAAGTAAATTATGTTTTGGAAGAAGTAGCATTGTAGGTCAGGTATTGTAGGAGATAGCAGTGGAGAAAGAGAAATAGTGACCTGTAAAGTAGGAAAAAGAAAGAATAATCAAAAGGATGTGATATCATGGAAGTCATGTGAGGAGAGTATTTCAAGAAGCAGAGAATACTCATGTGGGTTGAACTGTACTGAGTTTACATGAGATGCAGACAGAAACTGTCTGTTGGGTATTGTGATATACTTGGCTGTTAGGGATCTTGAGAAGAACAGTTCTAGTGAAGTGGAGGGAGCAGAAGCTGTATGAGAGTGGGTTAAATATGCTCACTTTGGGAAATGTAACAAACTAGATACCCTGAAAAAGCTTCCTTTATAAAATCCTAGAAAAGCTAGATAAAACATAGAAACCATTCTTTTTCATTTTTCCTTCCTTCTTCCTTCCTTCCTTCCTTTCTTTCTTTCTTTTTTTTTTTTTCTTTTTTTTTGAGACGGAGTTTCACTCTTGTTGCCCAGGCTGGAGTTCAATAGAGCGTTCTCGGCTCACTGCAACCCCCCGCCTCTCAGGTTCAAGCGATTCTCCTGCCTCAGCCTCCCGAGTAGCTGGGATTACAGGCACCCACCACCACGCCTGGCTATTTTTTTTTTTTTTTTGTATTTTTAGTAGAGACAGGGTTTCAACATGTTGGCCAGGCTGGTCTCCAACTCCTGACTTTTTAGATGATCCGCCCATCTCAGCCTCCCAAAGTGCTGGGATTACAGGTGTGAGCCACAGCACCCGGCCGAAACCATTCTTTTAAGCTAATGTCTTAACGTGAGCTTAAAAGAAATTAAAGGAAATACACAGGGGCCCAAATGAAAGAAGAAACTGAAAATTGAGTGTCAATCCCATTAACTGTACTGTTATGGCAGGAAGATAAGCAGATGGACTCCTGGTCTTGGTAAACAAGAGTTTGACTTTTTAAAGAAAGGCATTTACAACTAAGATTGTGGTAGGCAGAATAACGGTCCCCAAAGATACCCATATTCTAGTCCCTGGAACTTGGGAGTGTGACCTATACAGCAAAAATAACTTTGTAGTTGTGATTAAATAAAAGATCTTGAGATGGAGAGATTATTCTGAATTATCTGGAATGGGGCCTAAATGCAATCACAGTATCCTTATAAGAATCAGGCAGAAGGAGATTTGACTATGGAGGAGAAAGCAATGTGATGACAGAAGGAGGAAAGATTTGAACATGCTCTGCTGTCGGATTTGAAGAAAGAGGAAGGGGATCATGAGTGAAGGAATCCGTCATACAGCTCTAGAAGCTGAAAAAGGTAATAGATTATTCCTTTAGAGCCTCCAGAGGGAGTGCAACCCTGCTGACACCTTGACACTGGACCAGTGAAACTAATTTCAGCCTTCTAGCATCAAGAATTGTAAGAAGGCATTTAATTGTTTTAGGCAACTAAATTTTTGATAATTTGTTACATAAACCAAAGGAAATTAATACAAGGACACTTCCCATGAATTCAATATCATTGAACAGTTACGCTTTCAATGCAAGGGAGTACTAGAAAAATACACTTACTAGTGCAGAGAGACAATAAAGAAGCATGTTTTTTTTGGCCTGGGCTTTGTGTGAAATATGAGATTCCTTGATAATTCATTTGCTAATTCAAACTTGGCCTCACATTAATTTAGAATTTATATTTACATTAATTGCATTGATGTGAGAACCTGCATGTTAAAATGTTTATATAAAAAATGATTGCAGAATTGTTTATGTAAGAAAAAAAGCAAGAATAGCCAATATATCCTTCTAAAAAAGAACAAAGTAGACAGACCGGGAGTGGCAGCTCATGCCTGTAATCCCAGCACTTTAAGAGGCTGAAATGGGAGTACTGCTTGAGCCTAGGAGTTCAAGACCAGCCTGGGAAACATAGGGAGACCTCTTCTTAAATTTTTTCTTTTTAATTAGCCAGACGTGGTGGCACATCCCTGTGGTCCCAGATACTTGGGAGGCTGAGGTGAGAGGATTGCTTGGGCCTGGGAGGTTGAGGCTGCCATGAGCCATGATCATGCCACTGCACTCCAGCCTGGGTGACAGAGTGAGACCCTGTCTCAAAAGATTTTTAAAGAAAATAAGAAAGCCTAAAATACAGCCATATATATGGAAACTTGATTTATGATAAAGATGGCACTGCAGAGAATTAATTTGAGATTGATCATGGATTTAAGTATAAAAGTTAAAAATATGATTATCTTAGAAGAAAATATAAGGCAATATCTGTGCACCCTTTGGTAGACAGAAATTCCTTAGTTCACAAAAACATAATAACAATAAGGAAAAGAACTAATAAATTGGACTTCATCAAAATTAAAAATTTCTGCTCATCAAAGGATAACATTAAGATAATGAAATGGCAAACCATATCCTGAGATAAAGCACACTATATCTGTGCAGACCTAAAAAAATATTTTGAAATATTTATATATTCTGAAAATATAAAAAGCTCCTAAAATTCAATAATAAAAGGACAAAGAATCCAATTTTTAAAATGGGCAAAAGATGTAAACAGATATTTCACCGAAGAATATATACAAATGCCCATAATCATGTAAAAGGATCCTTAACATCATCTTTTTTTAAATTAGGGAAATGTAAACTAAAACCTCATGGAGACATCACTTTAAATACTAGAATGGCTAAAATAAGCACTGAATGTATGAAATGGTAACAGTGGCTTATTGGTTAAACAATACATTTAGAATAAAATACTAGAACATAATGTAATATATATCTGTTGAGATGGGGGTATATGGAGATAAAATGTTCCAAGGACTTTCACTGTCAGAGAAAAGTGTTAAAGTATCAATTAACGTTATTTATTTTATTTTATTTTTTGAGGCGGGTCTCACCCTGTTGCCCAGGCTGGAGTGCAGTGGTGCTATCTCGGCTCATTGCAACCTCTGCCTCCTGGATTCAAGCAATTCTCCTGCCTCAGCCTCCCGAGTAGCTGGGACTACAGGCGTGTGCCACCATGCCTAGTTAATTTTTGTATTTTTAGTTGAGATGGGGTTTCACCATGTTGGCCAGGCTGGTCTCAAACTCCTGACCTTGTGATCCACCCGCCTCAGCCTCCCAAAGGGCTGGGATTCCAGGCGGGAGCCACCACGCCCGGCCTAAAGTTATTATATTATATTTTATTTCTTAAGTCAAGGATGCATGCTGACTGAAACTCTCATAAATCTACTGGGAATGTTAAATGGTAAAATTACTTTAGAAAACAGTTTGGCAATGCCATATAAAGTTAAATATATGCTTACTATATAATCTTGTAGTTCCATTCTTTAGGTATTAACCAAGAGAAATGAAAGCATATACTCACCCAGACTTATATGTAAATCATCCCAGTATCTTTATTCACAATAGTTGAACACTGGAAACAATCCAGATACCCATTACTGGGTGAATGAATAAACAAATTAGGTAATATCAATACAATGGAATGCTGCTGTGAAATTAACAGGAACGAGCCATAGATAGATGCAACAACATGAATGAACCTAAAAATATGCTGAGTGGAGGAAGCCAGACACAAGTGAGTACATACTGTAAAATATTTATACGAAACTCTAAGAGAAAAATCTAATCCATAGAAAATGAAAGCACATCAGTGGTTACCTAAGACCAAGGAGGGGATGGCATGGGCACAAAGGAATCTTTGGGGAGATGGGAATATTCTATAGATGATACTTATGAGAAAGGGCAGAAAGGGGTATCACCAGATGGTAGATGTCTCAAAAGAGCTCAGGTTACAACAACACTGTGATCCGGTAATGGTCTAAGAAGCGCTAGACATCAAAGAAAATATGGATTGCACTTCTTGAGCTCTTGATTCTGAATTATCAACCACATTTTGAGAACCAAAACAGTGTATTCAAGAGGAGAGTCAGGTTTCAGTTAAGACCAAAAGGGGGTTATGCATTCAGAGAAGAGGTTGAGAAAATAGGTGGACTCACCAGTTATACAGTAGCAGAGTTGGGCAGTAAGAAGAGTTTGCGATAAAGGGTTCATAAGTATATGGGTGATAAGGTCAGATAGGACTTTGTAAAACAGAATTAAGCCTGACTGAAAGTGAATTAACAAATATCCTTGCCCTTGTGGTAGTGTCTGAGGTAAACAGATATATGAAATGTGATTAATTCTGATTATCTCCTAAGGGGAGGGAGAATGGGTGCTCATTTTGAATGCTGTGGTCTGAAATATCTAAATTTTTTATCTTTAGGGCTTAACTCTGTATAAGGCACAAAACAGTTAGCAGTGTTGGAGAAAAGAAGACAATAAGAGCTACATTAATAATAATAATAATATATTTAATAATTACCGTAAGAAAAGAACATTATTAACTCTGATAGGAACAAATGTGGTACAGTGGGCTACTTGGCTGTGCCTGAGAATTAAAGTCCTTTCCACTCATCACAGATGTGGTTTGGTATAAGAGACACATGTCATCACGTAAGTGCACTAGAAGTGCTCAAAGGAGACGAGGGAGGACAGTCAGTTCTACCTAAGCCTTTTCAGAAATGTTTTCTAGTCTTGAAAGAGAAGCACTGGTGACAGGCTGAATATCTTTTAAAATGCCAAGAATCTCTTTGTCCATCCATGAAGCGTACCAAAGGCTTGATTGAGGGCCCTACCAGCTCTGACTAGCTAAGAGCTTTCAAAAAGTTGACAGTTTTAATTAAGCCCTAGAGACTAGAGCTCCAAAAATCTCTACTGAGATATGGCACAGAAACACTTATGTTGCAATACAGTTCTCTCCATCTAAGCACTAGCAGCACACTGCTATGAATGTGTCAGAGTGGACAACTGCATTTGCTAATAACCATTAATAAAGTAGCTTGTTTCTCCCATTAAGTAACTACTTGGTTGGTATGATCTGAAGGTTTTCAAGGCCTGGATCCATTGTCAGAGATTACCAGGTTACAGATTCAGAGAGTTTGTTAATAAGTATTAGCTATGTGGCAGATTCCTCACATGGCGTAAAATGTGTTTCGGCTAATCAGCCTTGATGACTCCCTGCCTAGTTGGTGCAAAGGTACTCCTTTAGGGTATTTCTGTTGAAATTGTACGGAGTCTTTTGCAGTCTGGATTTTCATTTATATAGCAAATATATAAGTAAGGTACTACGGCAGACCAAGATAGAAAAGGAAGCCCCAGAGGCTTCAGCACACATGGCTGACCCTCTGGGTAAAGTTAATGGACACAGTGCCTTCTCTGCTTGATTTCGCATATAGCCTCTTTCACCTCATTAGAAATTCATTCCATGCCCCACTTGACCCAGGCTAAGGAGGCTCACTTTCTCCATCCTCTTCAGCATGCCAACGCTAAGAAAGACATTCTGACCATTTCCCCTTCCTCAAGTTTGAATGACTTTGTACATCTACTGCTTTATCAAAATCCTGGGGGACAGAGACAGTAGGGAATATTCATAGATGGGCAAAATGGAGGCACAGAGAGAATAAAGAAATTGCCTAAGATATAAATCAAGTAAGTGGGAGCACTCAGAACATCTAACTTCTAGTGTAGTACTCATTGAGACTAGAAAAACATCACTAGCAATTGTAAAATTATTATGATAATATTGTTGTTAACATTGATTATACTTATACTATTATAATTATATAGTATGACAACACTATTGTTCTAACAACAGTAAAGACAATAGTCATGTTAATTATAGAAGCTACTATTTATGGAATGATTACTCTGTGTCAGGTATTATACTATAGACTTTATGTATATGTGTATATATATACATAATCTTCAATCCCTAACAAATCTCTGTATTATCTGGTGTTATTACCCCCCTTTTACACATGATAAACTGAGGCTCTCTGGGGTAAAACACCTTATTCAAGGTCATATTACTAGTAGGTGAGGTTGCTCAGTTTTCAGCCTAGTTCATTCTGACTCTAAAGCTTATACCGTTAATCACAATTTTATATTATATATATATATATATTCACATGCATATCTAAAATATGAAAAGATTAGAAAAAATGTAAAATATAATTTAAATGTAAATAAAGCCTTGAATTTAGAATAACACTCCCCCCAAAAAAGAATCAATTGGTCTAAAGACAAGCTTGGATTTGGCAAAAACTCACAAGAAACAGATTTCGGAATAGTTTTCATCGTTCACAAAGCCCAATAGGGACCTAGTGTGTGACGCAGCTACAGAACCACTTTCCACGATAGTTTGCTGCATTATCAGAAGACTGTCCAAAATTAAGGAAGTAAGCATCTTACTGAATTCCGACCATGTCCTGAGTCTTGGGCTCAGTTCTGGGCTATTCAGAAAAGAAAAAAAAAGAAAAAAGAAAAAAAAATAGGTTAGGGAAGGAAGTAAACAAGAAAAGGAGTTCATGAGGTGAACTTGAATCTCCATGTTCATTCTGAAGATGAGCAGTTTCGCAAGGAGCCATCACCCTTTTTAGGTCTCTGAAGGTCTGTTCTGGAGAGTAAGGAGCAGATTTTTTTTCCCTTGCATGGCTACAGAAGACACTCCAAGATCGGTCTGTGGACCAGTAGCTAGAAGAAGCCAGATTTCAGTTCGTGAGCTAGTTTTTTTTTTTCTAATTAAAATGCTCTCTTACAATGAAATGGACTACCTGCTCTTTAATGGAAATGTTTAAGCAGAAGCTAGAGGACAACAATTAAATGTAATCCATTGCAGATGCCTATATAGTCTTCTGCCAATTGGGATGGGCTGGTTACTAGGTGGACCCATCAGATTTGATAGTCCAGTGTTTTTTTAAAATTTTATTTTATTTTAAAAGGGCCATTTTGAGTGGGGTAAAGCTTCTCCTTTCAAATAGGAAATTAGTGATTTCATCGAATAAGCTCTCAATGTCTTCCAGTTGCAACTGGTTCTCATCTTTCCTCTCCTCAGGTGTCACCACTGTGCTTACCATGACCACCTTGAGTATCAGTGCCAGAAATTCCTTACCTAAAGTGGCATATGCGACGGCCATGGACTGGTTCATAGCCGTCTGTTATGCCTTTGTATTTTCTGCACTGATTGAATTTGCCACTGTCAACTATTTCACCAAGCGGAGTTGGGCTTGGGAAGGCAAGAAGGTGCCAGAGGCCCTGGAGATGAAGGTGAGATATAGCAAAAGAGAAACTGAGAAGCACCCCCGAGAGACCTGTATTGGGACCAGGAGTGGGCAGCCTATAGCCTGCAAGAACTGGGCAGGGCTATGTGCTATGCACTGGGGTCATCAATCCAGTTCTCAACTGGAGTGCTTCTTGGCAACCTGGCATGTTGTCTGAGGGCAAAGAAAAGAGGGCAGGTATCATGGAGGGTTGATGTCTTGTGGTGAAGGATCAAACCTAAATGTGATGCTGCTAGACTCAAGGGGCACCCATTGGTACTTACAAAGTCACTCAAAGGCTTGGACTCTATCTTCAACCCAGAGTACAATCTCTAAGGCCATCTCTGCCCCTCTTCCCAGTATATTCAAATTACAGTCAAAACAAAATGATCATCTTTCTTTCTGTGTCTGCTTATTTTGCTTTCTGTACCTGGAATGCTCTTTGTTTTTTCCCATGCCTGTTAAAGACCTACTCATTCTTCAAGTCCCAACTGAAATGCTACTTTCTCCATAGAGCCTTTCTGGAATCATTCACAGATTTATCTTTGATTGAGGCATGGGTGCTCCTGATATTAAAATAATTTATTCATATTAGTTTTT
This sequence comes from Homo sapiens, assembly GCF_000001405.40. Lineage (NCBI taxonomy): Eukaryota > Metazoa > Chordata > Mammalia > Primates > Hominidae > Homo > Homo sapiens. The sequence continues at coordinate 152,189,136 of NC_000023.11, read as the reverse complement.
GTCTTCCTCTCACTAGACTGTGAACATTTTGAGGGCAAGAGCTTGTCTGCCTCTTATTTCTAGCTAGCCAACATCCTTGCCTAGCATCTGACTCACAGTAAAAGCTGAATAAATGTTGATTGGATTGGTGCATTGATGGGAAGGAAGAAGAGAGATTAAAATCATTAAACCAACTAAATTGATAGGAATAAAACATGAATACAGTGAAATTAAGATTGTTGTCCCTGGCTGCTTTAAATAAGTTCAGGTCGCTAGAACTAGATGAAGATTATCAAAATATGCTAAGAGGAACTGGCAAATGTGATCTCAGGACCATCCTGGTACTCCTCAAATAATCATGGAGAAGAGAAACGATAATGATTTTTCAAATTAGGAGAAAATATGTATTGCATAGAGTATAGATTGGTGAGTTGGCAAAATTTTTGAACAATTTTTAACTATTTAGATAAAATTTATTAACTCCTTGCTATAAATTATGAAGAGATAAGTGTAGTTCTACTTCCTTAATCTACTCTACCATAGGATTTTTTGCTTGGTTTTATTGTGCTTAATCTAGTTGTTACTTTTGTACCCTTAAAATATATTTATTCCTCTATAACTTGGTTTATCAGCTAGGAACAGGGTCTGTTAGCCCCCCACCCAGGAAGAATATAAGGAAATCAGTACATGCCCACTCCTACCTCTCCTTCTCTCTACCAGTTCCTATCATCTCCTAATTTCTGTTTGCTATACTACTATTGCTCCCTTATTACATTTTATAACACTTACATCCTCCCATGCAACTGTAAATCCTATAATTGTTTAGTCATAGTTCTACATTTAAATGGGTTCTTTTCTTAAAATCGTCCTTTTATCTATCATTTCTATTCATTGTATATTTACATCAATTCCTTTTTTTAAGTTCAGGGGTACAAGTGCAGGTTTGTTATATAGGTAAACTTGTGTCATGGGGGTTGGCTGTATGCTGTACAGATTATTTTATCACCCAGATATTAAACCTAGTATTCATGAGTTATTTTTAATGATCCTCTCCCTCCTTCTTCCCCCCACCTTCCCAAAGGCCCCAGTGTGTGTAGCTATCTTCTATAAGTTTCTTTAAGATGGTCTCATGGGAACCATATTTCCTTCTGTTTTGAATGTATAAAATCATTGTCTATTGTGTTTATACTTAAATAATAGTTGAGCTATTGTACAATCCATGGGTCACATTCTCTTTTTCTGATGACTCCATTAAGACATTTATTACAATACTCAATAGGTCATTTTCTTCCTTTTGTAACAAAGTTTGTGTTAATCGCATGATAGTTTGTCTTCAATTCTTACTTGAAGTTGCATTAGAGAAATTTTTACTACTCTTGTTATGTATGGAAATATCATTGGGGGAGTAACTGAGAGAGTTAGCAGGATAGTAATGAGTAGCTGAGAATGAGTAGTAGAGTAGTTTGAGCATCACTTGTTGTCTATATAATCTCTTATGAGTAGTCTTCCTTGTAGTTGTGATTCTACTTCTGACTAGTAAGAACTTTCCCTTGTTCACAGGAAATCCCTCTATGTTGATACAGGTGTCTGTGTGCATGTCTCTGTGTGTGTTTGTGTATGTGCTTGTGCATGTGTATGCGTGTATAGTATTATATTCTTTAATTTTGCAGTCTCTGTCTCCTCTGCCACTATGTGGTAGTCAGAGTTCCAGGATGTTCTCATTACCAGTTTGAAAACTGATTTTATTTCAAAACAGGGATTGTTTCTTTCCTTTGTCAGGTCATGCCACACACTTTTGGGACACTATCCTTGACCTGAAATCTAGAGCAGCAGGTATCCTCAGTGTCATCTTCACCCTGATCTGATTTTCACTGCGCTTCACTTTCACTTCACTTCCGAGCCCTTACTTCTTGGGATTAAGGTTATAAAAGCTGTTAAGTTTCACCAAAGATAGAGTTCTGGTTTTTATTTCTCATCTTACTGTTTTTGGTTGGTTGCAGAGAGGAAAAGTGAACAAAGGTATCCTTACTCTGACATATTAAACTGGAAGTTCCCTAAAATACATTATTAAACAGATAGATATTTTAGGAGCAGTTAGCAGCAATCAGTGATATACAGCTTGAGTTCACTAATGAGAAATTATCTAACCTCATGAGCATTTGTCAACAGTTTATTGGACTAGTGGACCAGAAAATGTCATAGATTTTAATAAAATATTTGACTAACTTTTAAAAAATTATACCTCCTTGAAGAAAAGGAAGCAGGCTGGATGTGGTGGCTCACGAAGCGGGCAGACTGCTTTAGCTCAGGAATTTGAGACCAGCCTGGGCAACATGGTAAAATCCCGTCTCTACAAAAAAAATTAATAATTATCTGGGCATGGGTGCATATGCCTGTAGTCCCAACTAGTCAGGAGGGTGAGGTGGGAGGTTCATCTGAGCTTGGGAAGTTCGGACTGCAGTGAGCCAAGGTCGCACCACTGCACTCCAGCCTGGGTGACAGAGTAAGACGCTGTCAAATAAAAAAAAGAAGAGAGAGAGAAGAGAGAGAGAGAGAGATAAAGGAAGGAAGGAAGGGAGGGAGGCAAAAAAAAAATAGTACAATTAGGCTGATGTAGTTGGTTGACCAATTCAAATCAAATAGAATTAACTGATGGCGCTGAAGGCGATGGCTCACACCTGTAATCCCGACAGTTTGGGAGGCCAAAGCAGGCAGATCACTTGAGGTCTGGAGTTCAAGACCAGCCTGGCCAACATGGCGGAACCCCATCTCTACAAAAATACAAAAAATTAGCTGGGCACGGTAGCATGCTACTTGGGAGGCTGAGACGGGAGAATCACTTGAACCTGGGAGGTGGAGGTTGCAGTGAGTCGAGATTGCACCACTGCACTCCAGCCTGGGCAACAGACAGAGACTCGGTCTCTAAATAAATAAATAAATAAATAAATAAACAATTAAATAAATTGACTGATGGACTGACAGACACCAAACTGAATGGAGGTCCCTGGGGTTACACTACAGGACTTTGTCTTTGACCCTGCTTTTTCAAATGTTGTTATTAATGACTCAGATGAAGACATATAGGGTAGAAGACTCAAATTTATAAGCTGGTATTAATGAATATTGGTTGGGGAATGAGTATTTTCTGAATTAGGAATCAAAGAGGATTTCTAAATTTGAAAGGACAAGCTTAAATTAAAATATTAACATTTGCTAAATCAAATACAGATTCTTACACATAGGTACAAAAAAATAGACCTGGGATTAAAAAAGCTTAACAATTAAACATTGAAAATAAAATGCTAGGATATGAAGAAAATGCAAATCTAATGTACGCCTACTTTGTGCTACAACTCTGGAAAAGCTCAATTTGATTTGGGTCTGAGTTAAGAATCACCTAGAACTAGTGAGAGCATAAGCCCTATTTGATTTGGGTCTAAGTTAAGAATCACCTAGAACTAGTGAGAGGATAAGCCCTTTTTATTATGTACTGGTTGGCCCGTGTTTAGAGTACACTGTTCCAGTTTGGTTACTACAGTAGAGGAGGGACAAATGCCTCAGGGGGATGATTATTGCTATTTTTAGATAGCTGCAAGGCTTCCATGATGTTTTATAAAAAATGAGACAGATTTTTTTTTATGGCCAGTAAGAGGAGTGGAAGTGGTTTGAAGACAGAGAGAGGACTTAAATAGATTGTTAGAAACTCTAGAGCTAGACATCAGAAATGATGACCATTTCTCCATTTAAAAAGTGCTAAAATTTTAAATAGAGAGAACAAAAAGAATATTATAAAACTATTTTGCAAAGATAGTGATCTCAGTCTTCCTCTTTAGTCTCTATGGTCAGTCCATTTAAGTTATCTCAAGAAGCATATTATGAGAATTGAAAAAAAGATGGAATGCAGAAAAATGGATCTCTAATGTACAGGTGCTCTGCTTTGTCTGCACCGCTACAATACGGAGCAACTAATAGTGAGATCAACAGAAAAAAATTTGAAGTGCATTGGAAGGGAAAATATTAGAATTTAATAATAACTTAGTTTCTTTTTTCTTCCATTAGGGAGACATATTAAACCTTTTTGCTTCCTAAAGCTGGAATGGGTGAGCATAAAACAGTTTTAAAATAATATAACTGATTTTAAGATTTATTTTTGATCTGTATTATGATCAGGCATTAGATAAAATGTGAGAGGAAACATTAGAAAGGAAAAAAAGAAGATACAGAAATAAAACCTCATTTTTAAATGAAGATAACTGACTACCCTGTAATTGCACTCTAGACAATAGATGAACTGTGGGTTTTTGATGATCAACCACATGTTTTTATCACTGCTTCCTTTGAAGATTCCGCTAAAATGAGAGTAAAGGAATAAAACAGGTATAAAACCACAAGTAACAGGTGAGAAGGACAAGGGATGTCAGTCAGACAAGAGATATTAACATAGCTATAGAAGAATGAACATTGATGGAGGTTATAATAACTGATTTATCGAACTGCAGTAAAACATAACCCGGGAGAAATTCAGTGTTAGGAAGCGCTAGATACAATAGAGAATAAAACAAAAGTCTGTGTACAGAGTACTCCAGACTCCAGAGCCTGCTCAATATGTGAAATGTCTCTAGCCAGATGTATACTCTCCAGGAAAAAACAGCAGGGTTGCTCTTCTAAAGAAGCTGAGCATCCCTAGAGGAAAGTTTTTGCATACTGACATTTTGAAGTATCCCCTCAAAATGACCTACTTTACCTAATCATCCTAAATCACAGCCCACCAATCAACAAGCTCAGGTTAGCTACATGAGCAAACAGACATCTTCTCTGTTACCAAATAATACTGGGATATCAAGGATCACCAGTTAAAAGTTTGCAATGTGAAAGAGAAGAGCAAAGATTAAAACAAAAACAGGCAAATAAACTAAAAAGGAACACCTCACCTTGAGGGGACAGACATAATTTAGGGAATTAAAGAGAACGTAAGAAAAACAAGACTTTTACTTTAGATTTGTAAATATATTAATAAAATAAGAACAGGATGCTATATAAAAATAAATCAGAGAATAAGGAAGAGGTATTGAAAATAAAAAGAATTGCCAAAATAAAAATTTCAATAGAGAAGTAGGAAAATAAATTAAAGGAAATCAGTCTATAAGTAGAGCAGAAAAAAAAGAATGTGAAAGGAAAGGTAAGAGATCTAGGGATAAAACCAGGAAGTTCATCCAAACTTAAAAAGAAAAATTATATCGAGTATCTTTCCCAACCACAATAGTATGAAACTAGAAAGCAATAAAGAGAATGATTTTGGAAAATTCACAAATACATGAAAATTAAACAACATTCTCCTGAACAACCAATAAGTCAAAGGAGAAATTAAAAGGGAAATTTAAAATATCTTGAGACAAAAATAGACCTACAGTGTACCAAAACTTATGAGTTGCAGCCAAAGCAGTTCTAAGAAGAAGGAAGGTTATAGCAATAAACACCTACATCAAAAAAGAATAAAGATCTCAAATAAGCAATCTAACTTTATGCCTTGAGGAACTTAGAAAAAGAAGAACTAAGCCCAAAGTTACTAGAAAGAAGCAAAGACTAAAGATCAGAGCAGAAATACATGAAATAGGGAACTTAAAAATCAATAGAAAAGATCATTAAAACTAAGATGTGTTTTTTTTTCAAAAGATAAACAAAATAGACAAACCTTTAGACTAAGAAAAAGGAGAGAAGACTCAAATACAAAAAATAAAAAATGAAACAGGAGATGTTAACAACTGTTATCACAGAAAAACAAAGAATCATAACAGATTACTATAAACAATTGTATGCCAACAAACTGATAATCTAGAAATAATAGATAAATTCCTAGACATACATCACCTGCTAAGACTGAATCATGAGGAAATGGAATATCTGAACAGACCAATAATGAATAAGGAGCTGAATCAGTAACAAAAAGTCTCCCATCAAAGAAAAGCCCAGGACCTGATGTCTTCACTGTTGAATTCTACCGAGCACTTAAAGAAGAACTAATACCAATCATTCTCAAATTCTTCCAAAAAATTGAAAAGGGAATACTTCCAAACTCATTTTATATGGCCAGCATTACCTTCATACCAAAGACAGGCAAATACACTACAAGAAAAGAAAATTGCAGGCCAATATCCCTGATGAACAAAATAGATGTAAAAATCCTCAACAAAATTCTAGCAAACCAAAGTTAACAGTACATTAAAAGAATCATTCCCCAGAACTTCTTAAAGTATATATGTATACACTATATATATATACACTATATATAGTACTATAGTATATATACTATAGTATTTATATACTATATATATGTATATATATGGTGTAAATATATACATATATAGTATATATATACTGTATATATATACTATATATACACTATATAGTGTATATATAGTGTATATATACACTATACCTATATATGTATATATACACTATATATACATATATAGTGTATATATAGTGTATATATACACTATATATGTATATATAGTGTATATATAGTGTATATATACTATATATGCATATATAGTATATATAGTGTGTATATACACTATATATGCATATATAGTATATATATAGTGTATATATACACTATATATGCATATATAGTGTGTATACTATATAGAGTATATATACTATATATAGTATGTATACTATATATAGTGTACATATATACACTATATATAGTGTGTATACATACTATATATAGTGCATATATAGTGTGTCTATATATACTAGTGTATATATACACTATATATAGTGTATATATACATAGTGTGTATATATATACATACACTGTGTGTGTGTGTGTGTGTGTGTGTATATATATATATAACACGTCAGGCAATGGCTGTAAGGGTTAAATCATAAACTTAAAAAAAATACTCATCTTGACCAAGTGGGATTTATCCCAGGGATGAAAGGATGGTTCAACATGTGTAAATATATAAATATGCTACACCACATTAACAGAATGAAGTCCAAAACCAAGTTGTCATCTCAGTAGATGCAGAAAAAGCATTTGACAAAATTCAACATTCTTTCATGATAAAAAACCTCTCAACTAATTACAATCACAATAAAGGCCATATATGACAAACCCACAGCTAACATCATACTCAGTGGTAAAAAGTTAAAAGCTTTTTCTCCAAGGTTAGCAGCAAGACAGGTATGTCCACTCTCACTACAGTATTGGAAGACCTATCCAGAGCAATTCAACAAGAGAAAGAAATAAAGGGCATCCAAATTGGAAAGGAAGAAGTTAAATTTTCCCTGCATATGGATGGCCTGATCTTTTTTCTTTTTTTTTATTATTATACTTTAAATTTTAGGGTACATGTGCACAATGTGCAGGTTAGTTACATATGTATACATGTGCCATGCTGGTGTGCTGCACCCATTAACTCGTCATTTAGCATTAGGTATATCTCCTAATGCTATCCCTCCCCCAGCCTCCCACCCCACAACAGGCCCCAGAGTGTGATGTTCCCCTTCCTGTGTCCATGTGTTGTCATTGTTCAATTCCCACCTATGAGTGAGAATATGCAGCGTTTGGTTTTTTGTTCTTGTGATAGTTTACTGAGAATGATGATTTCCAATTTCATCCATGTCCCTACAAAGGACATGAACTCATCATTTTTTATGGCCTGATCTTATATATAGAAAACCCTAAAGACCCTACAAAAAAGAAAAGAAAAGAAAAGAAAAAAGCTGTTAGAACTAGCAAATAAATTTAGTAAAGTTGCAGGAGACAAAGTCAACATGCAAAAATCAGTTGCATTTCTTTATCAACAATGAACTATCTGGAAAAGAAATCAAGAAAGCAATCCCATTCACAATAAGTACAAAAAATAATAAAATACTTAGGAATAAATTTAACCAAGAGGATAACAGACTAGTACACTAAACCTATAAAATACCAAATAAAGAAATTGAAGACACAAATAAATGGAAAGATACCCACTGTTCATGGCTAGAAGAATTAATATTGTTAAAATGTTCATGCCACCCAAACTGATGTACAGATTAAATGCAACTCTATCAAATTCCAATGTCATTTTTAATAGAAATAGAAAAGATACAGTCCTAAGACTTACATGGAACCACAAAATACTCTGAATGTCAAAGCAATCTTGAGCAAAAAGAAGAAAGCTGAAGGCATCGTATTACCTGACTTCAAAATATGCTCTAGAACTATATTAACCAAAACAGCTTGGTACTGGCATAAAACAGACACACAGAGCAATTTAACACAATAGAGAGCACAAAAATAAATTCATGCATTTATGGTTAATTGATTTTCCACAAAGGTATCTAGAACACACAATGAAGAAAGGACAGCCTATTTAACAAATGATGTTGGGAAAACTGGATAGCCACACACAGAGAAATGAAGTTAGACCCTTATCTCACACCATATGCAAAGGTCAACTCAAAATGGATTAAAGGTTTAAATGTAATGCCTGAAATTCTAAAACTACTAAAATGAAACATTGGGGAAAAAAATCTCTGTGAAACAAAGGTAATTTGAATATGATCCCAAAAGCATAGGCAACAAGAGTACAAATAGACAAATGGGATTACACCAAACTAAAAAGCTTTTTGATAGCCAAGGAAACAATCAACAGAGCAAAGAGACAACCTATAGAATAAAAGAACATATTTGCAAACCAACCATCTAATAAGAGGCTAATATAAAAACTATACAAGGAACCCAAACAACTCAATAGCAAGAAAACAACCCAATTTAAAAATTCACAAAGGACTTGAATAGGCATTTCTCAAAAGAAGACATACAGCTAGATAATAGTTATATTTTTAAAATGCTCAAGATTACTAATCATCAGAAAAATGTAAATTAAAACCACAATGAGATATCACCTCACACTTTTAAAAATGTCTGTTATCAAAAAGACCGAAGATAACTGTTGGTGAGGATTTGGAGAAAAGGGAATCCTTCCACACTATTGGTGGGAATGTAAATTTGCAAAGCTAGTATGGAGGTTCCTGAAAAAATTAAAAATAGAAATACCAAATGGTTGATCGACCCCACTACTGGGTATATATCCAAAGAACTTGAAATCAGTATGTCAAAGAAGTATGTGTACTTGTATAATAATTACAGCATTATTCACAAAAGCCAATATGTGTAATCAACCTAAGTGTCTATAAACTGATGAATAGATAAAGAAAATGTGGTATAGGCAATGGAATACTATTCAGCCTTTAAAAAAGAAGGAAACCCTGTCATTTACATAAGCACGGATGAACCTGAAGAACATTACTATAAATGAAATAAGCTAGGCACAGAAAAGAAAAATACCACATGATGTCACTTACATGTGTGATCTAAAAAAGTTGAACTCTAATCCCAGCACTTTGGGAGACTGAAGCGGGCAGATCACGAGGTCAGGAGATCGAGACCATCCTGGCTAACATGGTGAAGCCCCATCTCTACTAAAAATACAAAAAATTAGCCAGGTGTGGTGGCGGGCGCCTGTAGTCCCAGCTACTTGGGAGGCTGAGGCAGGAGAATGGCGTGAACCCGGGAGGCAGAGCTTGCAGTGAGCCGAGATCGCGCCACTGCACTCCAGCCTGAGCGACAGAGCGAGACTCCATCTCAAAAAAAAAAAAAAAAATTGAACTCACAGAAGCAGAGGGTAGAATGGTGGTTACTGGGGACTGGGAGTTGGGGGTAGTTGTTGGTCAAAGAATACAAAATTTTACTTAGAGAAGAATAAGTTCAAGAGACCCTATCGTACAACAAGTGACTGTAGTTAATAGCAATGTTCTGTATTCTTGAAAACTGCTAAGAGTAGATTTTAAATGTTCTTACCACAGAAAATGATAACTGTGAGGCAATGCATATGTTAATTAGCCCAATATAGCCATTCCATAATGTACACCTATTTCAAAACATCATTTTGTACATGATAAATACATGCAATTTCATTTGTCAATTAAAAATGAATAAATAGAAATAAAAATTATAAAAAGTGAAGTACTAAAGTGACAACTGTGCAGCAAGCAAATTTGCAAAGGAACCAGTCCAGTTTGCAGATGGCTACTACAGGGATTTATACAGTCATTTATAATGCTATCACCACTGGTTATTGATAGAACTAAAAAGTTTGCTATAATTGTACTAGAGGATTCAGGAAGGGTTACATATGTGAAATAAATCATTTATCATGAAAAGACAATTGGTAGTAAGCAAAACTGGTAGCAGTATAAATATATTGTATAAAAGTATAGAAATAACTATTAGAAGTATTACTATCACCTAAGAGAATTAAAAATAAATACCTACAAGGGGCTGGACAATGGGTTTGGGTGCATTGGGGTAAGGGTTTCTTGATTTTCATAAGTTTTCAACTTCAATTTTTTAAACTATGTCCATTACTACTTTAAGTTATTCAACATTAAAAATAATAAAAGCAAATTTAAATGAAAAAACAAATCTCAACATTTAAAAAGAAGAAAATTATTCTTAGAACCATTTATAAAATTTGTATAACTTCTTGTATAAATTTTGCAAAAAATAGTAATGCTTGGACTTTCTTTTTTTATTTTCAAATGCTCTAGAATAAAATTTTATCTTTTTTACATTGGAGAAAACATTCACATTCTCTTCAAATCTTGGAAAAGCTTAGTTTCTTGTCCTTAATGGCTTTTAAGTCTATGGGTCATTCCTGCAATTGTAGCCACAAATCAAATCACCCCTTGGTATTTCTTTGTTGGGTAAGTAACATTCAATATGGGTTAAGTTTTACTCATAAACTGGTGGTCTTCCTACCTTGCTCTGCAGTAGGTATAAGTGGCCTAGCAGTAATCATAGTCTCGATTGAAACACACACACACACACACGCACACACACACACACATAGACGCACACACGGCAATTATTTCTGGAATACCTGTGGTTTGCAAAACTAAACTACATGGTCCCAGTACTCAGGACCTGATGGTCTAAGAAAAGTAAGGCATATATCCATATATATATACACACATATACAGACAGAGCACTGATATAGGACAAAGTGCTGAGTGTCACAGGAGAGATAAATCCAAAATACTTCCTCTCTATTTTGTTGTTTACCTTACTGAGTACTTGACTGTTTCCTAAAAAATCTACTGCCCTTGCAAGTGGAAGCCACTCCTCCATTCCCTCCTGCTGCTTCCAGGCCACTGTTTACTCCTTTACTTCATGCAAAAAGTTTTGTCCTTTGATGTTCACTTCATCTGGCTTTATCACTCTATTTTTCTTCATCTTGCTCAACTTAGCAACATTATTGTATTCTCTCCGTGTTCATTTCATATGTAGGATTTCTACAACCAGTTCACTTTATTTGCAACTGCCCCAAGTTCTCTCTTTGTTTTTCAATTGGATGACTCATCTGACATCATAAACTGGAATTGAGCCTATTAAATGAGGTCTGGATTGTCCCATTTACCAGGCATTGCTACTGTTTCCAGCACTACGTGAAGGTTTCAGAAATGAACCAATCTAACTGCCTGTATATTTGTTCTAGTGTTTTGTTTTTGTTTTTTGTATTTTTTTTTTTTTTCAGAAAAACAGTGACAGTAAGTCAGCTAATTGTGTTAGTGTTTTTGGAACTGTTACTTGACATCAGAAGAGTTTTGTAATGAAATTTGTGGACACATGAGGCCATATGTTCCATAGGGCTCGCCTCTGTGTCATCCTTGGTCAATACCCAAATTGTAGTTTTCTCTATGGTTATTTATCCTCCCCTCACTTCTTATCCTTATCCTCTTCTGTGGTTTTTTCTTGACGTATCCTCCTACTCCTCATAAACTGTCCCTCACTTCCCTCAGGAACTCCTGTTCATGGGAAGATAAAACATTCTGCCCCAGCAGCTTCTTCATTGAATGACCCGTCCACCTCCTGTTTTAACTGATATGTGATTCTCAGTTGAGACTTCCTTCCAACTGCCTTCCTGCTTGGCAGAAGCTGTTAATCAGATTCCCATTTTCCAGAAGTGTAGTTTACATCGTCTTAATCCCCAGTACTGCTTTCAGACCATTACTCTCTCACTCTTTGATATTAAAGATGTCTTCTTTGAAAAAGGTGTCAACTCCTCACTTGGATTCTCATACATCAGGATTTCCTGTTTTTCTTGTTCGTCCTTGGTATTTTCTTTGCACTATCCTTGTCTTCTTTCCAGCACTAAACGTTAGAGCATTTCAGGGCAGCTCAGTCAGATCTGCAGGCCAGTCAGCAGTCTGATCTCTTTTTTATTTTCTGAATCTGTACTCACTTCTCAAGCGACCTCATTCAATCCCAAGACATTGAATCAATGGCCATCTAGAGGCGAACAACTTCCAAATATGTATCTCTATCCCAAACCTTTCCCCTAAGCTGCAGACTGATATATGTAACTGTGTACATCTCTATTGGGATTATATTCCTATTGGGATGTCTGATAAAAATGTAATTCTCATATCCAAACACAACTCCTCATCTTCCCCCTAAACCTGCTCTTCTTCAAGTCTTCCCAGCACAGCCAATAATGTCACTATTCTTCCAGATGCTCAGGCCAAAAACCTGGAATCCATTCTTAATTCTTTTATTTTTCTTACCTGCCCCCAACTCTGCTCTCAGACAACCCAAACCTAACTCATCAGCAAGTCCTAACTCCTCTACGTGCACAATATAACTTGAATCTGTCTACTTTTCTCCATATCTAACATTCAACACACCACACCTCTTCACTAGCCTCATTAGGACTAACATCCTAATTTTAGTCCTTTACTTTCAGTGCCTACACATCTATTCTCTGCCCAACAGTAGGGAAGATCAATTAAAATAGTAAATTATAAAAATTCTGCTCCAAATAGTTTAATGGCTTCCCACTACATTTAGATCAAATTCCATTATTCTTACGATGGTGCTCAAAACCTTACAGGATCTTGTCCTTAGATCTGTGATGGTACCTCTTACCATCTTTTTTGAATTTTCATTCACTCCACTCACTCATCCCATAGTGGCCTCCTTGATGATTCTATTTATTTATTTATTTATTTATTTATTTATTTATTTATTTATTTTTGAGATGGAAACTCACTCTGTCACCCAGGCTGGAGTAGAGTGGTGCAATCTCGGCTCACTGCAACCTCCATTTCCTGGGTTCAAGCGATTCTTCTGCCTCAGCTTCCTGAGCAGCTGGGACTACAGGCGTGTACCACCATGCTTGGCTAATTTTTTGTATTTTTAGTAGAGACTGGGTTTCACCGTGTTAGCCAGGATGATCTCGATCTCCTGACCTCATGATCTGCCCGCCTTGGCCTCCCAAAGTGCTGGGATTACAGGCGTGAGGCACCGTGCCCAGCCTCCTTGATGATTCTTAATGAATCACTTTCATTCCAAGCCCAGGTACTTTGTCATTACCATTCTTTCTCTATGGAATGTTTATTGTTGAGATCTTTTCACAGCTTGCTTTCTTATTTTGTTCAGGTCTCTACTTACCTTCTCAGGCAGACCTTCTATCACTAGCATTCATCATCTTTTTCTGCACTGCCCTGCTTTATGTGCTTCCATGATAATTCTCACCTCCTGACATTACATTGCTTTATGCATTTTTTTGCTTCTATGTTTATTACATGTCCCCCCAACTGGGATGTGAACTCCTTTAGGGCAGGAGCTGTGTTTTACCATTTATTCCTGCACCCCAAGCACCTAGCACAGAACCTGTCACATTGTAGACGCAGAAAATATTAAATAAATGGATGATTTCCTATGTTTTCCTTGCTTCTCTATCCAGCATAGGTCCCACACTGTATCACTGCAGTCACTCACCAGCACTCTTGACCTCCCTAGTCACTTCAGTCCAAGTCCTCTATTTCTCTCCGAAAAAAAAAAAAAATCCATTGCTATTGATGGATTGGTGACATTTATGAGTGTATTTTTGAATTCTGCTGTTCCTTCAACCTATGCCTGCAGTTACTCTCTGTCCCTAATTAGTTCTGTCTTCTTTATTCTACAAAATCTAGTTTAAATTAGCCAGGCATGTCTACAGCTATCTGATCTTTGACAAACCTGACAAAAACAAGCAATGGGGAAAGGATTCCCTATTTAATAAATGGTGCTGGGAAAACTGGCTAGCCATATGGAGAAAGCTGAAACTGGATCCCTTCCTTACACCTTAGACAAAAATTAATTCAAGATGGATTAAAGACTTAAATGTTAGACCTAAAACCATAAAAACCCCAGAAGAAAACCTAGGCAATACCATTCAGGACATAGGCATGGGCAAGGACTTCATGTCTAAAACACCAAAAGCAATGGCAACAAAAGCCAAAATTGAAAAATGGGATCTAATTAAACTAAAGAGCTTCTGCACAGCAAAAGAAACCACCATCAGAGTGAACAGGCAATCTACAGAATGGGAGAAAATTTTTGCAACCTACTCATCTGACAAAGGGCTAATATCCAGGATCTACAATGAACTCAAACAAATTTACAAGAAAAAAACAAACAACTCCATCAAAAAGTGGGTGAAGGATATAAACAGACACTTCTCAAAAGAAGACATTTATGCAGCCAAAAGACACATGAAAAAATGCTCATCATCACTGGCCATCAGAGAAATGCAAACCAAAACCACAATGAGATACCATCTCACACCAGTTAGAATGGCGATCGTTAAAAAGTCAGGAAACAACAGGTGCTGGAGAGGATGTGGAGAAATAGGAACACTTTTACACTGTTGGTGGGACTATAAACTAGTTCAACCATTGCGGAAGTCAGTGTGGCGATTCCTCAGGGATCTAGAACTAGAAATACCATTTGACCCAGCCATCCCATTACTGGGTATATACGCAAAGGACTATAAATCATGCTGCTATAAAGACACATGCACACGTATGTTTATTGCGGCACTATTCACAATAGCAAAGACTTGGAACCAACCCAAATGTCCAACAATGATAGACTGGATTAAGAAAATGTGGCACATATACACCATGGAATACTATGCAGCCATAAAAAAGGATGAGTTCATGTCCTTTGCAGGGACATGGATGAAGCTGGAAACCATCATTCTCAGCAAACTATGGCAAGGACAAAAAACCAAACACCGCATGTTCTCACTCATAGGTGGGAATTGAACAATGAGAACACATGGGCACAGGAAGGGGAACATCACACACCAGGGCCTGTTGTGGGGTGAGGGGAGAGGGGAGGGATAACATTAGGAGATATACCTAATGCTAAATGACGAGTTAATGGGTGCAGCACACCAACATGGCACATGTATACATATGTAACAAACCTGCACGTTGTGCACATGTACCCTAAAACTTAAAGTATAATAATAATATAAATAAATAAATAAATAAATAAATTAGCCAGGCGCGGTGGCTCATGCCTGTAATCCCAGCACTTTGGGAGGCTGAGAATTGAGTACAGATTCAGAAAAAACACCTGAGGTCAGGAGTTCGAGACCAGCCTGACCAAATGGAGAAACTCCCTTCTCTACTAAAAATACAAAACTATCCTGGGGAGGGGGGCAGCGGTGGCACATGCCTGTAATCCCAGCTACTCAGGAGGCTGAGGCAAGAGAATTGCTTGAACCCGGGAGGCAGAGATTGCAGTGAGCCGAGATCATGCCATTGCACTCCAGCCTGGGCAACAAGAGCAAAGTTCCATCTCAAAAAATATATATATACATATATATTCTAGTTTAAATCTTTGCTATTTATTTAACCTTCCTCATGGGGAATGTAGAAGCCATTGTATGAGATTTCCCTTAACCTACTGTGCTCCTTTCTCTCCACCAAAATATAGTATCTAATCTCATCCATTCTTTCCTTCTCAGCTGTGATCTGGACCTGAGAAATTCCACACTTATGCTCTAGATAACCCCCACCCCCCCACCGCCTTTACAGGAAAGTGGTGCAAGTGATTATTTTTCTTCCATCTGCATTTTCTCTCCTTTCCATTGACTTACCTGACAGTTCCAAATTCTTCCTTCTCTTGAACTCCCTTGATTTCATTATTCATGCCCCTCTGAATGTTTCTAATTTGTGCTTTCTCCTGTATATTTTAATTCTCTCTTATTTTAATTAACCTTCCTCACTAAACTAGATTTCCTGAGGGCAGGGTCTCTGATTTAATCATATATGTGTATATATGTGTGTGTGTGTGTGTGTGTGTGTGTGTGTACACATACTCGTAAATATATATAACCTTAATCAATTTGAATTGTGTAATTCAGTCCTGTTAAATACATTCACATTGCTGTGCAGTCTCCTGAACCCTTTTCATCTTGCAAAACTGGACCTCTGTATTCATTAAACAACAACTCCCCATTCCTTTCTGCCCTAGCCCCAGCACCCACCATTCTACTTTCTGTCTCTATGAATTTGCTACTCTAGATATGTCATAGAAGTAAAATCACATAACAGTTATCCTTTTGTGACTGGCTTATTTCATTTAGCATCCTCAAGATTCATGTCTGTTGTAGTATATATCAGAATTTCCTTCCTTTGTGAGGTTGAAGAATTGTGAATGGAATGAATTCATTGTGTGTATATACCACATTTTGTTTATTGTTCTCTCGATGGACACTTGGGTTGCTTCCACCATTTGGCTATTGGGAATAATGAAGGTGTGAACATGGGTATGCAAATATCTCTTTGAGACCCTGCTTATAATTTGGGGATATATACTCAGAAGTGGAACTGCTGAATCATATAGTGATTCTATTTGTAAGTTTTTGAGGAACCCTCACAACATTTTCCATAGTGGTTGCACCATTTTACATTCCCAATAGTGCACAAGGGTTTCAATTTCTCCACATCCTTGCCAATACTTGATATTTTCTGGGGTTTTTTGGTAGTACCCATCATAATGTGAGGTGGGGTCTCATGGCTTTGATTTGCATTTCTGATTAGTGATGCTTACCATCTTTTCATGTGATTGTTGGCCATTTGTAAATCTTTTTTGGAGATATGTCTACTCAAGTCCTTTGCCCATTTTTAAATTGAGTTGTTTGGGTTTTTGTTGTTGGTTTTATTCATCTTTGAGTCCCACATAGCATATATTCCATTGTTTTGCCCCACTTCTGGAAATGGGCTCAGAAAAGCTGAGCACCTGCAAGGGGGTTGACACAGAGGCACTGGACCATGTAAGTATATACTCTGAGGTTCTAGTTGAGCTTCACCTTTAGAGACAATTGACAGGAGTATCATCGGAGGAAGACTCTTGAGTGGGACATGCATTTCTCTATAAAAGTTTTCATTGCCTCATCACAAAACCCACATGAAATAGATTTTTAGAAGGAAAGGCGTTCCTGTTCTGGATTCAAACTCCTTGGGAAATTTGGAGAAGTCAATTTCCACTTTTTGGTTAGGAAATTGCCCTAGGCTGAACTTTGGAGACATGCTATTTATGCAGCAAAGGTCAAGACTCAGGGGAAACAAACAATAAATCACATTGATAATCTTCAATGGTGGGTATTTTTTCATTCAGTAAACATCCATCATTTGCCTAAGAGCCAGATACTTGGCTAGGGGGTAGGAATATTATGACAATTCGGTCAAAGTTAAGTCATCTCAGTCTGTATCTATCAAGGAGAATTACTGGAAAACTAGGTGTAGAAATGGGTAAATATTACCATTAATCTATGGCTCATTTTCCTATTTTCTTGACACTCAAATTTTGCTTTGATTTCCTTCTTTAATGATTTAGGTAAAAAATTGTAGTGGCTGATTAAAATGTGTCATGTTGAAAATGGTGGAAGAAATTAAAAGGTAATTTTCCCTTACTACTTAAAAAATCTGTGATTAACGTGATTGCTGCTTCTCCCCATCTATAGAACATAAAGTGCCTATGGAGCTAAAAAAAAGTATTCATTGTTCAGAATCACTGTTTCAGAGACTTAGTCATAGCCAGTTTATAAGATGGCTAAGTGAAGTAACATATATAAAAGCTTCTAGAAAAGTCAGGGCAATATTTTCTTTCCTTTCTTTTTTCTTTTCTTTCTTTCCTATAATTTTTGGTCTACCCATGAAAAAAGAGTTTACTAAGCAAATTAATAAGCAAGTTTGCAAACAAGCAAAGCACCCTTTTATTTAATAGCAAAGACATTTAGCAGCAGGGCTCTATTCACACAATGAATTTGCTAATTATAAGTGAGTCCCATGTAGTATTTAAATAATTTACAAGGTTTTTAGAAACCTTAGAGTTCTGTCCCCCTTCCACTTGTAACAATGTGATTGCAATCCCCAGGGAGAAAGAATATTGCTTTCAAAATATCCTATTAGTCAGACTGTTCAATTTACGTAAACCAACATCCTCTCATCTGTCGCACTTCCCGTCCATGACTGAAAACACTGAGGCCAAAATAAGCAGACAAAGCAAGAGAGCATAGCATATAAGGCCTTTCAAGGTCTTGCTGCTGCCTGTTTTACACAGCCTCAGTTTCTGCAACTCTTTGCCATGCACGCTGTGGCCCAGCTACAGTAAACTTCTTGTCAACTCAAAAAACAGTGCCCTTGGCCAGGTGTAGTGGCTTGCACCTGTAATCCCAGTGATTTTGGAAGCCAAGGTGGGAGGATCACCTGAAGCCAGGAGTACAAGACCAGCCTGGGCAACATAGTGAGACATCATCTCTAAATTAAAAAACAAAAAAATAGCTGGGCATGGTGGCACATGCCTGTAGTCCCAGCTACTCAGGAGCCTGAGGCGGGAGAATCACTTGAGCCCAGGAGTTCAAGACTGTAGTGGGCTATGTTTACACAAGGCCCACCAGCCCAGGTGACAGAGCAAGACCCATGTCTCTAAAATAAATAAATAAAGTGTCCTTGGCCTGTGTACTGGCCTTTGCCGCATGCTCATCTTTTGTGACCCAGAGCATAAACTTCATTGCCTTCTCTGAGCCACCTTTTCCAATGCCTGCAGGTACTTTGTCCCTCCTTTGACTGATTTCCCATAGTACTTGGCCCAGATCTTTGAGAAGTCTGATCACGTTCAATGGCAATCGTGTGCTTAAAAGGCTTTCTCCCACACCCGAGTGTGAGCTCCTGGAAGACAGGGACTCATGTTTTACCCTTTCCATTTATCTCTAAGTACCTAGCATAGTTCTTGGCCCAGTACGCATTCAGTAAATATTGGGCAAAAGTTATTAGGATCACTATAGTAAATGGCAGTGACGTCTAAAGGAGAAAAAATAAGAATGATGGGGACTCTGAAGTTAAGAAGAAAGGATATATGAAGAGATGAGGAGATAGGGGTCAGCAAGAGAGGATGGAAATAGAGAAACACACAAAGAAAACAAGTAGGAAGTGAAGGAATAAAGAAGTGAAGCCTGGGTTCTGGGAAGCAAAGTAACATCAAGAATGCACTCATGAGGTATGTGAAATTAGGGCATTTCTGAAGCTCATCTATACCCACTTTTCCCTAGAGCCAAACTGGGATGGAAGAAAAGGCCAGAGTGAGGAATGAGGCAACAAACCATCTATAGACTATGAGCTAGGCCACTGCATTTGGCCTGGGGCTGGGGTTGGCCTCCTTCCCTGGCCTCTCCTGTTCTTCAGCTTCTCAGTTTGTATCCAGGCCTAAGCATTGTCTCCTCTTCTCTCTTCTGCATCAGGGGAGGCCCAGTGAGGCTCTCTGTATACACAAGTTCATATATATGAGAGCAAATTGGCCTGTGTGTGTGCTTGCTTCCCACTGGGTGTTTGAGTTTCTTTCACTCTTAAAAATAAGCCCAAAGGGCAGTGACATAGCAACTCCGCATCTATCTCTGCCTTTGCTATGTCAGAGAGTCTTTTACATAGCTCTGTGGAAAGCCTTGGCCCGCTCCTGAGCTTGCTGAACAGTTACACTGCATGAAGGGTGGGAAGCTGTTGTAATGATGCATGTCAACATGCCATGGTATGTATTGTCTTTATGACAAAATGACTTTTCAGACTCACCAAGCTCTCTTCCTCACAGGAGATGTGCCACTTGATGGTCACGGCCTTCTGGAGTTATTTCTTGGGTAACCAAAAAGTGTCCGGGGCCTATAGAAAGCAGCACAGTGTAGCCCTAGATAAAAATCTCTTACCCAGATTGCAAGTTAGGCTCTGCCACTTAGTCTGAGGCTGAGTTTTCTCATCTGTCAAATGGGAGTAATCTCATCCACCTACCTCATAGGGGTTGCTCTGAGGATCGAATCACATGATGTATAAGATTCCACATGTGACCAACATTCCACAGTTTATTGGCGATTTCTAGCTCCATTCTCTTATCTGATCCTCTCAACAATCCTGAAAATTATTTTGATCCTCATTTTACAGATGAAGAAACTGAGGCATGAAGAGGAAAAGTGACTTAGCCAAAGCGACATAGCTCGTGAGCCAGGATGATGCACGTTTTCTCTTTTCATACTCATCTTCAGTTATTCCTTGACACAAACCTGGTTACTAGTGCTATTGGCTACATGGCCCCTGTGCCTTAACTTCCCTCATGGCTCCTCCTCCCTGCAGCCTCTGAAGGTTCTCTGTGTAATGAATTAATTAGCTTTGCTTTTTTCTCCCTTTCCCCCCCTCTTTTTCCTGGCCTCTAGAAGAAAACACCAGCAGCCCCAGCAAAGAAAACCAGCACTACCTTCAACATCGTGGGGACCACCTATCCCATCAACCTGGCCAAGGACACTGAATTTTCCACCATCTCCAAGGGCGCTGCTCCCAGTGCCTCCTCAACCCCAACAATCATTGCTTCACCCAAGGCCACCTACGTGCAGGACAGCCCGACTGAGACCAAGACCTACAACAGTGTCAGCAAGGTTGACAAAATTTCCCGCATCATCTTTCCTGTGCTCTTTGCCATATTCAATCTGGTCTATTGGGCCACATATGTCAACCGGGAGTCAGCTATCAAGGGCATGATCCGCAAACAGTAGATAGTGGTGGCAGTGCAGCAACCAGAGCACTGTATACCCCGTGAAGCATCCAGGCACCCAAACCCCGGGGCTCCCCTTCGCGTATTTCAGGATTCTCCTTTTTACCCCTCTACCAAGCTGTGACCCTCAATTCATATTTATGAATCTCTACGCAAAAAATAACTACAGAAAAATTACTTGTCCCTCCAATATTGCCCAGTATAACCCCATCAAAGCCAAACACTGCCATTTGTCCAGTTGCTCATCTTAGTCTGCCAATCTCCCCTAGCTGAGGGCACTGCATGTATTTTATTGCACTCTGCCCGCTGCAAAAAGAACAAGAGATTCTACTCTCCATAGTGGAAGCCTTGGCTGTTTGAGAGGCCCAGAACAAGGAGAATTGTTGACTCCCATCTAGATCAGATGACTCTAACTTACTAGGCAGCCAGGTTAGGCTAGGCCATGTGATCCTGCGTGCCACCTCCCCTGCCTTCAGCAAGGCCTACTAGGCATAAGTACTGATAGCAAAGGTGGGAGCCAGTTCTACACCCCCAACCCATTTATTGGTTTGGAAATTAGTGGGGACAATTGGTACTAACCACCGTCTACCATGTATGGCCAAAATAAATAGAACTAGCTCTGCCAGCCTGGCACCAAGATGGCTGGTGCCCTGCCATGTCCAGCCCCTCGGGAAAATAGTCCCCTCCTTGGTACATCTCTCCTCCAGAAAATCTTCTTCCCCCACTGCCTTTGGCACCCTTGTAGCCAACTGAGCACTACTTAATTTGGACTCATTACCACCTGTAAACTTTTCAGGAAAAAATGATCAAGCATTTTTTATTTATATCGAAAAGTTGCAAATAGAAACAAAGTGATCTAGATTTAAAAAAAACATTTTTTTAAAATATGGGAGAGATACAAAAGTCACCTCCCTGCCAAGGCAACTAGCCTATACTGGATTGGGTAAGAGGTTTGGAGTGGATGGTAGTTGAGGATTGAAGTCTGGCTCAAAAGAGAAGGCTACTGGCAGATGAAAGTCAAATTCTTCCTTCCATACACTCCACATTCCACACCCTGGCCCAGGCACTTTTCTCCCACCATATCGGGAACCTCCGGTCCTCTGTTGATGCCGATTCTATGAGGGGTGAATTGGAAATTCATACAAATAAATATCTCTAGTCAATATTGAGTCAACTAGATCATTAACTTTATTGCCAATTTTATAATATATTATTTAGAGGCCATTTGTTCTTAATCTTAATGTGAGTAAAAGACACAGGCATAAATACGCAATTTTTATAAGGTAGATAAACTGAATCCCAGAAGTTTGAATGATTTGCCTAGGCTCCTTACAAGTGTCTTTAATAAAGAGCTATCGTGCGCCCCTTTCCAAAGGCCAAAATAAAGGACTGAGAAGCCAGGTCCACCGTGACCTCAGAATCAGCACAATCTCAGCGGGCCTTCTGGGTCACTAGTGGAACTTGGTTGGGCACCAAAAAGGTTTTTAGAAAGTCACAATGTGTCACCCAAGAAGATCACTTTTAATAGTCTCAGCCCAAGAGAATGAGACTGTTTATGATGGCAGCCCCAGCCACTTTGGCTCTGAATACCTGCACTAGTCCAGAGTATCCTAGAAGCCCAGGGTAAAGCCACAGAGGGCACCACAAGCAGATTCTCCCTGCCCACCGGCTGAACAAAGCTCCTAAGGGGTGTATCATTAGCTGCTGGTTGCCTTTTCATCCATCCTTTCCCCGTCCCCTGCTTCCTTGCCATTGCTGGGATAATGCATGCCCGTCCCATTATTCCTAAGACTGTGTCTGTAGGTAAATTCATGACTAGAAGAGTGTAGTCTTGTGGATATGTGGGGATATGGGGGGTGGGAGGGCGGGGCTGTTAATGGTTGTCTTAAGGAACTTAGAATGGAAGCCTGATCTTTGCCTCTCTGTAGAAATTGTGTTTCCAAATGCTTTGGTGCAATGTTTAGCTGCTGTTTATTAAACCCTTTCTGAATTGTACTTGGTCTGCAGAACTTTCTTTGGTCACTCTTTGCCTAACACAGACAGTACTATGTTTTTGGCTTTCACCCCCAATCTCATGCCACCATTACTTTCTGCTTCTTAACAACCATTGGAAAAAGATGGAAGAAAGGTACCCCCAGAGCAAGAAATGTATTACAATGATCCAAAGTAAAACTCGTGTGAAAACATAGCTTTGATTGACTCGAGGGTCTCATTGCCCAATATGAAATATTATGAAAAAGCTGTATTGCTTCTTCTGCTAAATTCACCCACTCCCAGGAAATAGAGCAATGTATTTTCATTGTAATTCTAAAGGATTTCTCTTCTCCATGGCTTACTATTTTCCCTTTGGCAACAGTTCCCATTCCAGGAACACGACCCCATCTTTTGGTTCCCTGTTACACAACTTGGAAGAGTTGGCAACTTCAAAGGAATTTGATCGTACACCAAGTAAGGACAACTAGGAGACTAAACCTGAAAATACAAGGTTTAAACTCTCAGGTCTAACAGTGATCTCCCCAGCCTCCCCACCCCTATCCCACACTCAGATCTTTGCCCTCAGCTCCATGTGGCAGGGTCTCCCTTGATGTGACACAGGATCATTAGTGCCCCAACTCCAGTTCTAGCATGGGAAAAGTTGGATCCTAAATTGAGGAGATTAAGGGGGTGCTGGTGCCGGGAAGGGGGCCCACAGGCAAACTGAGAGCAAAGAGCAGAAACAAAACAGACATTCCCCCCCTTTTTTTTCTCCAAAGTTTCAGCTCAGGGAAGAACAGCAATTCTTAGAAGGGAAGTCCCTACACATGACAAACAGACTGAGCCCTTGGGATCTACATTCACAACCTCTCCCTTCTCTGCTGTCACTGGAAAAAGTGGTTTCCCTTCTGTCTAAGGCCCAGCCTCTCCTTTTGTTCTTCATCTCTGCTCCTCTCTTCTCAAAGAATTCTAATTTTGTTATCTGCTCTCAGTGAAGCTCTTCTTGCTGAGTCACCACTGCCCTTGTTACTAAAACCTAAGGGCAGTTTTCAGTTATCTTATTTGACCTGTCAGCATTTGACACTGTTGAAAACTATTTTATTCTTGAAAATGCCTCTTTCTGGTTTCCATAGCACCATAGTCTCCTGATATCCCTGCTTTTTTTCTCTGCTACCTTTCCGTTTCTCATGTTTTTCCTTTTCAACTTCTCTCATCCCTTAAAGGCTGGGGTTCCCTCCAGTGTCTTCCCTGTTCTCTTTTCACTCTCCACACTCTCACTGAGTGCTCTCATCTGTCCTAATGGCTTCAATTAGCACATACTACCATTAACTTTTGTTGGGTAACAAATTATCCCAAAATAAAACAACCACATTTATTGTACCGATAGGACAGTGCACCGCAGGGATGGCCTGTCTCTGATCCATGATGCCTAGGGTCATAGACGGGAAGACTCAAACAAGTAGAAGGTGACTTAATTGACTAGAACATCTGGGGATGGAGGATATGCTTCCCAGCTCCGTGTGAAAAGGGATGGATTCTGTAGTAAGATGTAGGAGTATTAGTTGCCTAGCTCCAGTCTTATTCAGTAGGACAAAATTTGAGTCTTCAACTGAGAAGATAAAGGAGGTTCTGAGTTCCACATTGGGGGATAGGGGCTTTCACTCACATGTCTGGCAGCTTGGCTCTGAGTGTTGAAGGACAGGTTCATCTGGAACTGTTGACTGGAGTTTCTATACATGGCCTCTCCTTGTGGCTTCTTATAGCATGGCTTCTGGGTTCTCATAAGAAACATCTCCAGAGGGATGAACAAGCAACCAAAGAGAACCAAATGGAAGCTGCATGGCTTTTATTGGCCCAGCCTGGAAAGTCATGCAGTGTGCCTAAGGCCAGTGCAGAGTCAAGAGGAAGGGTGGATAGGGCCAAAGACTTTGCAGATGTGTATAAAATCTGCTATTCAAGAGGCTGAGGAGGAAGGATCCGTTGAGCCCAGGCCTTTGAGGCTGCAGTGAGCTATGATCGTGCCACTGTACTTCAGCCTGGGACAGATCATGACTCCATCTATAAAAATAAATAAATAAATAGATAGATAGATAATAATTTAAAACTCCACCACATCTCCTTTATGCTGATGACTGCCAAATGAATACCTCTAGCTTAGTTCTTTCACATCAAATTTTTTGACAAGTTCAAAACAGTACTCTTGATTCCTCCACCCTCACAGTTCTTCCCTTGGTCATTATTTTGTCAATAAATCAGAACGTCACTCACCCAGATGCTCAGGCCAAAACCCTATGAGGTATTCTTAGCCTCTCTCTCCCATCCTTACATCTAGTACATCTGAAAATCTTGAAAGCTCAGCCTCCAACTTAAATCCCATATTAGCCCTACTTCTACTACCTGTACCCCAGTCCAAGGCTCCATCATGATCTCTCACCGGAACACTACAGAGCTATCCTTTTAAATAGTAAACTAGATCATTCACTTGCCTGTTGAATACCCTCCAATGGCATGCTGCACATAGACTAAAATTCAAACTCTAGCCTTCACCTTCAAAGTTTTGTGTGACATGGTCCTGTTCACTCCTCAGCCTCCTGTTTTCACAATGCCTGCCTCTCACTCACATTTCATCAACCACATCAACTGCACATCAAGTCCCAATATAACTTATGGACTTTATGCAGGGTGTTTCCTCAGTCTAGCAAGTTCGTTTTCTCCTTGCCTTCACTGGCTGATGTCTGCTCACCCCCAAGCTCTCACCTAAAAAGTCACATCTCTCAGGCCTGTGTCCTTCCAGACTGGATGCTTTGCCATGTTGTGTGCTTCTATTACACTCTGTATTGCTCTCACTACCCCAACACTCACCATGTTTTATTGCAGTCTCCCACTAGACTAAGAACCGTGAGGGAGAGCTGTCCTTGTACACAAGTGTAGGATCAAAACCAGAGTCTAAACTCAGCGAATACTTATTGAATAAAATAACTTCTGAGTTGGGCTTCAAAAGATGATTCAGAATTTATCAAGCAAGAAAGATAATGGGTATTCCAGACAGGATGCACAAAGGCCCAGAAGTGAGATAAATCTTCATGAAGTATACAGCAAAACATATTTGTCCTAACTATCCAGACATTCTACCCATTAGGGTGGATGATGAATATAATGGCTCTGGACTTAAAAGGTGGTACAAGGGACACAACATGTCATATACCTGAGAACCTGGCTGCATGCCATCATTTTGATGACTTATCTCAAAAGGTTGGCTTTGACAAGTTCAGAAAGGTGCTAGCAACACATGTGAGCTGCTTTGGGGAAAGCCACTTGCTGGCCCTTACGATTGGCGTCTCCATTCCAAGCCAACATCCTGTAGACTCAAAGTCTTAGAGTTTCCCTTCCTTGAAGCCTCTCTTCACCCTTGCCAACCAGCAAACACATCCTCATTCAGATCACTGAAGGGTCAAATAAAATGCACAAAGGTGCATGAAGGATAATAACAACACTGCTAGGTCTTTTGCAGGCTGCTAGGTTTTATTGTAGCCTCAGAATAACAGAATAGCACTAAAAGCTGCACAAGGCTGGAGGCTTGACTCTGCATTCCAGCAAATGAAATTTTATACCTGCATATGTCATGTTGGGTAACAGCTCTAGGGTATTCATACACTTCGAGCTGGGCCTCCTTTCTGAAATACAGATCTAGCCTAGAATCATACTGATCATCTCCCTGCCTCTTGATAGGAAGAAATCTAGGAAAGTTTAATGAATTCTTACTGGCAAAGTGGAGAGCCAGTGAACTCCCAGTAGAACTAGTACTAGTGAAATCCAAGGTCTTCTTAAGTCACCACATTCCCTCCATGCTGTAGTCAGAAGAAGCTGCTACTGACCCTGAAGCTGTCTGCTTTCTTCAAACAATATCCATGCTGAGCTGGTGTGCTATGATGAGCCAAATTTTCCAGGCTTCAATGGCACCAGCAGACCTCCTCCATGTCAAGGTAAATGGGATATGTTGCCCAAGGTTGGTCTTCTGGTCTATGGTTACCTCAGCTGGTAAATCAGTTCTAGGCACTTTGGTTTTAGGGCATGGTCACACTGCAATCCCTTTCAAGAAGCCATGATGATAGATGCAGCAGAGCCTGGATCTTGGGCAGGTGGCCCTTTCCTCTTGTAAGTACTAATATGTGGCCATGTAAGAGGCTTGGATCAGGAATGGTCTCTGTCAAAATCCATGAGAAAAATAAGATACCAACATGATCATGGGAAAAAGCTTGTGGTGGTTGGAACTAGTGTGAATGGTAAAAAGATACAGGCACAGGGAGGCAGGAATACTGAGTTCTAATCTGGGATATACCACTGTCCCAGCTGTGTGAACTTGGGCAAGTCATTTAACCTCTATGTAACACAGCATAATAATAAAACTTTCCCAGGGATGACTACAAAGATTAAATGAGCTATTGCACATGAAAGATGGTTACAATCTTTAATTGCCACTTATATTGTATTAGTCTGTTTTCACACTGCTGATAAAGACATACCTGAGTCTGGATAATTCATAAAGAAAAGAAGGCTTAATGGACTCACAGTTCCATATGGCTGGGGAGGCCTCACAGTCATGGTGGAAGGCAAAAGGCACATCTTACATGGCAGGCAAGGAAGAATGAGAGCCAAGCGAAAGGCGAAACCCCTTATAAAACCATCAGATCTCATGAGAAGCATTCACTACCATGAGAACAGTATGATTCAATTATCTCCCACTGGGTCCCTCCCACAACACATGGGAATTATGGGAGCTACAATTCAAGATGAGATTGGGGTGGAGACACAACCAAACCATATTACGTATGTAGGAGATACATCTAATCCCAACACGGTTCCTGAATTGAAATAGGCCCTCCACATCTCTAGGTCTCAAATAGTCACCTGTGTAATGAGGATCTTGAGCTATGTGACCTTTAAGGGCCCTTCTGGACTTGATATTCCAGGATTCTAGCCAAATTTATCAGAAATGAAGTCAATTATGTCTGTATACAAGGTATTCTGAAATGGTTTTTATTGTTTACATGAAGGAAATGTTGTGATGTGCATTTTGGATGCAAATAGCAGCAAAGTACATATTGAGGGGAGGGAAATCCAATGCTCCCGAAGTTCCAAAGTCCCAGTACCTGACAGGATAAATACTGACTGCCGTGCTCATATTTATCCTTTGAGCTGCAATCAGATCAGAGGAAGGTGTAAGGTAGAATAACAATTCTCAACACAATTATATGCTTTCCGAATATGGGTTGATAATTTATGATTTTCTTTATTTTGAAAATTTAAAAAATCATCTTGATTGTTCTCTGGAAATAAAATATCTTCCTGGGAAAATTTCTGCTCTTGAGAAAGGAGGCATACTGGTGGACAGAGCAGATATTATGTATTAAACTCCTGACATATATTTGGCTTTTGAGTTTCCTTCTTTCCACCTTTCTCTTTATTTCTCCACATTTGGATACCAGCACAGTGCTTAGTACATAGTAGAAGGCTCAGGAAATGATCGTTGAGTGAAGAAATGAATATGATGGAGACGAGTTTCTCAAAATCCTAACCCAGAACAACTTGTAAGTTGGAAGAGTTACACAGGAACTTAGGGCCAAATTAAGTAAATGAAGGGATAGTGACAACAACAATACTAACACTGAGAACTGTCATCCACTGAGTGCTTCCTGGGTGCCAGTTGCTGTGTTAAGCACTGACAACAACTCTTTGAATTGGATATGGTTGTTTGCCAGATGCCAGCCTGCTTCTGTTGTGCTTCATGTAATAAATGGAAGGGGACTCATTCACTTGCAGATATTTATTGAAAACCTCCTTGGCATGGGTGTCAGTCCTGTGCTAAGTGATGGGGGTTCTGCAGCGAAGGCAAGCATGGAGTGTGCTCTAAGGAGGGTATAATCTAGTGTCAGAGAGACAGGAAAAGAATCATGAAAAGGTTGAATGTCGGAGTCGGGGGGAGCATGGATGGGGCCCTTGACTAGCCTGAGACACTCAGGGAAGAGCTTTCTGGAAAAACTAGCATCTAACCTGTGACTTGGACTGAATAGGTGGCTTGTCCTAATCAAGAGTGGGGTGAGGACAAGGAGGAAAGTCAGAGATAGAGAGAGAGAACAGCAGAAGTAATCTAGCCAAAGGAATATTGTGTACACAGAGTAAGGTTACAGATACTGAGTAGTTAATTATGGTTAGAGGGGAGACAGAAAAGGGAAGGAGGCTATTAGATGAAGCTGGGAAGGAAGGCAGAGACAGGTCATGTGCAAAGGCTTCTGTAAGGGTTGGGGAATGCCTTTAGACCTTACCTTCAAAGCAACGGACAGACACTAAAAGATGTTAAGCAAGAGTGTGGAGGAGTAATGATAATGGTGGCATGGTGAGGTCATGACTGGGCCCAAGTTCTGTGTTAGACAAGGAGATGCTCTGGCTTCAATGACAGAATGGAATAAGAAGGGAAGCATGGGCACACAAGTCCAGTGTAATCATCTGCTTATGACATGATGAACCCTGAATTATACAGTGGAACTGGGAGTGAAGCAGAGGGCATGACCTGAGAGAGATTTAGAAGCTGAAATCATTGACACATAAAGACTAATTAGATACTGGTGTTGAAGAAGAGGAGGCATCAAAGATGACAGCAAAGAAGGCATCTGACTTGAGTGACTGGGGAAGGTGGGTAATGTTTCTGGACATGGGTAAGAAACACTGGAGGAGAAGCAAATTTGAGTGGAAGATGACGAACTCAGCACCAGACATATGAAGATGGAGGTGTCTATGGGTCATGATTGGTGGAGGTGTGCTGGAGGCAATTGTATGTCATGATCTGTAGGTCAGTGTCTGGATCTCAGGGTCTGGAGGCCTGAACTCAAGAAAACAATATGGGATCAAGACTTTGTCAGTGTAGTAAAGGTTGTAATTGAAACCTTAGGACCTCCTTATGTCTCCTGCCCCTGCCCAACACCTCCAGTCATGGGAAGGAGTGCAGAATGAGAAGAGAATGTGGCCCAGATATTCTGAAGAGGAGCAGATGCACTTAAGAGGTGGGCCTGGGACAAGCAGCCAGCAAGGGAGACTGACAATGAGCAGCCAGACAAGCACAAGGAAGACCAGGAGGAGGTGGTGTTATGAACGGAGGCTGAGGGAGGAAAGATAGGATTTCTGGAAGGATAGAGGAGTGGGCATGTTCAGTGATATCAGCTGCTGCTGCTGATTTTAGAAAGGACAAGGACTGAACATATCTTCTTTAGATTTATGGACAAGAGCCTTTGGTGAAGTTCATGAGAGTGCTCTCTGTGGGGTAATAGAGGCAGGAGTCAAATGGGTTGATAAGTGAGGGAGAAGAGAAGAAAGGTAGTGAACAGAAAGGACTCCTTTAGGACATTCTGCAGAAAGGAAAACAATAAATACACAGTTGTAGCTGGAGGGAATGTGGGGTTAAGAAAGGTTGTGATAAGTTAGTTTATTTTTATGTGGGAGAAACATTAGAAAGTTTATAGGCTGAGGAGAAGAAACTAATAGAAAAAGAGAAGAGGAGGAGGAGAAGGGAGTGAGAGAATAAGAAAGGATTGAGAGAAAGAAAGACAGAAGAAGGGAGGGAGGGAGGGAGGGAAGCAGAGACCAGTGAAGTGGAGGTGAGATAGGGTACTGGGCTCAGAGAGCAAGACACAAGAATGACTATCAATAAGAAATTTGTTGAGAGTTTGGTGCCCAGAATCCTTCTTGTGGTAGGCAGAATAATGGTACCCCCAAATATGTTTATATCACAATCATCAGAATCTGTGAATATATTATTTTACATGGCAGAGGAATTAAGGTTGCTAATCAGTTGACCTTAAAATAGGGAGGTTACTTGGGATTATTCATGTGAGCCCGTGTAATCACACATGAGCCAGTGTAATCACACATGAGCCAGTGTAATCATACGTGAGCCAGGATAATCACAAGGATCCTTATGAGTGAAAGAGGAAGGCAAAAATTAAAACCATAGACATCACAGCCTGAGAAGGACTTAGCTCAACACTGTTGGCTTTTAAGATGGGGGAAAGGGGCCAGGAGCCAAAGGATGCAGGTAGACATTGAAAACTGCAAAGGGCAAGGAAATGGATTATCCCATAGGGCCTGCAAAAGGATCACAGCCCGGTGGCACTCATTTTGGACTTCTGACTTCCAGAACTGTAAGATAATAAATTTGTGGTTTTTTTAAGTAACTACATTTGTAGTAATTTGTTATAGTATTCATAGGAAACCAATACACTTTCCCTCATCTTTATTCCTTTCCAAGATTTTAACCACTGGAAAATAACTAAGGCTCATCAATCAAATGTAAGTTTCAGTGCTGGTTTATTAATTTGGGTAAACATTTAAAAGTCCTATAGTACAAGGTTTCTCTTCAAATTCTGTTTGAAACTGGCTTGGAGTGGCAGGATGTTCATCCTACAAAAGTCTACTGCTCATAGAGCCCTATGCAAGGTTCTAGGAACATAGTGGAGAACAAAACAGACCAGCACTGGCACAGAGGGCAGTTTTCAATAACATGCAACAAAAACGGGGCACTTGAACCACAGGTGTCCAATCCTTAGATTTGCATCTTTAGAAAAACCTCGTTCTAGCTCAGTGATTTTTAGTGATTTTTGCCAGCAATGTCGTTGTCCTCATGGGTGAACTAAGAGCACCCTGTAGACAGAACCAGGAAGAACTGAATTGCCTGGGAAGACCATATGTGGACAGGGAGAAACCACACAAGTTGAGAGCTTGATAAGCATTAGGGCAAAAGGACAAGGCCCAGAGCATTTAGAATATTGGTCAAAGCCACAGAGGCAGCTCTGGACTGCAGAACAATGACGCCTAACAGGCAATGCCTCACTAGGAGAAAGTCAGGGGATTGAGGGTCTGAATACTTGAGGCTGTGTTTGATCCCTGAGTGTGCTCTGTCCCTGTCCTTGCTCCCAGGCCCATCATGCTATAACTGTCACAGTGCTGATAACAGTGTGTTAGCTAGCTATCTGCCACAGGACCATGAGCTCCTTCTGGGTAGGGGGAGGGGGCAACTGCTGATTTCTGTACATATCAGGTTATTGCAAGTTCCAGGCACAGAATTGTCAATGTCTTTTTGACTCTGGAAGGAGAGGGGAAGAGATTCACAGAGACTCTAAGCCACAGCGTAAGTTACAGATTTACCTGAGAGTAGGGAAGGGAGGGAGTGATGAAAGGATCATCCTTTTTGACCTCTTTCTCTGTTACTAATGAAGAGGCCAGCCTTCCAAGCCTCTTCATTATTGACCTTTTCATTCTCCCACCCACCTCCTTGAGGGATTAACAACTAAATAAAACTCACTCGAAAGATGTCTTCAGTGAGCAGTCAGGGAGGGAAATCCCAGCAGCTATGGGGTTGTAAGAGCAGGGGCAGCTGCATTTAAGGTCGTGTCAGTGGGTTTGGGGGACAGCCCCTGAACTCTGGATTCTGGGTAGGATGCCCACTTCTTATGGAATCACTTAGGGCCTAAGATTCCCACTTTACAACAGACCCAGGGACCAAGAAGACATAGGCCTGAGGAGTAGTGTCTCAGCAAAGCCTCTGTGAAATTTTGGTACACGAAGGACCCTGAGTTTGCCAACAGTCACATTCTATCAATTGGGAAAGAAAAGCACACATTTCCACATCAGAGAAAGAGATTCCTAGGGAAGATAGAACTGGTACGTTAGTTGCCTTGGTTCCCAGGAACACTTTAAACTGACGCCAGTGACTGCTTCATTTTATGACATCCACTCAATGTATTATAGTTATTCACATATGAACAACATTTTTGTATCAACTTTCCTCTGATGTAAACACACAAACACAATTTTTGAGGAGAATGAATTTTTAAATTGTCTTTTATATGGTGTATGAATCCACAAATCAGACCAAGGCTATTGCATTAATGATTCTTCGTCATCAAGCAGAGAACAAAGACAGCAAGAAAAAAGCCTTTCAATGCCCCCATCCACTCACTGTGATTTCCCTGTCCCTTGCCTCTGTGGATCTAATGCTTCTAATGCTTCACGGCTAGCAGAAGTTTCACTTTTATCCTGGGGGTTCAAGCTGGGAAGAGTGCACTCAGAACAAGGGTCAAAGGATGTAATTTGAAACCAAGAAAAAAGAGTGATGCAACCTTGTCCAGGAGCTGTGTGAAAACATCTTCATCTTATAGTGATGCCCCAGTCACTTGTATGTCAGGAGTTTGGTGCTCCTTCTCAGGCTGCCCACTGAAGCTATCTTTCAAGTGGACTTCATTTAGCTGTCAATCATCTGAGGGGATGGGAGAAATGGAAATGGAAAAGGAGACTTGGGATACTGGAACCAGTGAAGAGAAAGATCAAGGAGGATGACACTTTCTTCTCTCTCTCCTTTCAAAATTATCTAGATATATCCTTTTCCTCCTATTTGAAAAGCTGGAAGCTCAAGATAAAACTTGAGCTGAAGTTCTCAAACTGTGGTTCTTTGCCTTTGTGCCCCTTTGCTCCCACTCTTTGAGATTAACAGAGGGAAATAGTATTTCATGTATAGAAAACAACATTTGCAATGGTTCAGAGGCTCAAAGTCCAAGTAGCTGTTGAGGAACTGCTAGGAATCAAGTGTAGCTCAAAAGGATAGTACTGGGAGAGGGCAGAGAACATAGTGCAGAAGCACATGATAGAGATGTGGGTATAGAGATGTGGGTGCAGAGCTAAGTACAAGGCAGTCATGCAGAGCTGTGTAGGCCAGGGTCAGGAGTTTGAACTTTATCTGAAGATCAATGAGGACCCACTGAGAAACATTACGTAGGAGAATGTTATGACCAGATGAGATTTAAAATGATCTCTTTGCTGCTGGTAGAACAGAATGACAAGGAGTAAGACTGCTTGCAGGGAGGCCATGTAGGAGGCTAGGAAATGTGTTCAGGCAGTAGCTAGTGTTCTAGACACCTGAAAATGCAAAGTCCAGCCTTTCTAACACCCTTTTTAAAGAACACTTAAAAAATACAATGTACAAAATTTGGTAACTAAATATGGGAATATAGAAGAGGAAAGGATATAGCTTGATAATCAGGTTTCTAGCTTGGATGTCTGAATGGATGGCTGTGTTATTTGTTAATTACGGTTTGGTGTTGAGAGTTCAGGATCTCTTGAGTTTAGTTTGGGGACATCCAATTAGAGATGTTCAGGAGGAAGTTGGATATTATGGAACCGAGGCTAGGAGAAAGATCTGAATCAGAGATAAGTATTTAGAAGTAATCAGGATATCAATTATAATTAAACTTAGCAACAAAGAAATCCGTAGTAATCCCAGATAGATCACTTTTAAGTTGCAGGTAAATTTTAGATGGGCTGGAGGGAAAAAACAGGGGAAACGGTCTGATGAATTCTATTTTATTTGGAAATAGGAGAGTGAAAATATATGCTGAGAGTGAAAGAAAAGTGGTTTGAAGAGAGTAGAGAAGGTTTAAGGTAGTCAAAGGAAAGACCAGGCATTCAAAGAGCCAGTTGAACTTGCAGACTATGAATATTCACTGAAGTCAATCTGCTTATTGGTAAGATTTTCTCTAGCAGCCAGTGTTCATCAGACTAAGAAAATGAGGTCAATAGGAGAATGGCTTGTTAGATAAATGAGGACAATGGGGAAAGTAAGTTCTCAGCCCTGGGATTGATACAGAGTAAGATAATGAGTGGATGAACGAATGAACTAATAATGAATGTAAGGGACTCTGTGAGTCCACCTAGAAAAAAGTGAGATTCAGTCAAAGCAATTCTTGTTTCACAACCATGTGTAGGCTCAATACCATGGAGAGAGGGTCTTTCTCAATTTCCACAGACATCCTAAAAGAAGGAGGTGAAGCCCCCAGGGGTTCATCCCACATTAGCATTGGAATTTATCACTGCCCTGAACCCTATTCCAGGACCTTGCTCAATGCAGGCCATGGAGCACTGATAAGCTTTGGAGCCTGCACTATAGGAAGAGATAGAGACACCTACTGTATCCTCTTGGAAACCGCTGCTCCCTGTTCCCACACACCACTTGGCCTGGCCAGTCCTCATGGGGCTGAGTGTTTGCTCTTTGGAGTCCCATTAGAGAAGCCTCTGAGGAGGGAGCTGTCCCTCTATGAGTCTCATTCTCCAAGAGGGTGGGATTTGCTGCTCTGAGCAGGCCTAGGACACATGCCAAATCTTTGCTGCAGAGGCTCTGAGCACTCCAAATCTGAGGCATAAAGACAGTATTTCACGGAACAACAGCCTTCTTTTTACTGACTTCTTCTTATTCCAAGGTAACTTTTGGTAAGGATTATAGACATAAATGATTGCAACAGAAATGTCAATAGTAAATGTTATTGCTATGGATTAAAAACACAAAACAAACAAATAATTGCATTAGTGGGTGGAAATGATAATATTAGGCCAGATAATTTTTTCCACTTTGGTAATTGTAGAATGCAAAGATAATAACTACAACATTACAGGTGGGCATGAAGATTGGGCAGAACCAAAACTGAGTCATCATTGTGAAAACCTCACTTCCCACTCAAACTGTCATTGCCTCCACATAGACTGAAAGCAAATGTCATAAGTCAGCGCATCTCTCATTGTGAAGTGCCTGTGAATCCCCTGAGGGATCTTGTTAAAATGTAGATTCTAACTCAGAGGGTCTGGGTCCAGCCAGAGACATTGCATTTCCACAAGCTCCCAGGTGGTGTTACTGGCACTGGTCCGTGTGCCTGAGGAGAAACGTCCAGTTTCTCTGCTCTATCTGCTAACCATGATTCTCAGCCTCAACATTAAACCCTTCTAACATGGTTTGAGGACCTGACAATACAGGTGATACAGGAAGGCCTGGGAGTGCCCTTCCTCTTCTACTGCATACACTCCCACACCCATGCACATACTAAAAAGCAAGCTTCCTCAGGACAAGGACTTAATCTTCATTTTCACCACAGCAGTTCCTTTCAGAAGAGTGCCCAACACATAGTAAACTCTCAGAAATATTTGTGAATGAGCAAACCCTCACACAACTCTGTCAGATAGGTATTATTTTATCTCCATTTTTCACATGAGGAAACAAAGGCACAGGAAGTTGAAGCAACATGCACAAGTGCACCTGCCCTTCTTCCAGGCTCTTCACCGCTCAACCACATTGCCCTTTTTTTTTTTTAATAACTTTCCAACTGCCACCTCCTGGAGAGGTGGCATTTCTCAATTGATAATGCCCAGCATCCATTTCTCCCTTCCTCCTTTCTAACAGAACCCTAAGTTTACGATTCCACTCCTTCCACATCGATCATATATATGTTGGGCAAAATTAATCCTTTTTGCACCTTGGACAGATTTGATTAATCTGAGGTAATCCATCCCCCTTTGTCGCATATTTAGTTCAGAAATAGAAATGAAAATGTGGCTAAGGGATTCTGGGAGAATTCTCACTCATTCTTTTGACAGAATTTCCAACAGTGATCCTCTTCTCCAGAATGCAAATGAGAAAACCAGTAACTCCATTCAGTAGTGTAAACTGTCTTATAATCCAAGAGAAACCAGCCACAGTATGAAATGTATGGACAACAAAATGGAAAGAACTTGAGTCCCTGATGACATCAGTAAACCACTGGATCAACCAGCCCTAAAGCCCACCCTATCTCAGGTCTCTGTTATGTGATTCAATGTTTCCTTACTGTTTGAGCTAGCTTAAGTTAATTTTTCATTTTATTTGAAGACAAATACATAGCAAATGATATATAACAACCTTATCTCTACTCCTTCGTAAAGGAAGAGGGTGACGGGGAGACAGAATGTGAAATACCATCCACCAGACTCTGACTCATTCCTGACCCTTCAACTTGGCTCCCCTAACTGTGTTTCCATCATCCAGACTTAAACCGTATGACAAAAACTATACCCCTTAAACTTCTTGAAGAACCCTACAGTCATCGAAAGTGGATCTAAATAGGATAAAGAATGGTCAAAATCTCTCCCACTTTACACATCCACCAACTACTGTCTTAGCGGACTTCACTTTCAAGATGTTTAATAGCTCTCTTCCTTCCCATAAACCCACTGAAGTATTGTGAAAGGATCATAAAAATATGAATAATCTCATAGCAGCATTAGAAATCCTTAAAGTGGGGCCGGGCGCGGTGGCTCACGCCTGTAATCCCAGCACTTTGGGAGGCCGAGGCGGGCGGATCACGAGGTCAGGAGATCGAGACCATCCCGGCTAAAACGGTGAAACCCCGTCTCTACTAAAAATACAAAAAATTAGCCGGGCGTAGTGGCGGGCGCCTGTAGTCCCAGCTACTTGGGAGGCTGAGGCAGGAGAATGGCGTGAACCCGGGAGGTGGAGCTTGCAGTGAGCCGAGATCCCGCCACTGCACTCCAGCCTGGGCGACAGAGCGAGACTCCGTCTCAAAAAAAAAAAAAAAAAAAAAAAGAAATCCTTAAAGTGTGCCATAAATATCTACAACATGGAGCAAATTTTGGAAAGTAAGTTTCTATGTGATAAACTTAATGGTGGATCTTAACAGGACTGAATAAACTAAAGCTCCATATAGGTGACAAAAAGACTTCGGAACACAGGAAAACCTAAAGATTAGAAGCAGCTATGTCTGAGAGTGGAAAAATGCCATAGAATCATCAGAGTAAAGTGTTCAGGAGCAGCTTTTTTGTGTCAGTCTGCTCTCAAGGCAGCTGAATATGTCACATTTTTTCAGTTAAAGCTGTGCGTCTGCTGTGGGAGACTACCAGAAGGGATATTAGGACTAGAGTGGGGAAAGTGAGACAGCACTGCAAGTATCTTCAAACTGCCTCGAGGACAAACTGCCTTGAGGAGTACAAAGCATGCTTGCTCCCAACAGGAACATAGCCAGCATTTTGTACGCAGAATCTTGAGTCAATGTAGGAAATAGGGAATTTTACTTATGCTGAGGTAATACACACAGCTATTAATATTGATCAGTCTAGACCAGTGATTCTGCACTTTTTGTCTGCGCACGTAATCACTCAGATAGCTTTAAAATACTGACATTAAGTAGTTGTTACCTTTGGAATGGTATTAACTGGGAAAGGGCAAGAGGGAGTTTTCCTGGGTGCTAGAAATGGTCTATATCAGGGATCAGCGAACTACAGCTCACTGGCCAAATGGGACACACCACCTGTTTTTGTAAAGTTCTATTGGAATATGGACATCCTTACTCGTTTACATATTTCCCATGGCTGCTTTTGCACTACAATAGAGTTGAGTAGTTTCAACAGAGACTGGCTGGACCACAAAGCCAAAAATATTTGGTTCTTTGCAGAAAAAGTTTTCTGACCCTTGATCTATATCTTTTTCTTAGTCATGGTGCATTGTGTATGTATGCATATGTATATATGCAAAGATTGAACTGTATACTTACAATTTTTATGCTATATTGTGTGTAAATTTTACCCTACCAAAAAGTGTAAATAAAAAGAAAGAAATTCAAGTGCTTGGGTAACACGTGCAGATATTCTCACTTAATTGTTCTCTGGTATGGTCTGCACATCAGCATTTGTAAAACCTCCCAAGGTAATTCTAAGGAGAAAACTCATCACAACACCAGCTTCCATGATCACATGGCAGGGTAAAAGAATGTAGGAAATTGTACATTGACTTTTAAAACTTTCATCTTTGGGTGAAATATATAACTTCGGCTCACATTTCTTTGGCAAAAATCACATGGCCACATCTAACTTCAAGAGGTGGGGAAGAGCAATATACCATGTACTTGATACGATAACTGGAATATTTGGTAGATAGCACTGATTGCTACCCCGGTCTTCCTTTCTTGTCATTGAATATTTTGTTTGTTCTCTTTCATCATGCAGAACCCATTTATCTCCCTACTCCCATGAGAGTAATCAAAAAGTCCCATTCCATCACTCTTTCCCTCTCAAAACCTAGAATCTCTGAGTCATGTTTGAAAATTTCTTTATCTTTTCTGAAGATGTCCCCTCTTTGTCAAGAGTTATGAACAAAACACAAAGTTGTTTGCCCCCTCATATGTAACATTCAGTGGTGAAATAGGGAAAGGATAATCACAATAAACAATCTCTTATAGAGAGAAGAATGGGAATCAAATCAGCCACTGGTTAATAGCAATTCTGACACAGAAAGAGTCCCCTGCCTAGTGGCTGGAAACGTTCCTTGATTAAGCCCTAATCCTGGTTCCTGGAAAGTAATCTCCAGTCACTTTTTCTCTATGGACGTTGTCTCTGTCTCAAAGGGTTTTCTTCTTTTCTGTCACCCTCCTTGACCACATCTGGATTGAGCACTGGGAAATATATACTCACTGGGGGCTGAAGAACTCACAACCTGTTTCCTGTTTATAGTAGATTTGGAGCCCAAGAGTCAGTTTAAGTGTCACACAGTCACAGTTAATTTAGCCCAAGGTCGTTATCTATTTAGTTTGACTCAGCTCCAAATGCCAATAACTACACCCACAATT
The DNA here is from genome assembly GCF_000001405.40 of Homo sapiens. NCBI lineage: Eukaryota > Metazoa > Chordata > Mammalia > Primates > Hominidae > Homo > Homo sapiens. Next base: position 152,149,770 of record NC_000023.11, on the reverse strand, counting down.
CATTTTGAAACACAATTTGCATATTCACTGTATTTATTTGCTTTCTCATTGTCATGTCTCTCACAATTTAACTGTGGATATCAGGCTTCTATGGGAGAGCTATACCCTAAGTTAATTTCTCCTAAACCTTTTTGTCCAATAAAACAGATTTAGTGGCCGGGCGCAGTGGTTCACGTCTGTAATCCCAGCACTTTGGGAGGCTGAGGTGGGCGGATTGCCTGAGGTAAGGAGTTCGAGACCAGACTGGCCAACATGGTGAAACCCCATCTCTACTAAAAATACAAAAAAAAAAAAAAAAAAATTAGCCTGGTGTAGTGGCATGCACCTATATTCCCAGCTACTCGGGAGGCTGAGGCAGGGGAATTGCTTGAACCTGGGAGGTGGAGGTTGCAGTGAGCTGAGATTGTGCCGTTGCACTCCAGCCTGGGCAACAGAGCGAGACTCTGTCAAAAAAAAAAAATTACTGCAGCAATGGCCCTAATTTGGTCTTTCCTTTGAGACAACACAGTCCATTCAAAGATTTTTACAATGATCAGATGGCCACAGCCTTGATCTAATCCTTGCTTGGAGGCTGAATTTTAATAAACTGTCACCAAAACCCTCCTATGTTCTATGTTTTGTCTTTTACTCACTGGGACTGAGAAGCAATTACCTCTTCCAACCCTGCAAGTTCTCAGATTTCTGGACTCTATGTTCAATTTCATCACTGTTTGCCAACTAGCCAATTCTTTTCCGATCTCTGCTCTTTCTCGTAATACCTTGTCATATTCACTCAACAGTAACTAACATACAGTACCAACATTCTTTATTCTAGTCTCTTCCTCTAGAGCTACACATTGGTTAGGCAGATAATCTGCCTTACAAATTAATGCAGTCAACAGGTTCAGCAAATATTTAAGCACTACGAAGCCTGGATCACCATTCTTCCAGCCTCTGATAACAGCTTAATACCCATCATCTGGTACCTCAGCAAATGCACATATATATTATTATTAATGTTACTGTTATTGTTATTATTTTTGTTATGGAAATACCCCACCTACAGGTACTGATTCCTGTTTCAGCCTGGATAGGTTACATTACATTGTAATATTAAACAATCCAAAAATATCAGTGGCTTGAAACAACAAAATATTTTATTTATTTTTTATACTGCCTGTTCAATGATAAGGCAGCGGGGGAGCTCTGCTTATTGTAATTACCAAGGGACCAGACTTAAAGAGGTTTAGACCAATGTGGGTTTGCACAATCATTATTGCAGATGGAAGAGAATGTGGCAAATTGTGTATTCCTCTTAAAGTTACTTCATGAAAATAATGTTATCTCTTATCAAATCTTCCTAGCCAATACATGTCACATGGCCACATGTAACTTCAAGGAGATGGGCGTACAGTCTACCATACGCCCAGAAGGAAAACCAAAAACATTTGGACAATAGCAATAATGATTTACCAGGATAAACCTGGACATATTTTAGATCAGTTTTCAAACTTCATGGATAAAGGTAAAATACTACAGTTTTCTACAAAGAAAGAAGAGATTACCATTAAAAATGTGAATCTCAGTGTTATCAGACTTCTCAGGCACAATGCAAGCTGTTAGAAAGAGTGGAGTGACATCTATAAACTGCTGAGGGAAAAAGATTTTTAAACTAGAGTTCCCTAATCAGAAAAAGTATCAATAAAGTATGAAGGCATAATAAAAGCCTTCTCAGGGATACAGGGACTCAGGAAATAGAAAATCTGTGCAGTATCACAGAAAGAATTATTCTAAGACATATTCTGGGAAAAGGAGAATATAAAATCCAAGCCAAATATAAGAAATAGTGGAGAGCAAGAAATAAATATTATAGTTTACAATAAATAGTTTTTATAATAAGGCTATAAAATTTAACAAAATTTTTATGTAATGGTTTATAAAACAGAAATGAGATATTATTGAAATAATGATTTGAAATATTCAGTTGAGATCAATGAAACCCCAAAAATATGGGAAGAGTAGAAAATAAACAAAAGCTTTCTAAGAATCTTGTTTGAGGAATATGCTAAACTTGGATTAATATTCTTCGTTGATGGGAGATTATAGGTTTAAATATATTTGTTAGAAGTTTTAAGTCAACAATTTGCTGAATGGAAATAAATAGAACTTTCAAAATAATAGGTTATGATGGAGGGAAAAATACAATGCTCTATATCTAGCAAACATGAGGGAAGAATAAATTTGTCTTTGTTTGTGCTGCTATAACAAAATACTACAGACTAGGCAATTTATAAAGACTAGAAATGTATTTCTTACAGTTCTTGAGGCTGGGAAATCCAGGATCAAAAATGTCAGCTGGTTGTGTGTCTGGTGAGGGCCTTCTTACTGAATCCTGACATGGAGGAAGGTACAGAGGGCACGAAAAGGAAATGAACACTGTGTCTTCACACAGCAGAAGAGCAGAAGAGCACAATAAGGGCCACTCTCTCAAGTCCTTCAATAAGAGCCTAATCCCATCCATGAAAACTCTGCCCTCATGACTTAATCACTTCTTAATGCCTATCACTTTGGTGATTAAGTTTCAACATGAAGTTTGGGGGACACACTCAGACCATAGCAAAAACAGAAAAATAAATTATAAAAATAATTATAAAAATAAAAATATAGAACCTAAGGTAAATATAAAAATTAAAACTAAGTGACAAAAGTTACACCCAGGGAGTTCCACTTCTTGCATTGACAACATGAGGAGCTCCATGGATTCACTCCCCAGTGAAACTGGTAACAATTATTTTTAAAGCAATTTAAAATATCTGGAAATGACCTAAGGGCATATAGCAAATGAAGAAAAACATATTCAAGAAAATCTGACATTTGGTAACAACAGTGAGAGTCTGTGGCATCTGAACCATGACCCACTCCCTTTGCTCTTCCTTATCACCGTGTGAAGGAAACTAAATTCCAGATGGGTGTAGCCAAGAACGTAGGGCAGCCTCTCTTCCAGGTTCAAGTTCAAGAGTATGGTATCTTCCTGGGAGGGGCTGAACTTTGTTAAAAATGTAAACTGAGGCACGATAAAATGTTAATGAGTTTATTTGAGCAAAAAATAGTTCATGAAGTGTGTAGCTCTAAACCAGAAGCAGTTCAGGAGCTCCACTGAAGGATCACAATGGGGAGGCTTTTAAAGGATGGACACAGAAGGAAAGCTAAGAAAACCTTTGATTAGTAGCCAATATACAGTTGTCTTACCTGGCTTATCCCACTGGAAAGTTCTTAATTATATAATTATAAGTTTGTTTGCTACTTCTGATTGGTTGATCTTAAGTTATGTTTCTCTTCACTATAGGCATTTACAAGAAATAGCAAGGCTTTTGTCACTTATGAGGCCTAACTGCTTTTGTCTGTTCAGGAATTATTCAGGCCTGGTCTCCATTTTAACTTTCTTTTACAACATCAACATTTCTGATCCCATCCTAGGCTACCTATTGCAGAGCCTAAGTTCCAGGACATGCAATTGAGAAGTGGAGGTTCCCTCATGGGACAGAAACAGCTTAGAGAAGGAGAGGGAGAGAGAGAGACGGAGAGAGAGAGAGAGAGAGAGAGAGAGAGAGAGAGAAACTTCTTTTGCTTGGGAGAAAGTAAGGGAAGAGAACAAAAGTTTCTGCCTGGTAATCCAGAGAGTTCTTCCAGATCTTATCCAAGACGACCAAGTCAGTACGTCTAAGAGTATGCAGGAGCCACAGTATTACTAGGCTTGGGGTATCCCATAATGCAGATACAGCTGTGGTGACCAAAAAGTTAGATTATAACACCCAAGTTCCTTTCAAATACCTGGAAAGACTTCCAAATAAGGATGGATGCAAGTAAGCCCAAATTGTGAAGACTACATAGAAGAAAAGAGAGAAGAAACAAATAGACAAAATAAGATTGAACAAAGGCCTAAATGTAAAAGATAAATCATAAAAATCTTAGAAGAAACAACAGAGAAAATCAATAAACCCAAATCTAGTTATCTGGATAGATCAACAAAATTAACAATCTTCTAGTGAGGCTAGTCAAGAAAAAAATAGAAGACTCAAATTACAAACATCGGAAATGAAAAAGTGATAATCTTTACCAAGGCCATGGACATTAACAGGATAATGAAAGAATATTATGACAACTCTAGGTCTACAAATTTGGTAAATTAGATAAAATTACCTTAAATGATACACACTACAAAACCTCACACAAAGATAAAAAGATAACCTGAATAAACATATCTGCAAAATAAATTGAGTCAATAATTAATATATTTCCCAAATAGAAATTACTAGGCCCAGATGGCTTCACTGTTGAATTCTACCAAACGTTTAAATAATGCTTAATAGCAATCTACACTCTCTTCCAGAAAATAGAAGCAGACGGAACACTCCTAACTCATTCTGTAAGACCACTCCATAACACCAAAACCAGTTAAAGATATACAAAAAAGCAAAATTACAGACCAATATCTCTTATGAACATAGATCCAAAAATCTTCAACAAAATATAAGCAAATCAAATCCAACAATGTATAAAAATAATTATACATCAGGACCAAGTGAGACTTATTACAGGTATGCAAGGCTGATCCAACATTCAGAAATCAATTAATGTAACTCATGATGTCAACAGGCTAAAGAAAAACTACCATATTATTATATCAATGTATGCAGAATATTCATTTGATAAAATCCAACACACATTCATGATAAAATCCAACACACATTCATGATAAAAATAATCTCAGCAAATGTGGAATCAAAGGGGACATCCTCTACTTAATAAAGTGCGTCTACAAAAGCCCAGAGGTAGTATTATACTTAAGGATTTTGAGAAACCAGGAAAAAAGCAAGTATGTCTCCTCTGACAACTTCTATTCAACATCATATTGGAAGTATTAGCTAGTACATTAAGACAAGAAATTGAAATAAAACATGTGCTTCGGGGGAAGAAAAAAACTATGCCTCTCTTTGTCCACTGAAGAAATGTTTATCTGTGTAGAAAATGTCATAGAATTCATGACAATAACAAACACAGGACAACTTTTAAACCAAAAGGTGATTATAACAAGGTCATAGGAAACGAGATTAATATAAAAAATAAATTGCTTTGTCAAATACTGTCAATAAACAATTAAAATTTTAAATTAAAAACATCATTTATAATAGTTCCCCCCAAACAAAATACCTATGTGTAAATCTTCAAAATACGTATAGGCTCTGTATATGGAAACAACAAAGCACTGATAAAAGAAATCAAAGAAAAAATAAATGGAAAGTCATTCTGCATTCATGGGTTGGAGACAGAAAATTGTTAGTATGTCAGTTTTTCCCAATATGTTCTGTACATACAATATGATTCCAATCAAATTCTCATCAAGGTATTTTCTAGATATCAACAAACTACTGTATATTTTATATGGATAAGAGTAGCTGAGCATAGGCAATACAATATAGAAGAACAACAAAGTCAGAGGACTCACATTACTTAATTTCAAGACTTACTATAAAGTTATAGTAATCAAGACAATGTGGAATTGGTGAAAGAATAAAAACATAGATAAATAGAATAGTGTCCAGAAATAGAACCACACCCATAGAGTCAATTTATTTCTGACAAAGGCGCAAATGCAATTTCATGAAGAAAGTTAATTTTTAAAATAAAATATAAAATGAATCCAGACAAAACCTTAGACCTTTCACTAAAAACTAATCCAAAATAGCTTGTAGACCTAAGCGTAAAATGCAGAAACTATATAAAATCTCTAGGAGAAAGCAGGAGAAAATCTATATAACCTTGGATTTAGTGATGAGTTTTCAGATTCATGAAAGACAAATTGGTAAAGTTAAGTATCGTTTTAAAAATGTGTGCACTCTGTGAAAAACATTGTAAAGAGAATGAAAAGAAAATCCACAGAGAGAAAATAGTTGCAAAACACCTACCAAATAAGGCACTTGTATGCAAAATACAAAAAACTTAAAACTCAACAATTGAAAACCAGAAAACTCATTTAACTGGGCAAAGGTTTGAAGCAGATGCATCACCAAAGAAGACAGGTAAAAAATGAGCATAGGAAAAGATACTGAATATTATTTGTTATTATGTAGTTTCAAATTAACTAACAATAAATACTACTACACACCTACTGGAATGTATAAAATTTAAAAAATACGAGTCCAATTGCTAGAAAGAATGCAAAGAAGGAACTCTCATTCATTGCTGGTTGAAATGAAAAATAGTACAGCCACTTTTTTAAAAAAATGTATTATTATTATACTTTAAGTTTTAGGGTACATGTGCACAATGTGCAGGTTAGTTACATATGTATACATGTGCCATGCGGTACAGCCACTTTTGAAGACAGTTTGTCAGTTTCTTAAAAACACTAAACATAGTCTCACCTTAGATCCAGCAAGCACGCTCCTGGGTTATTTTCCTAACTGATTTGAGAACATATGTTCACACAAATCCCCATACGTAAATGTTTATAGATGCTTATTTGGCAATCACCCTAAAGTGGAATATGTCCTTTAATGGATGAATAGATAAACAAACTGTGACACAGCCTTACAATGACATATTATTCATAAATAAAAAAGAATGACCTACAAGACATGCAAAGACATCAAAAATATTAAATGCATATTGTCACATGAAAGTAGCCAGTTGGAAAAGGCTACAGAGTGTATGACTCCATTTATATGACATTTTGGAAAGGGAAAGAATTATAGAAACAATAAACATACGTAGAAAAGTGTAAAAAGGTTAAGCACAGGAGATTTATTAGGGCAGTGAAACTATTTTTATGATACTGTAATGGTTCATACATGACAGTATGTGTCAAAAATCATAAAACTTTATAGCACAAAGAGTGAATCTTAATGTATGAAAATTAAAGAAATAATTTAAGAGATCAAAAAATTCCAGGATGAAATGTAGAATATAGCAAAGCATTCTAACTGTATTAAAAATGTATGAAACAATCTCATTGAAGGGCATGATGGGAATTTGCTGCCTTAAGTAACTTGGAAGTGAGTGTTGTAAAGCTAAGGTCAAAAGGAACTGTATGTAAGTGCTGTACTAGAGTTAGTAAAGTTGTTTCCCACAGGAGTACAGATTAATAATTCTGAAAACAGTATACATGTATATTGGAATTGAACAGTTAACTGAATGGATTGACAGATGACAGGAGATGAGTTTCTCATTGTTAGAATGGGACGTCACAGGTAAGCAAGGGGAGGAGGCTAGAATAATCTTTGTTGTAATGGATTAGAGTTGGAGACGTCAGCATAAAGTCATGTTCGGTTTAATATAGTTACAGATGGTTACATATCCAAATATTTATAGGTGTGTGTAGACACACATATATATTTCATTGCTCTGTGAACTGAGAAAGGCTATAAGTAACAACTCCCCCAGTAGCAACAAGCCCACCTAGAACTAAGATGTGAGTTTCTAAAACCATCATCTAGTAAAAATAATTAGGGCTCCTTGGAGAAATGGCTGATTCTGAGACTGGGGCATGAAATACAGTTGCCCCTCTGTGGATTCCACATCCATGGATTTAAAAATCCAAAGATCAAAAATACGCAAAAAAAACTGGATCTGTTCATAACATGTACAGACTTTTATTTTCTTGTCCTTATGCCCTAAACAATACAGAGTAACAACTTTTTTACATTGCATTTACATCATATTAGGTATTATAAGTAATCTAGAGATAACTTAAAGTATATGAAAGGATGTGCACAAGTTATATGCAAATGTTATACCATTTTGTATAAAAGATTGAGCATCCGCAAATTCTGGTGTTCATGGGAGGTCCTTTTAAAAAAAGTTTTGTGGGTACAAAGTAAATGTATATTTTATGGGGTACATGAGATGTTCTGATACCATGGAAGTTCCTGAAACCAATCCCCCAGGGATGCTGAGGGAGAACTGCATATAAAATGAGCCTGGAGCATTTTGTAGTGTCAGAAAGTAAGATCTGAAAAACTTCTTAAGGGACACCACAAGTGCTGCATTGAGCAAAATCCATACTATGGGAAACTAGACAAAATACAAGACCTGTTTATTTTTTTGTTTTGTCTTGTTTTAAGTTGCAAGGAAAAAAAGATTAATAGTCAGAGAAATTATAGATTAAAAAAGACTAAGCGATATAACCAATAATTTCACTGATTAGATCATATTTAAACACTGATTCAAAGAAACTAATTTTTAAAGTATATGTCTGCCAGGTAAATATGGAAATTATCTGGGCATTTGATGATTACTCATTTAAACTGTTAGGAAATATAATTACATTGAATTTATGTTTCACAAAAGAGTTCTTATCTTTTATAAAAGCATATGAAATAATTAGAAACAAAATGATATGATGTCTGGGATATGCCTCAAATCATTACGGTAGCAAGAGATGGAAGTAGGTAAGAGTAAAATTAGAACCAGATTGGACAATGTATTGAAAATTGTTGATGCTAAGTGTCTGGTATATTGGTTCATTATACTATTCTCTTTACTGTCGTATATGTTGAGAATATCTGTAATAAAAACTTTTTATTGTAAATATCATGCCATTAAATTTGAAATCCTAAGTGAAATTGATCACTTACAGGTTTAATCAAACAATACAAACTGAAACTGTACAGTATTCAAAACTCAAGCCACTGCCAAATGTTCCAGGATAAGGCAGTTTGGGAGGCCAGTTATACCAAATGATCATGGAGAAACAAATTACCATCTTATGTAAACTCTTCCAAAGCATACAAAAAGATGGGTAATTATTCAACTCATTTTGCCAGGCCAGCACTCTTTGATTCAAATACCAGATGAGAGCAACCAGTGAAAAGAATGCTTGAGCCAAGCTCTCTCACATAGCAGCAAATATTCTAAATAATTTAATAGCATATTCAACATAGAAGTATATTAACTGAACAAACAAGCTCTGTCCAAGGAATAAAAATTATGATTTAACATTAGAAAATGCTTTTAATTGTAATTCCCTGTAAACAAATTAGAGGAGAAAAAACACTTGATTATGTCAATGGCTACATAAAAAGCATTTCAAAGAAGTTTAACACAAGATAATGGTAAAAAAAAAAAAAAAGTAAACTAACATTAGAATAGAACTTGCATTACTTAAAATCTATAGCAAACGCACTTAAATGTGAAATGTTATAAGAATTTCCATAAAAGCCAGGAACAAGACAAAAATGTATGCTACCTTCTCTACTGTTCAAAACTGCACTGAAACACATAGCCAGAGCTATGGGTATCAAACTAAATAAGATGCATGAATTTTGAAAAGAGAGATGTTTGGAGACAATGTTATCTTTAACGAATAGTCAAAGGAATAAGCATGTGGAATATTTAAATGAATAAAAGACTTCAGAAGAAAAATGTTTTATGGAAGCTCATTATAGCAAAATCAAGAAACTGGTCATAAAAAAACAGTAAATAGAACATACAATAGAAAATATCCCATTAAAAACAGCAAAAAACTCCTAAAATTACCTTAAAGATAATCCTAACAAAAATGAGCAGGATCTTACTGGAGTCAACTGTAAAAGTTTGCTGATAGATTCAGGTGAAAGAAGTCCCAAATAAATAAAGCATTATACCATATCCATTAATGGAGAACAGAATATTTTAAAGGCGTGAATTTTCCTTAAATTATTTACAGAATTAGTGCCTTACCTTTAGGCCAAAATGAGCATCAAGTTCATATTGCTGACTTACACTCCAGAATCAATCCTGGAGGGGAGAAGGGAAAAAACATTATCAACACTCAACAAATTCTACACAGCAAAACATGATAGAACCCTAAGCAGACTGCAGAATTTCGAATTGGACCTTGTGTTTGGAGTAGGGGGAGTGGAGGACAACAGTGCATTTGCGGAGGTCCGCAGCCTGCATAGACGGCAAATAAGAGGACGAGTAGGAAGAAATATTTGAATTTCTGGCCCTGCTTTATTGCACAATCTGAGGCAACACTTCATACCACGATGCCAGTAGCCCAGTAGCTCTGGAGTGATATCAGGACAGCAGGAAAGACGGGGTTGATTGAGGGAGTATGACTCCGGAGTCTATGCTGCTAACCACCTAAAACCACCACAGTGACGACTGGTCTTAGTTGATCCTCTGCTACAAGTTAATAATTCTTTATATTAAATTTTCTTGCTCAGAAAAAAAGAGAAAAATTATTATAATAGAATATAAAGAATAGACCAGAAATAGAATAAGCAGTGAACCACACAGCGTAAGGTAGGTATTCTTTCATGAAATGTTATATATGTATTCAATATACACTTGGCAGACATTTAAAACACATATTTTTACTAGGAATGAGGGTTAGAAAACCAGACATCACTGCATTGGACTATAAAATATCAGCTAAACTCAAAACAGCAGGACCTCTCCACACCCCGATGCTCAGCCTCTTTCTTGTAGAAAATATACCCTTTAGGACAAAAAGTTTGCCAAGTCTACTTGTGGCTTGGGAAGAGCCCCGTTGGGAAGGTGTGCGTCTTCTCCCATAGGTCATTACAATCACGGGTGTTGCAGCTCCCCAGGGACCATCTGGCCTGGGAACCGCACCCATGCTCTGCAAGGGATGCAGCTGGGCAAATGATCAGAGGTGACGGAAACTGAGCATCTCCCACCCATCACTTCATCAAAGAGACAAAAGCCAGGAGGAAGACCCTCCTGAGTGAGGACCGAGGGTCCACCCACCCCTCACAAAGGGGCCACAGAATCCAGCTGAGCCCCTCTTGTCAGCCCTGGAAGACCCTGGCAATGTTGTCACCCCTACCACAACCCTCCCCTCACTGCCACCTTGGAAGACTCCGAGTCAAGAGACCTGGTTTAAGGGGAGAAGACATCCTCAGCACAAAACAGGGGTCCAGGCTTTTCCAGGCATCAAGGTCGAGACACTGAGGGATGACTGAAAGACCCCACCCCCACCCCCACCACGACCCACAGCCCCAAGATCCCCATCCCAGTTCCCACCTCCACGCCCCTCCCCACACTCATCTTCACCACCACCCCTGCCCCAACCCCATCCTCACCCGTACCCCACCCCACCCGGACTCCCACCCTCACTCCCACCCCAACTCCCACCCCAGTTCCGGCAGAATCCACTCCGCCCCTGCTGTCAACCCAGGGAAGCCCCGGGGACCGGATGTGACGCCACTAACTTACGCCTCGGGGATCAGAGAGAAGCGAGGTTCTCGTTCTGAGGGACAGGCTTGAGATCGGCTGAAGAGAGCGGGCCCAGGCTCTGTGAGGAGGCAAGGTGAGAGGCTGAGGGAGGACTGAGGACGCCCCCAACCCAGATAGAAAGCCCTAAATAATACAGCGCTGCCTCTGCTGCCAGCTCTGGACCACCTGAGGGCAGACTTCTCAGGCTGGGCTGTCACCCCCCCCCCACCCCCGCCCCCACTCTCTCCCGCCGCTTAAGCCGCAGGGGACTCTGGGAGTCAGAGCTTGGTGTGACCAGGGCCCGGCTGGTTCGGCGGGAGCCGCGCCTAGGTTCTGCCAGCATCAATGTCGGGACGCTCAGGGAGGGCTCTGCCCCTGATGTCGGCCCTGGGAAGCCCTGGTCATGGCGACCAGGAACGCAAATTCTGACGTCGGCATCTGAGGCTGACGTAGGGAAGGGGATATTGGTACCAAGAATGCGGCTTCAGGGGAGCAGAGGGAAGGCCCGGGCCCTGCTGGGAAATGAGGGAGGCATGAAGGGATCCCAGGACAGGGTGCCCACCCCACCTCTGTCTCAGACCGAGATGTCTCTTCACTCGGCCTGAGGAATCCAAGGGACGGTGACTCAGGTCTGCGGCGGGGCGTGGTAGAGGAGAACAACCCAGCCAAGAGTCAAGGGGAGGAAGAAGAGAAAGGACTCAAGGGACCTTGGAGTCCAGATCAGTGGGGACCTCAGCCCTGGGTGGTTTCAGGCACGGTGGCCCATGTGATGTGTCTTTGCTGTGCCTTTGGGGTGTCAATGAGGAGAGGGCTATGGTCTGAGGAGTGGAGCCTCAGGTCAGCAGAGGGAGGAGTCCCAGAGCCCTGAGGGAGGACTCAGCAGATCCCCGCATCTCAGAACTAGGAAATCTGTCCCTCTTATCAGCTCTGGAACCCCAGGCAGGACGGTGAGGAAGAGAAGTGGCCCCCACTTTCTCACCGGGGATCCCAGGGAGATGGTGGCTTTGGCGTGCAAGACCCATACACGATTCAGCAGGAGGGAAAGGGCTGGGCCCTGTCGGGAGTAAATCTGAATACCTGGAGGACACCCAAATAAAGGAAGTCCCCGTCTTGTCCCCCTCCCCTGCCCACCACCCCCCCCCCCCCCCCCGCCAAATGTCTGCTCCTTCTGTCAGCTTTGGGAATCCCATGCAGGTGTGATCGTGTGGTGCCCCTCCCCACTTCTGCCTGCCGGGTCTCAGGGAGGTGAGGACCTTGGTCTGAGGGTTGCTAAGAAGTTATTACAGGGTTCCACACTTGGTCAACAGAGGGAGGAGTCCCAGAATCTGCAGGACCCAAGGGGTGCCCCCTTAGTGAGGACTGGAGGTACCTGCAGCCCAGAAAGAAGGGATGTCACAGAGTCTGGCTGTCCCCTGTTCTTAGCTCTGAGGGGACCTGATCAGGATTGGCACTAAGTGGCAAGCTCAATTTTACCACAGGCAGGAAGATGAGGAACCCTCAGGGAAATGGAGTTTTGGTGTAAAGGGGAGATATCAGCCCTGGACACCCCACAGGGATGACAGGATGTGGCTCCTTCTTACTTTTGTTTTGGAATCTCAGGGAGGTGAGAACCTTGCTCTCAGAGGGTGACTCAAGTCAACACAGGGAACCCCTCTTTTCTACAGACACAGTGGGTCGCAGGATCTGACAAGAGTCCAGGTAAGGAACCTGAGGGAAATCTGAGGGTACCCCCAGCCCATAACACAGATGGGGTCCCCACAGAAATCTGCCATGACCCTACTGTCACTCTGGAGAACCCAGTCAGGGCTGTCCGCTGAGTCTCCCTGTCTTATACAAGGATCACTGGTCTCTGGGAGGGAGAGGTGTTGGTCTAAGGGAGCTGCACTCGGGTCAGCAGAGGGAGGGTCCCAGACCCTGCCAGGAGTCAAGGTGAGGACTGAGGGGACACCATTCTCCAAACGCACAGGACTCAGCCCCACCCTACCCCTTCTGTCAGCCACGGGAATTCATGGGGAACTGGGGGTAGATGGACTCCCCTCACTTCCTCTTTCCATGTCTCCTGGAGGTAGGACCTTGGTTTAAGGAAGTGGCCTCAGATCAACAAAGGGAGGGTCCCAGGTCGTATCAGGCATCAAGAAGAGGACCAAGCAGGCTCCTCACCCCAGTACACATGGACCCAGCTGAATATGGCCACCTCTTGCTGTCTTTTCTGGGAGGACCTCTGCAGTTGTGGCCAGATGTGGGTCCCCTCATGTCTTCTATTTCGTATCAGGGATGTAAGCTTTTGATCTGAGAGTTTCTTAGACCAGCAAAGGAGCAGGGTCTAGGCTTTTCCAGGAGAAAGGTGAGAGCCCCACGTGAGCACAGAGGCTCCCCACCCCAGGGTAGTGGGGAACTCACAGAGTCCAGCCCACCCTCCTGACAACACTGGGAGGCTGGGGCTGTGCTTGCAGCCTGAACCCTGAGGGCCCCTCAATTCCTCTTTCAGGAGCTCCAGGGACTGTGAGGTGAGGCCTTGGTCTAAGGCAGTGTTTTCAGGTCACAGAGCAGAAAGGGCCCAGACAGTGCCAGGAGTCAAGGTGAGGTGCATGCCCTGAATGTGTACCAAGGGCCCCACCTGCTCCAGGACAAAGTGGACCCCACTGCATCAGCTCCACCTACCCTACTGTCAGTCCTGGAGCCTTGGCCTCTGCCGGCTGCATCCTGAGGAGCCATCTCTCACTTCCTTCTTCAGGTTCTCAGGGGACAGGGAGAGCAAGAGGTCAAGAGCTGTGGGACACCACAGAGCAGCACTGAAGGAGAAGACCTGTAAGTTGGCCTTTGTTAGAACCTCCAGGGTGTGGTTCTCAGCTGTGGCCACTTACACCCTCCCTCTCTCCCCAGGCCTGTGGGTCCCCATCGCCCAAGTCCTGCCCACACTCCCACCTGCTACCCTGATCAGAGTCATCATGCCTCGAGCTCCAAAGCGTCAGCGCTGCATGCCTGAAGAAGATCTTCAATCCCAAAGTGAGACACAGGGCCTCGAGGGTGCACAGGCTCCCCTGGCTGTGGAGGAGGATGCTTCATCATCCACTTCCACCAGCTCCTCTTTTCCATCCTCTTTTCCCTCCTCCTCCTCTTCCTCCTCCTCCTCCTGCTATCCTCTAATACCAAGCACCCCAGAGGAGGTTTCTGCTGATGATGAGACACCAAATCCTCCCCAGAGTGCTCAGATAGCCTGCTCCTCCCCCTCGGTCGTTGCTTCCCTTCCATTAGATCAATCTGATGAGGGCTCCAGCAGCCAAAAGGAGGAGAGTCCAAGCACCCTACAGGTCCTGCCAGACAGTGAGTCTTTACCCAGAAGTGAGATAGATGAAAAGGTGACTGATTTGGTGCAGTTTCTGCTCTTCAAGTATCAAATGAAGGAGCCGATCACAAAGGCAGAAATACTGGAGAGTGTCATAAGAAATTATGAAGACCACTTCCCTTTGTTGTTTAGTGAAGCCTCCGAGTGCATGCTGCTGGTCTTTGGCATTGATGTAAAGGAAGTGGATCCCACTGGCCACTCCTTTGTCCTTGTCACCTCCCTGGGCCTCACCTATGATGGGATGCTGAGTGATGTCCAGAGCATGCCCAAGACTGGCATTCTCATACTTATCCTAAGCATAGTCTTCATAGAGGGCTACTGCACCCCTGAGGAGGTCATCTGGGAAGCACTGAATATGATGGGGCTGTATGATGGGATGGAGCACCTCATTTATGGGGAGCCCAGGAAGCTGCTCACCCAAGATTGGGTGCAGGAAAACTACCTGGAGTACCGGCAGGTGCCTGGCAGTGATCCTGCACGGTATGAGTTTCTGTGGGGTCCAAGGGCTCATGCTGAAATTAGGAAGATGAGTCTCCTGAAATTTTTGGCCAAGGTAAATGGGAGTGATCCAAGATCCTTCCCACTGTGGTATGAGGAGGCTTTGAAAGATGAGGAAGAGAGAGCCCAGGACAGAATTGCCACCACAGATGATACTACTGCCATGGCCAGTGCAAGTTCTAGCGCTACAGGTAGCTTCTCCTACCCTGAATAAAGTAAGACAGATTCTTCACTGTGTTTTAAAAGGCAAGTCAAATACCACATGATTTTACTCATATGTGGAATCTAAAAAAAAAAAAAAAAAAAGTTGGTATCATGGAAGTAGAGAGTAGAGCAGTAGTTACATTACAATTAAATAGGAGGAATAAGTTCTAGTGTTCTATTGCACAGTAGGATGACTATAGTTAACATTAAGATATTGTATATTACAAAACAGCTAGAAGGAAGGCTTTTCAATATTGTCACCAAAAAGAAATGATAAATGCATGAGGTGATGGATACACTACCTGATTTGATCATTATACTACATATACATGAATCAGAACATCAAATTGTACCTCATAAATATCTACAATTACATGTCAGTTTTTGTTTATGTTTTTGTTTTTTTTTAATTTATGAAAACAAATGAGAATGGAAATCAATGATGTATGTGGTGGAGGGCCAGGCTGAGGCTGAGGAAAATACAGTGCATAACATCTTTGTCTTACTGTTTTCTTTGGATAACCTGGGGACTTCTTTTCTTTTCTTCTTGGTATTTTATTTTCTTTTTCTTCTTCTTCTTTTTTTTTTTTTAACAAAGTCTCACTCTATTGCTCTGGCAGGAGTGCAGTGGTGCAGTCTCGGCTCACTGCAACTTCCGCCTCCTGGGTTCAAGCGATTCTCCTGCCTCAGTCTCCTGAGTAGCTGGGATTACAAGTGTGCACCACCATACCCGGCTAATTTTGTATTTTTTAGTAGAGATGGGGTTTCACCATGTTGGCCAGGCTGGTCTCAAACTCCTGACCTCAGGTAATCTGCCCGCCTCAGCCTCCCAAAGTGCTGGGATAACAGGTGTGAGCCACTGCACCCAGCCTCTTCTTGGTATTTTAAAATGTTGTTACTTTTACTAGAATGTTTATGAGCTTCAGAATCTAAGGTCACACGTTCGTTTCTGTTTATCCAGTTTAAGAAACAGTTTTGCTATTTTGTAAAACAAATTGGGAACCCTTCCATCATATTTGTAATCTGTAATAAAATAACATGGAATTGGAATAGTAATTTTCTTGGAAATATGAAAAAAATAGTAAAATAGAGAAAATAATTTTAAGTGTTAGTATTTTTATTTCTTTATTATTTTTAGTTTATCATCCTGCAAAATTAAAAGTTATATCCCTGGATCTTGTTAAGTCGAAATTAAACTGTAATAAATGAAACCTTTGCTCACTAGTGCATTTTTTCCCCAAACATCCACTGAGCATCTGGTCTGTGGAAGGCCCTGGGTCTGTAGTGGAAATGTTAAGCCAGAACCACCTTTACCCATAGGGTGGTAGAGTCTAGGGGCTGCAGTCAAGTAACAAGGTGGCAAGATGTCCTCTAAGACCCAGAAGAAAAGTAAGACGGGGTGAGGGTATTGGGCTGTAGGTGAGAGTGGTCACGTACATCCTCTGAGCCAGGACTTTTGGGGCTTTGAGAAACTGCAGTTCCTTCTGGTGAAGATGAATCCAAAGAAGCTGGGTGGTGCCAGGGTCAGAGCCTCACATAGTTGACAGAGCAAATCCTGGGATGTAAAACTGCTCTGAGCAGTTCCTTTTGGGTGGTGGATGAACAGAGAGGAGTCCACCTGGGGCAGGAATGGAAGGTGTTCTGCACTCTTGTCTCAGTGCAGTTGAACTCCTAATTAAATTAAAAAAATAACTAGGTGATAGATACCCATCATATGCAAGGGTCTCCTGAGAGATAAGGATCTCATAATAAATAAGCCTATGAATTGATGCCTAGAAGTTAGCTGACTCCATTAGAGAAACATTTTAATTGGGTTATTTTTAGTGTAATTTGAACAACACTAAGCAAGGGCTAGATTTTGAGTGGTGATGAAATGAATGAAAATCATGATTTGGATGGAAAAGAACCTTGGAGAGAGGGAAGGAGTTGATACTTGACTCAAATTCCATGAACTTTGAGCAGCATCCAGCAGGGAGAAACTCCTGCACATGAAATGTTGAAAATATATCCTCTAAGAGGGAAAATTTACTGAGTTTTATATGTGAAGCAACATTTGTGACTGATTTGGGATTCCATGTTCCACTGAGCTGCATATTCTGAGATGTACTGGATAACAATGACAAAAATTCCAGAGAAGACTGTGGTGGGGTCTGAGGTCAAATAATATTAGAAATAACAGCCATCTGCCATTCATTAAACTTCTAACTATGCCAGGCCCTGAGCCAGGTTCTTCACTTATATTGCACACACTCCAGTAGTCCTAATGGACAGGGCTTATCACACCTGCTTCACAGATAAAGAACCCAAGGCTCACAGGACTTGGGCATTTCCCAGAATCACATGGCTAGTAAGGAATAGGGCTGGAACCAGACTCCTGGTGGGTCTGAATTCCTGTAGAGCCCATGCTGTTCCCACTCCTCCCAGCCTGAGGCCGACCTCTTGAATAGTACTTCATTTCTCTTCTCAGCACTGTACCATGTCTCTCAGGTGACAAAAATAGGGACTCTGAGGCCAAGGTAGCAGTCGTAGGCCTAGAGAAGGTGACAATGAGAATCAAACACCATTTCAGGGTGGCCTGTGGACCTTATTAATCCAGGGACCTACTGTGTCAATCCCCAGGGTTCCTTGAGAGCTGACTGTACCCAGGAGCTGGCATTTCTGTTCAGAGCCAGCACTTCCCCACATTACAGCACCCTTCCCCTGGTTGTCCCCAGTGTTCCCTCCTACCCAAATCTGGAACTTGGATTGCTGCCTAGCTTGTCACTGTGGTCTCTGCTAAAGGCTGTGCCCAGAACACAGTAGAGAAGCCTAGAATCGCCTGCTCACCCTGTGACACAGAGCATGCCTACACTCTGCAGAAGTACTCTGAGTGTTCTGTCCCATTCCTGGAAATCTCTCTTATAGCAGATGTCTAAATATCAGTGCCCAAAGTCAAATTTATGTAGAAATTTATGTTGAAAGGGCCTTTCAACTTCTCCTCTGCTTTCAAAGGATTTAGTCAGGAGCCGGGGAAGGAGAGCAGACAGGACACCCTCGGCTGGCAAGGGGCATTAGGAGGATGCAGGGAAGAGCAATTACCAGAGTCCACGAGAGAGACCACATGTGAAATCAAGTCCACAGAGCCCCAGGCAGGCTGCCACTGAGAGCTCTGAATCCAGATTTCAGCCCGGTGGGGGCAGAGACCTGAGGGAGAGAAGTGGGAAGTGGTGAAGGAGGACACGGCAACAAACAGGGATAGGCTTGAGAAATCTGGACACTATCATCATCAACAGGATGTGGCTGTGTGATCTGAATGGGCAGGCCTGTTGGCTGAATGCATCAGCGGCATGTTGGACACCTTATGCTCATTCAAGATTCCCCTCCCTCTGTCAGGAAGAGTATGGCTGGCTCCCTGCATCATTCTGGGTGAGCTACCTCTCTTGACCACTCCAGTGGTCCTGTGCACCCTTGCCAGCATCCCAGGGCTGGGACCTGTCTTTATGCCTACTTGAGCTGATGAATTATCCCCTGGGGAACCTCCATAGAGGTTGGGCTATGTGTGTGGGTTGCTGACTGATGATCAACAGCTGAGACTCACCAGGAATGCCAATGATCAGTGGAAGGTGGTAGTGGGGCTGCATGGAGGGGAAATTGGAGGAAAAGTGACCTGGGACTAATCAGCTCAGACTCTGCAGATGAAGGGCTTGTGTGGACATGCCTTGAAAATGATCCAGCTGGTGTCCCTGACTCAGATGGCCTCCTGTGTCTTCTGAGCTCTTGGCATACAAGGGGACAGGTGTCTTGGGACTGCAATCACTGGCCTGTGTTGCCACCAGACACTGTCTGGGGTAGAGGGCTGGCCAAAGGTGTGGACATGGGCAAGTTGGATGGAAACCCTGTGAAGATGGCACCCTTCATTGTTAAACTGACAGAACATGTGGGATGCAATGCAAAAAGCTGAAGGGGTGGGTTGCCCCTCCACACCTGTGGGTGTTTCTCGTTAGGTGGAACGAGAGACTTGGAAAAGAAAAAGACACAGAGACAAAGTATAGAGAAAGAAATAAGGGGGCCCAGGGGACCAGCGTTCAGCATATGGAGGATCCCGCAGGCCTCTGAGTTCCCTTAGTATTTATTGATCATTCTTGAGTGTTTCTCAGAGAGGAGGATGTGGCAGGGTCATAGGACAATAGTGGAGAGGTCAGCAGATAAACACCTGAACAAAGGTCTCTGCATCATAGACAAGGTAAAGAATTAAGTGCTGTGCTTTAGATATGCATACACATAAACATCTCAATGCCTTAAAGAGCAGTATTGCTGCCCGCATGTTCCAACTCCAGCCCTAAGGCAGTTTTCCCCTATCTCAGTAGATGGAAAATACAATCGGGTTTTATACCGAGACATTCCATTGCCCAGGGACAGGCAGGAGACAGATGCCTTCTTCTTGTCTCAACTGCAAAGAGGCATTCCTTCCTCTTATACTAATCCTCCTCAGCACAGACCCTTTACGGGTGTCGGGCTGGGGGATGGTCAGGTCTTTCCCTTCCCACGAGGCCATATTTCAGACTATCACATGGGGAGAATCCTTGGACAATACCTGGCTTTCCTAGGCAGAGGTCCCTGCAGCCTTCCGCACTGTTTGTGTTCCTGGGTACTTGAGATTAGGGAGTGGTGATGACTCTTAACCTGCATGCTGCCTTCAAGCATTTGTTTAACAAAGCACATCTTGCACCGCCCTTAATCCATTTAACCCTGAGTGGACACAGCACATGTTTCAGAGAGCACGGGGCTGGGGGTAAGGTTATAGATTAACAGCATCCCAAGGCAGAAGAATTTTTCTTAGTACGGAACAAAATGGAGTCTCCTATGTCTACTTCTTTCTACACAGACACAGTAACAATTTGATCTCTCTTTCTTTTCCCCACAAAAAGCATCATGCACTATCCTGTTGGGAGCATCCTCACCTCCAAGACACTGTTTGGGCCTGAGGAGAAGGAGTCTGCAGTGACCCTGTCGTGGTATTTTCCACAAGAATTCTGAAATGAAGCAAGCACAGGTAAGGGAACTGTGGGTTTCTTCATGGAGGCAGGAGGCCCACACAGGGGCAGGCTCCACACTTTGAATCAGTGAATTCTCATGCCTGGTAATTTCATTCATTCATTCATTCATTCATCCAGCAAACTTTTGTTGAATACATGCTGAGGAAACATGAGGTAACAAAACAAAGTGATAAGGCCCTTAATCCAGTATGTGGGGGATGTAGGGGAGATGGTGAGGTGGTATGAGTCACTCATTTGAGCCAGGGAGGCCAGGAAGGCAGAGCCAGACTTGGAGGCAGGCCTTACACAAGAAAGGGAGGGACAGCCTATGACCAGGCCAGTAAGCTGGCCTTCTATGACACTATTGATCTGATTTTCTTCCTCAATGCTGCCTGTGTGTGAAAGCAACTGCCACTTTCTGTGCCCACCTGCCTTTGTTAATAGGGAAAGTGCTCATGGTTGGCAGATGCTCACTTCTGCTCACCTCAGGTCACTTCTACTGAAGGAGTGGTTTTACTGCAAAAGCACAGGAAGAAACTTTTGGGGATGATGAATATATTTTGCGCCTTCACTGTGGTTGTGATTTCATGGGACTATATATTTGTCAAAACTCTCTGAATTGTTTCTCAGTATTTCAGAGAAAAAGTAAGCAGGAAACCAGGAAGGATATAGATTACCTGATTAAAATTAAAAACAAACAAACAAACAAACAAACAAAAACACCGCATCCAACTATAGCAGAATAAACATTCCTCTCAAGTGTGCATAAAATATTTACCAAGCTAGATGGTATTCTGGGCCATAAAACAAACCTTACAAATTGAAAATATTAGAAATAATAAAAAGCATATTCTTTAAGATGCTTCTTGAAGACCATAATGTAGTTAAGCTCAAAATCAAACACAAAGATAACTGAAAAATGCTCAAATGTTGTAAATTTTAAAATATGCTCCTAAGTAATCTATGGATCAAAGAGGGATTCTTAGGATAATTTTAGAATATACATTACATTGAATGAAAATAAAAATATACATACAAAAATTTGAGGGATTCAGCTAAAGTAGTCCTTGGGAAAAATGTATAGCATATTTTAAATATTTATATTAGAAAATAAAATATAAAATCAATAACCAAAACTTTCACTCTAGGAAACTAAAGAAAGAAGAGCAAGTTGAATTTAAAGAAATTGAAGAGGATCCCACCTTCCTCCCTTCCCAAACTCCCACCTCTCCCCTCCTTCCTCCCTCCCCACCATCCTAGAACACACACACACACACACACACACACACACACACACACACACACACCCCATTTTACAACAGGTTCTTTTTATTTTGATCACCGTGGGGTGTACCCTGTGGGGTGTAAAACGTACTCTAGACCCTGTTGGCTATTTATTTGGGGTTAGACCTCTGGAGACTTTTCAGGTAAATCTGAGTTCTCTGGTCTTGCCCTGAAATTACTGGCTGCCCGGGGAGACACTAGGGATGTTGGAGGTCTCCTTGCTTTGGTCCTGCTGTGGCTAATTTTGATTAAGTTCCTCATTCAGCTGGTCACAGGGGCTGGATAGTTTTGGCTCGCTTCCTTCCTCAGGTTTTCTTGAAGCAGAGATCTTTTTTGGGAGAGTTGTTTTTTTTTTTTCTGGAATTCCCTAAAAGGTTTCCTTTTCCCTTCCTGGTTGTCTTAGGAACCTGAAAGGACAACAGGGAGATCACAGAAGGGGACTGATTTTGGGGAAGAGAATGGAGGAGGGGTGGGAACAGGGGCTTCAGGAGAAGAGGTACTGGCTGAGGTGGGGGTAGGGTAGGACAGGGTAGGAGTCTTGGGAGGGAGGAGTCAAGGGGAAGACTAAGAGGAGCTTCTCTCACCTTGATAGGACTTATAGACTTAGTTTGACAGGGGGCCTTCCTGTTCCTT
This sequence comes from Homo sapiens, assembly GCF_000001405.40. Lineage (NCBI taxonomy): Eukaryota > Metazoa > Chordata > Mammalia > Primates > Hominidae > Homo > Homo sapiens. Next base: position 152,127,588 of record NC_000023.11, on the reverse strand, counting down.
GCCCCTTTGGTGTTGGCAGGTGGTTGTTCTTTGACACCTGGGCTGGAGGTTTGTGGTTTCCTGGTCATCTTCACCATGTCAGTGTCTCTCAATCGTCTACTCCATGCCTCCTGGCCTCCCTATATATACACCCCCTTCCACCGTGACAATAAAGCCATACCTGTGAGCTTTGATGGATCAGCAAGCCACTACCCAGCCAATGGTGGCTCTGAGGGGTGAGGGGCTTAGACATCACAAAGCACTATAAGGACATTGTCGTGAGTGGGAGGGGGGAAGGGGTATGGAGAGAGGGAAGAGGGGAGTCTGATGACAAAGCCAGGATGCTCTGATTGAAGAAAAAGGGGACATTTCTTTAGCACTCCTAAAGAGCTTTCCCAAACTGAGTAGCGGTGCTCCTTTCCTCCCATGTTCAACTTGGGTGGGTCACATGGCAGGGAGAGAGTATTTCCTCTAAGCCTTTTCCCAAAGTCACCCCACTTCAGTGCTTCCTTCTGTTTTCTCCCACCATTATCTAGTTTTTGTACATCTTACCGGAAATCTCTCCGAGGTAATCTGACTGTATTTAAATATATGTGTAGATGTGAATCATCCTACTTCACTCCTAAAAATTTCTCTTATGCATCTTGAAGACCACTCACTTGGATACCACCAAGGAACTTTCCCATCCTACCAATGGAAAAGTGTCCACAGAAGTCTCCTGGGGTTTCAGTTTTCCCCAGTCTGAAATCACTGCATTCAGGCTGTCAAACTCCAGTGAATACATTTGCTCCACTGGACATCTTATGTGTCTTGTTTCAACTGTAGGGTTATGCTCATCTCAGTAGATGTGGTACCCAGGCTTGGATTTTAACAGTGTAGAGTGAATGAGGCAGATTTTCATGCCAGAAATTACGCAGGATATTTGCATGTAGGAAACTAAAACCTAAGACTGACGAGTTCATGGAAAAGGGTGGTGTTGAGAAGAATAGTTCAACAACGTGCCTGAGGTTCTGTCCAGTGTAATAAGTTTTTTTAAAAGGCCTTCGTATTGGAAAGGGACAAATAAAACTGTCTTTATTTACAGAAAATAAGAGTATATACGGACAATTCTATCTATCAAAAAAATGCTTCTAAAACTAATAAGAGTTTAGCAATGTTGCTGGATATAGATCATTATACTTGTGTTTTTACACTAGCAATGAGCAATTGGCAACTGAGACAAAAACAATGCAATTTAAAATAGCATTAGACAATAAATATTAAATGGATAAATATGACAGAAGATGTATAAGATCTATCCATTGAAAACTATAAAACATTAGAGAGATAAATTTAATTAGAATCTAAGTAAACAGAGACATACACTTTATTCATGAGTCAAAAGACTGAATATTAAGATGTCATTTGCCCTCAAAGTTTTTGACATATTCAATGCAATAAAAATCAAAATTCCAGGATTTTTAAAATATAAATTGAGAGACTGACTCTAACATTCATATAGATGTGCAAAGGCCCTAGAATAGTCAAAGAAAACTAAAAAATAGAACAAAGTTGGGGGAGTTACCCTACTTCATTTCAAGGCTTATAAACTCGCAATGATCAGTATAGTGTGGAACTGTCATAATTATAGCAGTATATCAATGGAAGAGAATAAAGTCCAGGAGTGGATCCACATGTATATGTATATATAGACAACTAATTATTGATAAAGATGCAAATGAAGATTAGAGGAAAGAAATGATAGTATATTCAACAATTTGATCTGAAACAATTGGATATCCATATGCAAAACTAAATTTCAATCCATACTCTATCTATCTATCTATAAAGGGAGAGAGAGAAAGAAAGATATTTTAAGGAATTGTCTCAGGTGACTATGAGGTCTGATACATCCAAAATCTGTAGGACAGGGCAGCAGGCTAGAAACTGACACAGCGTTTTTACGTTCCAATCTTGTGGTAGAATTCCTTCTCCAGGAAACCTCGGTCTTTTAAGACCTTCAACTGATTGGATGAGGCGCACCCACGTTATGGAGGTAAACTGCTTTACTTAAAATCGATTGTAAATGTTGATCACATGTACAAAATACCTTCACAGCAACAGCTAGGCTAGTGTTTGACCACACAACTGAGTACTATAGCCTAGAAAAGCTAACACATAAAACTAACCATTGCACATACCTTGCCCCATACAAAAATGTAACTCAAAATGAATCATAGCCCTAAATGTCAAAAATACTTTTTTTCTAGGAGAAAACAGAAGAAAAGTTTTATAACCTGTGGTTATGTTTTAGTCAGCTTTGGCTTCCATAACAAAATGGCATGGATTATTTAGCTGAAACAACAGAAATTATTTTTTTTCACAGTTTTGGAGACTAAAAGTCACAGATAAAGGACTGGAGGGTCAGTTTCTTATTCCCAGCTTGTAGATGGCCCATTCTCATTATGTTCATTCTTGTCCTTTCATCTGTGCATGTGCATGGAGAGAGGGAGAAAGGGAAGGAGGGAGGGAGAAAGGGAAGGAGGGAGGGAGGGAGGGAGAGAGAGAGAGAGGGAGGGAGAGAGTGAGAGAGAGAGGGAGGGAGAGGGTGAGAGAGAGAGAGAGAGAACTCATGCAAGCACAAGAGTGCTTTCTTGCTTCCCTTATAACCACACTAATCTTATGGGATCAAGGCCCCACCCTTATGACCTCTTTCAATATTAATTACTTCCTTAGAGGCCCCATCTCCAAATACAGACACCCTGGAGCTGAGGGATTCAAAATATGAATGCGGTAGAGGACATAACCATTAGCAAAGAATAAACACATAGATTAATAAAACAGAATAGAGCTCAGAAACAGACTGGCACACATATAGTCAGGTGAATTGCAACAAAGGCAATAATGGTAAAAGTATAGTTTTTTCCAACAAGTGGTGCCTGAACAATTGGACATCTAGACACAAATAATAATAATAATAATAATAATAACCTAGACATATCCTTAAAAATTTCACAAGATCAACTCAAAATACGTCATAGATCTAATGCAAAATGCAAAAACCATACAACTTCTAGAAGAAAGCGTAAGAGAAAATCTACACAAATTTGAGTTTGATGATGAGTTTTAAAATTCAGCACCAAAAGTATCATCAATGAAGGAAAAATTAGCCAAGTTGGATTTTATTAAAATAAAAATCTTATGCTCTTCAAAAAACAGAGTTAACAGAATAAAAACAGAAGCTACAGACTAGCAGAAAACATCTGTAGCACACATATGTGATAAAGAACTTGTCTCTACAATATACACAACTTCTTAAAACTCAACAATAGAAAATAAACGAAAATAGTTGAAGATCTGAACAGACAGTACACCAAAGAAGATATACAGATGGCAAATAAGCATAGTAAAAGTCCTGGACGTCTTTTGTCATTAGAGAATTGTGTACTAAAATGAGAAACCACTATACACCTATTAGAATGTCTAAGATAAAAAAAAGACCAATTGCTAGTGAAGATGTGGAGCAACAGAAACTCTCATTCATTGATGGTGGAAATGCAAAATGATGCAGCCACTTTGGAAGTAGACAGTTTGGCATTTTCTTAAAAAAACTGAACATAGTCTTACGATAAGATTCAGCAGTCCTACGCCTAGGTATTTACCCAACTGATTTGAAAACTTACGCCTACATAAAAATTTGTATGTGAATGTGTACAATAGCTTATTTCATAATCACCAAAAATAGAAGCATCCAAGATGTATTTCTTTTGGTGAATGGATAAAGAACATATATTAAAAAAACAGAATACAGCCCAGAAATAGACCTGCACACATATATTCAGGTGATTTATAACAAAGCAATAATGCTGAAAGTATAGTTGTTCCAACAAATGGTGCATGAAAAATTGGACATCTATACACCAACAATAATAATAATAACCTAGACAAATCCTTAGGTATTTCACAAAGATTAACTCAAGCTACATCATAGACCTAATGCAAAATGCAAAAATTATACAACTTCTATAAGAAAATAAGAGAAAATTTACATTACTTTAAGTTTGGTAAAAAGTTTGTAAATTCAACACCAAAAGCAAAAGTAGCAATGAGCACACCTAGCACCCAGATGTAAATTTCTAGAACCATTTCCTATTAAAAGGAACCAGATCTCTGGAGAAATGGCTGATTTTAGGACTGGGGCAGGGCATAAACCCAATGAGCCTAGAGCATCTTGTAGTCCTAGAAATGGAGGGCTAAAGAATATGATAAAGGACATCACAGTGTTGTATTCAGCCAAATCCAGACTATGGAAAACTGGAAAGAACACAAGATCTGTTTCTTTCCAACAACAACAAAACAGTGGCAAGAAAACAGGTCATGTGGAGGGGACCTACAAATGATAGAAGACTTAAGGAGTATGACCAAAAAATCACTATATAATATTATACTTGGGTACTCATACAAAGAAACACAATTTTTATAAAGTATAAGTCTACCAGGTAAGTGTGTAAAACAGTTGAACATTTGATAATCATTTATTTACTTTTTAGAAATGAAAATAATATTGGGTTTTTGTTTAATACAAAGTCCCTATCTTTTAAAAATATCATATTGAATTATTTAGAGATGAAATCGTATGATGTCTTAGACTTGCTCCACGTTACTCCAGCAGCTTAGGTGCTGGTAGGTGAGTGTCTAACTGGAAACAGGTTTGCCGTGTAGTTAAGGTTATTGATGCTGAGAGTCATCTACACTGGGTTCACTATATTAGTCTCTCTATTAATCTGTATGTTTGAGGCTTTCCCTAATAAAACATTTTTTATCATAAATATCATTCCACTAAAAGTTAAATCATAAGTGAAACTGATCACTTTGTAGAAATAAATAAATAAGTGACCAAGTGACCAAATTGATCCAAAAAGAAAACCTTAATTAAACTTTACAAACTGAAACTATACAAGCTCAAACTATTCAAAGCTCAAGCCACCCTCAAACGTTCCATGTTAGTCAGTTTTGGAGGCCGATTCTACTAAATAATCAGGGGAAACTAACCACCATCTTATCTCAGCTCTTCCAATGCACACAAAATATAGGCAATTGTTCACTTTGTTCTCCCAGATGAGCCCTCTTGGATTCAAAAAACAGATGAGGACCACCTCCCACCCCGATATAAAAAACACATCAAGCAAGCTCTGTTACATAGCAGCAATTATTCTATGTAAATTAGTAGAATATTAAATGAACAAACAGGCTCTGCCCAAGGAAAGACAATATGATTCCACATTAGGAAAAAAAGTTTCATTGTAATTCTTTACATACAAAATAGAGTAGAAAAAAATTTGATTGTGTTAATGGGTACAGAAAAAGCTTTTGAAAGAAATTCGATGAGTTCATGGTAAAAATATTTAGTTAACCTATATTGAAAGATAACTTCTATTTCCTAAAATCAACAGCAAACATACTTAAATGTGAAACGTTCAAAGAATTATCATTAATGTCAGGAGCAAGAAGTAGATGTAGGCTATTATCTCTATGTTTTAAATCATCATTGAGACACAAAGTCAGAGCTATAAGTATCAAAATAAATAAGGGTTGTGAATATTGGAAAAATACATAATGTTTAGTGATAATGTCATTATCGGTCTTGAAAATTCAAAGGAATAGGCAAATGGAATATTCAGGTGAATGGGCTTTCAGAAAGAGGTGTGTAACATTACTATAGCAAAGTCAAAATCTTTGACATGCGAAAGCAATACCTAATTAGAACAAACAATAGAAAATATGCCATTTGCAGTAGTAACAAAATCCAAGAATTAACCTGAAAAGAACCCTAACAAAAATGTATAAGGTCTTTCTAGAGGCAACTATCAAAGTATACTGATAGATTCAGGTTAAGAGGGTCTGAAATAAAGAGGAGCATAACCTGTTCATTGATGGGGAACAGAACATTGTAAAAATGTCAATTATACTTAAATTATTTACAATTTAGTGCCTTACCTGTAGCCGCCAAAATTACAATCAAATTTGGGCGGCTATTCTCTGCTTCCCAAATCAACCCTGGAAAATTATAGAAGGGAAAAAGAAAGAGGAAAAAAAAAAACAATATCAGCAATAAAATCTAAGCAACAAAACAGAGAAAACCCTGGATGAGACTGAAGACTGTGTTGAACTGGTACTTGTGTTTGGGACAGTGTTGGCTGGAAGGGGGTCAGCAGCAGAGATGTAGGGGAGGTCTGCAGCCTGCCTATACGGCAGATGACTGAACGAATAGGATGAACATTTTTAAATTTCCACCTCACTTCATTGCACAATCTGAAGCACCACCTCAAAACACAATGTCAGTAGCCCCAGAGTAAAACCAGAACTCCAGGAAAACTGTGTTGGTTAAGGCAGTGTGGCTCCGGAGGTCTGCTAATAACGATCTGTAACCAACATAGTGGGAAAGGATTTGCGTTTTAAAATATTGTTTCAACAGAATATAAACAATGGAACAGAAGCAGAATAGAATGTCAGAGTGAATCATGCATACTAAGGGTACGTATTCTTTCACATAAATAAATATATATATTGCTACCTACATATATACTTGGAAAATATGTAAAACATATTTCTTTGATGGAGAGAATGAATCATTTAGGACAAAAAGTTTGCAAAGTCTAGCTCTGGTTGGGGAGGAACCCCGGTGAGAAGATGTGTGTCTTCTCCCAGAGGTCATTACAATCACGGGTGCTGCAGCTCCCCAGGGACCATCTGGCCTGGTACCCGCAACCATGCTCTGCAGGGGGTGCGGCTGGGCAAATGCTCAGAGGTGACAGAAACAGAGCATCTCCCACCCATCACTTCATCAAAGAGCCAGGAGCCAGGAGGGGGACTCTCCTGAGTGAGGACTGAGGGTCCACCCACCCCCACAGTGAGGGGCCACAGAATCCAGCTCAGCCCCTCCTGTCAGCCCTGGAAGACCCTGGCAATGTTGTCACGTTGACCACATTTCTCAGAGTCAGAAACTTGGTCTGAGGGAAGCAGACACAATCAACAGAGAACAGGGGCCCAGGCTCTGCCAGGTATCAACGTCAGCACCCTGAGGAATGGCAGGCTTCCCCACCCCCACTCCCACCCCCACCACGACCCACAGTGCCATGATCACCACTGCCACCCCCAACCCCATACTCAACACCAAGACTGCCACCCCGCACCGCCACCCCCACCCACATTAAGGCAGGATCCGGTTCCCCGCTTTCTGTCAACTCACAGAAGCGCCAGGTGGCCCGGATGTGATGCCACTGACTTGCGCATTGGGTATCAGAGAGAAGCCAGGTTCTTGGTCTTAGGAGCAGCTTGAGATCGGTGGAAGGAAGCAGGCCCAGGTTCTGTGAGGGGTTAAGGTGAGACGCTGAGAGAGGACTGAGGACACCTCACCCCAGATAGAGAGCCCCAAATAATCCAGCACCGCTCCTGCTGCCAGCCAACTTCTCAGGCAGGGCCGCCCCCAGCCCCCCGTGGCTTAAGCCCCAGGGTACTCTGGAGCCAGAGCCTGGTGTGACCAGGAAAGGGCTGGTTAGAAGAAGGCAGCGTCCAGGCTCTGCCAGGCATTAACATCAGGAACCTAACGGAGGGCTGAGGGCCCCTCTTCCCTATTCCCATCCCCTACCACATCCCCATTCCCATCTTCATTCCCAACCCCATCATCACCCCCATTCCCCAACAGCACCCTCATCCTCCCCAGTCCCCACCATCTTCATCCCTCCCCCATCCCCACCCTCATCTCCCCAACCCTTACCCCTCTATAGCTCCATCCTGGCAGAATCTGGGTCTTCCCCTGCTGTCAACCCCGGGAAGCCCCTGGCCTGGATGTGACGCCACTGATTTGCGCATTGGGGGTCAGAGAGAAGCGAGCTTCTTGGTCTGACAGGCGGCTTGGGATTGGAGGAGGGAAGTGGGCCCAGGCTCTGTGAGGAGGCAAGGTGAGGGCTGAGGGAGGGATCAGGATGCCCCCACCCCAGATAGAGGGCCCCAAATAATCCAGCTTCGCCCCTGCTGCCAGCCCTGGACCATCTAGGGGCAAACTTCTCAGTCAGGGCCACCCCCCAGCACCCTGCCAACCCTGCCACTTAAGCCGCAGGGGACTCTGGAGTCACAGCAGGTCTGCTTAAGAGAGGGCAGGGCCCAGGCTCTGCCAGGCATCAACGTCAGGACCCTAAGTTAGGGCTGAAGGCCCCCCACCCCCATTCCCATCCCCCACTCCATCCCCATTTCCATCTACACTCCTAACCCCATCCCCCATGAGAACCCCCATCCTCCCCAGGCCCCACTACTCTCATCCCACCCCACCCCCACCCTCATCTACCCTACCCTCACCCCCCTATCCCTACATTCTGGTAGAATCCGGTTTCGCCCCTGCTTTCAACCGAGGGAATCCCCGGGTGCCCGGATGTGACACCACTGACTTGGCGTTGGGGGTCAAAGAGAAGCGAAGTTCTCGCTCTGAGTGGCGGCTTGAGATTGGTGGAGGGAAGTGGGTCCAGGCTCTGTGAAGAGGCAAGGTGAGACTCTAAGGGAGGACTCAGGAGGCCCCCACCCCAGATAGAGGGCCCCAAATAATCCAGCACTACTCCTGCTGCCAGCCCTAAACCACCTGGGGGCGGACTTCTCAGTCTGGGCCACTCCCTGCACCCTGCCAGCCCCTGTGGCTTAAGCCGCAAGGGACTCTGGAGTCAGAGCTTCGTGTGACCAAGGCAGGGCTGGTTAGGAGAGGGCAGTGGCCAAGCTCTGCCAGGCATCAACATCAGGACCCTAAGTGAGGGCTGAGGGCCCCCAACCCCCATTCCCATCCCCCACCCCATCCCCATTTCCATCCCCATCCCCACCTCCATCCCCCACCAGAACCCCTATCCCCCACCAGAAACCCTATCCTGCCCACTCCCCACCACGTTCATCCCTACTCCCACCATTCCCATCTTCCCCACCCCTGACCCTCCTCCTCACCCTCCCACCCCCCCACACCCTGGCAGAATTCGGTTCTGCTCCTGCTTTCAACCCAGGGAATCCCTGGGTGACCAGATGTGGTGCCACTGTCTTGCACATTTGAGGTCGGAGAGAAGCAAGGGCCTCGCTCTCAGGGGCAGCTGGAGATCAGCTGAGGGCAGCTGGCCCTGGCTCTGTGAGGATGCAAGGTGAGATGCTGAGGGAGGACTAAGGAGTATCCCACCCCTGGTAGTGGACCCCAAATAATCCAGTGCCACCTCTCCTGCTGCTAGCTCTGGACCATCCAGGGCAGGACTCCTTAGGCTGGGCCACCCCCAGTCCCCCACCGCTTAAGCCGCAGGGGACTCAGGAGACAGAGCTTGGTATGACCAGGGCAGGACTGGTTAGGAGAGGACAGCTCCCAGGCTCTGCCAGGAAACAACGTCAGGAACCTAAGGGAAAGCTGAGGCTACCCCCACGCCAAACTCTATTCCTGTCCCTACCTCCGTCCCCCACCTACACCCCCCATTCCCCCACCCCATCCCTACCGGCACCTCTATCCCACATCCCCCACCCCTATCCTGGCAGAATCCGATTCTGCCCCTGATTTCAACCCAGGGAAGCCCTAGGGGGCCGGATGTGATGCTGCTGACTTGTGCATTGCGGGTCAGAGAGAATCAAGGGCATGGTTCTGAGAAGCCGACTGAGATCAGCAGAGGGGAATGGGCCCGGGCTCTGTGAGGAGGCAAGGTGAGACCCCCGAGGAAGGAATGAGGAAGCCCTCACCCAGATAGAGAACCCCAAATAATCCAGTACTACCTTTGCTGCCAGCCCTGGACCACCCAGGGCAGACTTCTCAGGCTGGACCTTCCCCCCTCCCCACTGCCACTTAAGCCACAAGGGACTCTGGAGTCAGACCTTGGTGTGACCAGGGAAGGGCCGGTCAGGAGAGGGCAGGGGCCAGGCTCTGTCAGGCATCAAAATCAGGACCCTGAGAGAGAATTGAGGGCCCCCACCCCAACCCCTATACCCATCCCTAACCCCATACCCACTCTACTTGCATTCCCAGCCCCATCCCCACACCCTACCCCATCTTGGCAGAATCTGTTTCTTTCCCTGCAGTCAACCCACAGAAGCCCCAGGAATGACAGACAGGCACACCCATTCTGACGTCCACATCCAGGGCTGAAGGAGGGAAAGGGCTTAGTATCATGAGCAGGGCCTCAGGGGAGTCTCTGCTCCTCAAGCCCTGCTGGGAGTAAAGGGAGGCCTCAGGGAACCCAGGTCCTCAGGATAGGGGGTCCACTCCAACCCTGTCTGAGACTGAGGCGCCTCCTCTTTCATCCTCGGGAATCAGAGGGATGGAGACTCACGTCAGCAGAGGGTGGGGCCCAACCCTGCCAGGATCAAGGAGAGGAAGAAGAGGGAGGACTCAGGGTACCTTTGAGTCCAGAACAATGGGGACCTTTGCCCTGGGAGGTCCAGTGCACAGTGGCCACCTGTAGCCCATGCTTGCTGCACCTTCTGGGTGACAAAGAGGAGAGGGCTGTGGTCAGAGCAGTGGTGACTCAGGTCAGCAGAGGGAGGAGTCCCAGCATCTGCAGGCCCCAATGTGTGCCCCATTCATGAAGATTGGGGATACCTTGGCTCAGAAAGAAGGGACCCCACAGAGTCTGGCTGTCCCCTGATTTTTGCTCAGAGGGGACCAAATCAAGGATAGCCCTATGTGCCAACCTCATTTGTGCCACAGGAAAGAAGTTGAAGAGCCCTCAGGGTGATGGGGTCTTGCAGTAAAGGGGAGCTATCTGCTCATCTCAGGGGGTTTCAGGTTGAGGAATGGCAGGCCCCATCACGATGAAGAGTAACCCACAGGAGGCCATAGAAACACTCACCCCAGAACCAAAGGGGTCATACCTGGACACCCCATGTGGGGGTGACAGGATGTAGCTCCATCTCATTCCTGTTTTCAGATCTCGGGGAGGTGAGGAACTTGTTCTCCGAGGATGACTCAGGTCAACACAGGGGCCCCCATCTGGTGGATAGACAGAGTGGTCCCAGGATCTGTCAGTAGTTCCGGTGAGGAACATGAGGGACGATTGAGGGCACCCTTGGGCCAGAACACAGATGAGGACCTCACGGAAATCTGCCCTGCCCCTGCTGTCACTCCAGAGAGCATGGGCAGGGCTGTCTGCTGCAGTCCCCCCGACTTACCCTGGGATCATTGGTGTCAGGGATGGGGAGGTCTTTGTCGAGGGGTCTGCACTCAGGTCAGTAGAGGGAGCGTCTTAGGCCCTGCCAGGAGACAAGGTAAGAACGAAGCAGGTTCCTCACCCAGGACACATGAATTCCAATGCATTTCAGCATCTCTTCCTGTCCTTCCCAAGAGGACCTGGGCACGTGTGGCCAGATGTGAGTCTCCTCATGTCCTGTTCCCTATCAGGGATGTGAGCTCTTAATCTGAGTTTCTCAGGCCAGCAAAAGGGTGGGATCCAGGCCTTGCCAGGAGAAAGGTGAGGGCCCTGTGTGAGCACAGAGGGGACCATTCACCCCAAGAGGGTGGAGACCTCACAGATTCCAGCCTACCCTCCTGTTAGCACTGGGGGCCTGAGGCTGTGCTTGCAGTCTGCACCCTGAGGGCCCATGCATTCCTCTTCCAGGAGCTCCAGGAAACAGACACTGAGGCCTTGGTCTGAGGCCGTGCCCTCAGGTCACAGAGCAGAGGAGATGCAGACGTCTAGTGCCAGCAGTGAACGTTTGCCTTGAATGCACACTAATGGCCCCCATCGCCCCAGAACATATGGGACTCCAGAGCACCTGGCCTCACCCTCTCTACTGTCAGTCCTGCAGAATCAGCCTCTGCTTGCTTGTGTACCCTGAGGTGCCCTCTCACTTTTTCCTTCAGGTTCTCAGGGGACAGGCTGACCAGGATCACCAGGAAGCTCCAGAGGATCCCCAGGAGGCCCTAGAGGAGCACCAAAGGAGAAGATCTGTAAGTAAGCCTTTGTTAGAGCCTCCAAGGTTCAGTTTTTAGCTGAGGCTTCTCACATGCTCCCTCTCTCTCCAGGCCAGTGGGTCTCCATTGCCCAGCTCCTGCCCACACTCCTGCCTGTTGCGGTGACCAGAGTCGTCATGTCTCTTGAGCAGAAGAGTCAGCACTGCAAGCCTGAGGAAGGCCTTGACACCCAAGAAGAGGCCCTGGGCCTGGTGGGTGTGCAGGCTGCCACTACTGAGGAGCAGGAGGCTGTGTCCTCCTCCTCTCCTCTGGTCCCAGGCACCCTGGGGGAGGTGCCTGCTGCTGGGTCACCAGGTCCTCTCAAGAGTCCTCAGGGAGCCTCCGCCATCCCCACTGCCATCGATTTCACTCTATGGAGGCAATCCATTAAGGGCTCCAGCAACCAAGAAGAGGAGGGGCCAAGCACCTCCCCTGACCCAGAGTCTGTGTTCCGAGCAGCACTCAGTAAGAAGGTGGCTGACTTGATTCATTTTCTGCTCCTCAAGTATTAAGTCAAGGAGCCGGTCACAAAGGCAGAAATGCTGGAGAGAGTCATCAAAAATTACAAGCGCTGCTTTCCTGTGATCTTCGGCAAAGCCTCCGAGTCCTTGCAGCTGGTCTTTGGCATTGACGTGAAGGAAGCGGACCCCACCAGCAACACCTACACCCTTGTCACCTGCCTGGGACTCCTATGATGGCCTGGTGGTTGATAATAATCAGATCATGCCCAAGACGGGCCTCCTGATAATCGTCTTGGGCATGATTGCAATGGAGGGCAAATGCGTCCCTGAGGAGAAAATCTGGGAGGAGCTGAGTGTGATGAAGGTGTATGTTGGGAGGGAGCACAGTGTCTGTGGGGAGCCCAGGAAGCTGCTCACCCAAGATTTGGTGCAGGAAAACTACCTGGAGTACCGGCAGGTGCCCAGCAGTGATCCCATATGCTATGAGTTACTGTGGGGTCCAAGGGCACTCGCTGCTTGAAAGTACTGGAGCACGTGGTCAGGGTCAATGCAAGAGTTCTCATTTCCTACCCATCCCTGCATGAAGCAGCTTTGAGAGAGGAGGAAGAGGGAGTCTGAGCATGAGCTGCAGCCAGGGCCACTGCGAGGGGGGCTGGGCCAGTGCACCTTCCAGGGCTCCGTCCACTAGTTTCCCCTGCCTTAATGTGACATGAGGCCCATTCTTCTCTCTTTGAAGAGAGCAGTCAACATTCTTAGTAGTGGGTTTCTGTTCTATTGGATGACTTTGAGATTTGTCTTTGTTTCCTTTTGGAATTGTTCAAATGTTCCTTTTAATGGGTGGTTGAATGAACTTCAGCATTCAAATTTATGAATGACAGTAGTCACACATAGTGCTGTTTATATAGTTTAGGAGTAAGAGTCTTGTTTTTTATTCAGATTGGGAAATCCATTCCATTTTGTGAATTGGGACATAGTTACAGCAGTGGAATAAGTATTCATTTAGAAATGTGAATGAGCAGTAAAACTGATGACATAAAGAAATTAAAAGATATTTAATTCTTGCCTTATACTCAGTCTACTCGGTAAAATTTTTTTTAAAAAATGTGCATACCTGGATTTCCTTGGCTTCTTTGAGAATGTAAGACAAATTAAATCTGAATAAATCATTCTCCCTGTTCACTGGCTCATTTATTCTCTATGCACTGAGCATTTGCTCTGTGGAAGGCCCTGGGTTAATAGTGGAGATGCTAAGGTAAGCCAGACTCACCCCTACCCACAGGGTAGTAAAGTCTAGGAGCAGCAGTCATATAATTAAGGTGGAGAGGTGCCCTCTAAGATGTAGAGAAAAAGTAAGAAAGGGGTGAGGGTGTGGGGCTCCAGGTGAGAGTGGTCCAGAGGTAAATGCCCTGTGTGGGGCCTTTTGGACTTTGGGAAACTGCAGTTTCTTCGGAGGGAGCTGATTCTAATGAATCGGCGGGGGGGGGGGGGGGGGTCCAGGGCCAGATTCTCAGAGAGTGTGAGAAAAGCTCATAATGGAAAACTGAACAGTTCTTTTTTGATGGTGGATGAACAGAGAGGAGTGGGGCAGGAATGGAAAGTATCTTGTGCTTTAGTCCCAGTGCTGTTGAACACAGTGCAAGAGCTAGGTGATGGACACTCATCATCTGAAAGCATTTCCTGAGAGAGAAGCATAAATCTCCCTGGAAAGGAGACCCAGAAGCCACTGGCCAGGTACTTTTCTGCCTGACTGGGAGAACTAGAGATGACTCTATTAAAAATGAATTTTAATTAGATTATCTCAAGTGCAATTTGACCAGTTGTAAGCAAAGTGGTGAAAACATGAATGAAAATAGTGATTTGCATGGAAAAGCATCTGGGAGCGAGGGAAACAGTTAGTCTCTGACTCAAATTCAAGGAGCTTTGAGCTGCATCTGGCTGGGAAAAACTCCCGCATACTCAAATTTTGAAGTACATTTTCTAAGAGGTAACCACTTACTGAATTTTATGGATGAAACTTCATTTTTTGTCTAATTATTCCATGTCCTATTGAGCTCTATGTTCTCTGATAAGTCTCGGAGAAGAATGACAACAGCAAAATCCCAGAGTCCTAGGGCCTGGGGTCAAATAATGTTAGAAATAACAGGCATCTGCCACTCTTTAAACTCCTAATTTACAATAGGCCCTGAGCCAGGTGCTTCACCTACGTTGCACACACTCCAACTGTCCTACTAGACAGGGCTTATCACATCTGCTTACAGATAAAGAATCAAGGCTCACAGGGCTTGTGAATTGGGACATAATAACAGGGTATTTCTTGGGTATTTCCCAGGATCACGTGGCTAGTAAGGAACAGGGCTGGAACCAGACCCCTGGTGTGAATTCCTTTAGAGCCCATGCAGCTCCCACTCCCCCCAGCCCGAGGTTGACCTCCTGACTGCTACTTCATTTCGTTTCTCAGCACTGCACCATGTCGCTCAGGTGACAAAAAGAAGGACCTTGAGCACAACATACTAAAAGCAGACCTGGAGGTGGCAATGAGAATCAAACACCATTTAGGACTGGTGTATGCTGGGTTCCTCAAGACCTGACTCTGCCCAGATGTGGCCATTTCTGTCCATTCCCAGCACTTTCCGGAATTAAAGCACATTTCCCCTGGTCCCTTCCATATTTTTTGTCTGACTCTGGAACCTGGCCTGCTGACCAGCTTGTCATTGGTCCCCACAGAACAGCCTAGAATCACCTGTTCTCCTCCTGACAGGGAGCGTTTCTTCTCCCTGTAGAAGTCCTCTGGCTGTCCCATCTCTCACCCAGGAAGCCATGTGATAGCAACAACCATTTTGATATAAACATTCACATGGGACAGTGACTTTTGGACACCTGGGTACCACTCTGGTTATCTTCGACACAGTCTCCAAGTGTTTTCCTAAGGGATTGAGTAGGGTCTGATTTGCCATATTATCTGTTAGTTCTCAGGATATCCCCCTGAAGTTACACGAAGTTTGGAACCACCTTGATACTTGCAATCAGACTTTTACAGGGTGTTTGATTTGGAATTCACCTCTGAACACATGCACAGATGAATGGTCAAAAACCAAAGCTTCCCTCATGAGTATTAGGTGAGGAAACACTTTGGAAATCCCAGTGGAACAAACATCTACTTACTGAGGCTAAATTCCTAAATCTCTGGAGTCCCCCAGGAGGTGAAACCTAATTCCTTGGAATACATGTCAGCTTTGATGAAAAAGGAATAATTAAGCAGCCTTCTACTGCCTCTTGTCTGTTTAATTGCTCCATGGAAAAATACTGGCTTTCAGTGTGCCTAGAGGCGCCTGACAGGTGTTCAGTCATGTGCAGAGTAGCAGAAACTCACAGGTTATGATTTCTATCAAGAATCAAATGGAGGAAAAAATTCTCAGCCTACTTAGTGGGAGCTAAATGATAAGAACTTACGAAAACAAAGAAGGAAACAACAGACTCTGAGGTCTACTTGAGAGGGGAGGGTGAGAGGAGGGAATGAAGCAGAAAAGATAACTATTCGGTGCTGGGCTTAATACCTTGATGACAAAATCTGTATAACAAATCTGTGTCACGTGTTTACCTATGTAATAAACCTTCACATGTACCCTCAAACCTAAAATAAAAGTTAAAAAAATAAAGGGTGTTGCAAAGATAAGCCTTCCTGCTGAGAACTTCAAGATTCTTGGACAGTTGTGATCCTATATTAGAAAGCATCTGTGACATACTAGACCCTTGAACAAACTGGAGAACTTCAAGGCAAATTTGGCCTTCTTAGAAATTCCTCCTAGAAATGAGATGGATTGTGTAACACCAAATTATAATAGTTGCTTTTTATTGAGCACTTACTATGTAACAGTTTATGGGGGAAGCTATATTACTTACCCACATCTTGTCTTCCTCTCCTGTCTGGACACATGGGAACAGTAAAGTCCACTTGCAGTTAGGAAGAGTAGTGTGACAACCCCTTACCACTGAAACATGAGCAGAAGCATTGTTTGTCACATCCAGGAATTGCGACTGTGCCATTTTCCACTTTCTCCCTCCTTTCAATGGCAAGCATGGCAGCTTCATCTTGAGATGAGATGATGGAATCACAAAGTGGAAGTAGCATGGATCCCTGGGTCACATGAGAGTATAGAGCCCCTGGCAAACTGTATCACCAATTATGTATGCATAAAATAAACTTGTGTCATGCCAATCAAATTTCAGCATTTCTCTGATGCATCAGCTAGCAGTTACTGTAACTACCATAGCTACCATTTCTGTTAAGCATAAATATTTTGTATTTCAAAGGTAACAGTTTGCATATTGTTATTGCAAAAATTATAGAAGTGTATATAATTCACAATTTTCCCCTTTACAAAACTCCTCCACAGTTTATCCCCCTCCTTAGAGGTCACCACAATTAACAATCTGGTATGTATTATTTTAAAACTGACTCTAGGCTATTAATTGACAGATAAGCTATAACAATATATTGTTTTTATTTAATACACAAGAATGATAATGTATATATTGATCTGCCACTAGCCTTTGTCACTTCATAAAATGGATATGGGATCTTTCCACAACTGTGTATATATATATAGATCTCTCTTTTGAAACTAATTTCTATAATTCTAAAGTAGGCATGCACCATAATTAATTAAACTCTTTCTTCCTAATGGACACCAGTTGTTTCCCATCTGCTGTATGATGAATAGAATAAAATCATCTTCGAATATGTATTATTGGGCAAACATTAATGTTTTCTTATAAGAAATGTATTAACATCGACGTTGGGTGAAAATGAAAAGGGTATAAATAGTTTAGCATTTTATAAATATTTCTAAAATTTCATTGCAAAAATGCTGTACCAATTAACATTTTTAAAAAATTAAAAATGATTTGAAATTCTGATATGTGGACAGGAGATTTCTCCTCTCCTTTCAGAAAGATTTGGTCAGAATGAACAAGAGCCTAGGAAGGAGAGAGACAGGAGACCCTCAGCCCGTGAGGGGCATTGGGAGGATCCAGGGGAGAGCAATTGCCAGAGTCCATGAGAGAGACCATATGCGAAACCAGGACCACAGAGCCCCAGGCAGGCTGGCAATCAGAGCTCTGAATCCAGAGTTCAGCCTGGTGGGGGCAGGGACCTGAGGGAAAGAAGGGGGAAGGGAGGGGGAGAACAGGACAATGAACAAGAATAGGCTTGGGAAATCCAGGGACCATCATTACCAACTGGAAGGGGCCACGTGATCTGAATGGACAGGCTTGTTGGCTGAATGCACCAGTGGCGTGCAGGACACTGTACCCTCCCTCAGAATCACCTTCCCTCTGTCAGGAAGAGTATGGCTGGCTCCCTGCATCATTCTGGGTGAGCTACCTCTCTTGACCACTCCAATGCTCCTCTGCAACCTTGCCAGTGTCTCAGGGCTGAGTGCTGTCTTCATGCCTACTGGGGGCTGGTGTTTTATCTCCTGTGGACCCTTCATAGAGGCTGGGCTATGTGAGTGGGTTGCTGACTGATGACCAACAGCCAAGATGGGCCAGGAACACCATGGACTCCAGTGGCTTCTGAGATCTTGGCACGCAAGGGGGCGGAAGTCTTGGGGCTGTGATCGCTGGCCTATGTTTCAACCATACACTGTCTAGGGTAGAGGGCTGGTCCAATGTCTGGACATGGGAAGGTTAGATGGAACCCCCGTGGAAATGGCACTCTCCATTGTTAAGCTGACATGGACTTGCGTGGTCCAATGCAGGAAGTATCATGCACTGGTCCTGTTGGGAGCATCCTCATCTCCATGTCAGTGTTTGGCCCTGGGGAGGAGGTGTCCACAGTGACACTCTCAGCTGTAGTTTCCATGAGAACTGTGACCTCAAGTGAGCACAGGTGAGGGAACTATGTGTTTCTTCATGGAGGCAGGAGGCCCAGGTGGGGCAGATTCCAAGATTTGAATTAGGGAATTCCCATGCCTGGTAATTTCATTCATTCATTGGTTCATGCATGCATTCATTCATCCGGCAAACATTTATTGAACATATGCTGAGGACACACTAACTCTACAAAACAAAAGGAAGTGGCTAGGCCCTTAATTCGTTGTGTGAGGGGTGTAGGGGAGATGGTGAGGTGGAAAGACATGTGAGCATTTTAGGAAGTGAGGGACTGGGAACTGATGGAGAGAATCTCTATTGATCTGATTTCTAGATGATGCTGTGCCCTTAGTTGAGAGTGAGAGTGGAGGAGGAAAAGTTGGTGATGACTTGATGAGGAAGAGTGTGGAGGATGAGATCTGTGTGTATTATGCAGTCAGAGAGGTGCTGTAGCCTGTCCATGTGGAGCTGTCGCATGAGCAGTAGGAAAATGGGTCTGTCTATCTGGATAGGTGCCAGGGCTGGACATTAGGTTTGGCTGCATGAGTAGAAGTATTTTGAGGCTATAGGTTAAGGTAAAATCAAGTGATTATTGTGTAGATACTGGCTTACATGCTACGTGACGTCATTCTGTCTCTTGAAAACACATTTATTTGGTAATCAAAATTACTCTAAGCTTAATGAAGGAAGGAAGTGTACAGGAGGCTGGAAAGGGAGGAAGAACACTTCCAGAAATCCAAATAGAGAGTGCTTCCTATATATGTGTGTATGCATTTGCGTATATACATATTCGTGTATATATACATATATACAAAGATATATGTATATCTTCATGTATACACGTATGTATATGTACAAATATATGTATATATTTATGTATATAAATGTACATTTGTATAAACATATACATATGTGTAAATACATTTGCGTGAATACATATAGTTGCATATATATTTGAGGTGGCTTATGTTGTATATAGATTTATATATCATATTTTCAATGTCGTATCTGTTACATCATGTTACTTTTAGTGCTCTTGGCATCTGTCGTCCAAGATTAAGTGTATAATTACTAATACCCAGACACTTATCTCCTCTAACATAGTGTGCTGTTTTTGGCAGCTGGCCTCTCTATAGTAACTAAATAAAGATGATCATGACAACCAGAGCAAGGGGAAAGAAGCAATCCCAGGTCCAAGTACCTGGGGGTCAGTACTTCATGATGTATTCTGTATCTGGTTGGTGGAAAGTGGTTTTCAAAATTTTAGATGTGCAAACCCTTATTCCAATGGAAGCCTTCCACAAAACTCCAGTCCATGAACATGGGGAAGACAGAGCAGTGTGGATGAAGTGAGGACTCTAATCCCATAGTCTTGTCCACCCAGCACCTTTTCTTCCCTCAGAGCATTGGGCCACCCTGACACCCCTGAGCACTACTGGGGCAGCTCTGTGCAAAATGCCCTTCCTCAGATATGGACTTTCTCATGCCCTACAACAGGCATCTCTCTGTGTGGATGTCATTCTCTCTACTGCACAGAATCTCAACTTTGTTGCCAGGCACTGCCAAAAACTTGTGACCTTCCAAACTCCATTCTCTGTATATGCTACAATTCCATTTCTGATTTCCCAAGCTCTTCACTGTCTCCCCGCACCCCATGCACTGACCTAAACACATATGGAACACACTATCCTCCTGCTCACTTGTGTATTCTTTATTCTCAGCATGGGACTCACTCCCCTCCCTCCAACTCACCGTTCCCCTTTGGGATTTGCATAGGCTCTTCATTCCCGTTGACCCCAATCCCTGTCTTCACCTTCATTCCTAGCCCTGCTTCAAACTCTCTAGGAAAGGGGTCCCTAGTACTGCCTTTACCTTGTCACCTATCAGCACCAAATAACATGATGGGCATTTTCACTTTTTGTGAAAGTATTCTTAGATCACATAAAAGCACCCTGAACAAGAGAGGAGAGCCTGGTACATTTTTCTTATGTATGTTGCCTCTGCTCCCCCAGTACAGCACACAATCCCCTTGACTGATATTCAGATTGCCTAATCTCAACTAAAATCTATTAAATATGTAGAGCTTAATTCCCTTTAAGGACAAAGGGTGAAGTGATGCCTACGAGTTCCTTATTTAACAGAGAAGGGTAATTTGGGTGTGGAGTTCACAGCATCCCCTCCAGTGACATTGCGTTCACACTTTAAACGAAGAGCGGCACTTCAATGTCTGGCATATGTAGGCCCACCTGGCTACTGTGCTAGGGCCTTGAGTACAAACAGGACGACAGCTGGCCAGAGCCACTGGAACTCAGAAGAGTCAAACACGTGAAAACCAACAGTTGATTTCCATTTCTCCCCTCTTAGCCTTTTGTCTATTATTGGCACACATTTTATTCCTACATATGTTATATACTTCATCATACAGTATGATTATTTTTACTTTAAATAGTCAACTATTTCTTAAAGACATGTACATAATATGGAGATTATATTTATCCATGATGTTGCAATTCCTGATGCAATTCATTCTTTTATTTAGATCCAGATTATCTGGTATCATTTTTCAGTCTGCCTGGAAGACTTCCTTTAACATTTGTTTTAAACATCCTTTAATGTTTCTTGTGGTTCCTATCTGGTGATTAATTATGTAAGGTTTTTCATTTCAGAAAAGCCTTTATTTCACCTCTGTTTTGCTAGATATTTTCACAGTATATAGATTTCTAGGTTAACAGTTTTGTTTATGTTTCACCACTTTAAAGAGGTTGCTCCACACTCATCTTGGTTTAATTGTTTTTTTATTTCTATTTTTGAATTTAACATTTTTTTTTTAAGATTTTTCATTATTTTTGTAGAGATGGAGTCCTGTTCTGTTGCCTAGGCTGGTCTTGGACTCCTGGCCTCAAATGATCTTCCTACTTTGGCTTCCTAAAAGGCTGATATAGGAACGAGCCACTGTGTCCAATTGGTTTCATTGTTTTTGACAAGAAATCTACTCTTATCCTTATTTTTGTTCCTCTGCAGCTAAACTGTCTTTTTTCTCTTGATACTGTTAAGATTTTCTCTTTATCATTGGTTTCAAGTAATTTAAATTTCATGAACCTTGGTATAGTTTTTTTTCCATATTTTTTGTTCTTGAAATTTGTTTAGCTTTTTGGATTTGTGGGTTTAGAGTTTTCATCAAAATTGAAGCTTTTTCATGCATTATTTTATCAAAAATTTTTTCTGTTCCCTCATTTTTCTGTGCTTTAGTCTGCACATATCTGTACATTAGGCCACTTGAAATTGCCCCACAACTCACTAATGCTCTATTCATTTTTTTCATTTATTTTTCTCTCTCTCTGTTTCATTCTGGAAAGTTTTACTGCTATATCTTCAAGTTCATCAATCCTTTCTTCTTACATGTCCAATCTGCCATTAATCCAAATCAGTGTATTTTTTTTCAAATCATACATTGTAGCTTCCACATTTCAAAGTTTATTTAGGTCTTTTTTAATATCTTCTACACTAATATGTTTAAAGTTTTCTCTTATTTTTTGGATATATGGAATACTCTTTTGATGTTCTTGTCTACTAACTTTATCATCTGTCTCTTTTCTAGTTCAAATTTAATTTATTTTTCTCCTTATTTTTATCCTACTTTTCTGTTTCTTTCAAGACCTGGCAATTTGGCATTGGATGTCAGACACTGTGAATTTTACCTTGTTGAGTGCTGGGCATTTTTGTGTTTCTATAAATAAATAATATTCTTGAGCTTTGCTGTGAAACTCAGCTAAATTTATTGGAAAGAGAAGGATTGTTCTGCATCTTGCCTTTGAACTTTAAGTGAGATAAAATCAATGTTTAGTCTATGGTCAATGTTGCACTTCTAAAGCAAAATTATTCTGTATACTCTAACCAATGCCCCATGAATTGTGAGATTTTCCATTCTGACTAATGGGAGCAGGAATAATTCCAAGACCTGCATAATCTTTATAGATTTATTTCTGTGA
The DNA here is from genome assembly GCF_000001405.40 of Homo sapiens. NCBI lineage: Eukaryota > Metazoa > Chordata > Mammalia > Primates > Hominidae > Homo > Homo sapiens. The sequence goes on along the minus strand of NC_000023.11, from coordinate 152,105,356 downwards.
AACTCTTTCCTTTCTAGAATTTTGTCCTACAGGTACTATCCATCTTGGCATGCCTATACTCTCAGCTCCATGTTCTTAACTCAAAGAGACAATCAGGATCCCCTTCTGTGCACTGTGATCTACAATGTCTCTTTAGGCGGTAAGCTTGTGCAATCATAGGACTCAACTCACTTGTTTTTTATCTCCCAGAGAACACTGTCTTCTTTGCCTAATGTCCGATAAATTGAAAATCCGTTTCACATATTTTGCCTGGTTTTTAGTTGTTTCAGATGGGTTTATAAATTAGGTCCCTGTTCCTCCATCTTGGCCAGAATCAGGAGTCCTATACTACAAATTTAGAACCTAAATGATCTTTGCTTGACAAATGCCCTAGCATATCAACTTCCTCAAATAAAAGCCAGATTGAAAGACTATGGAACACATGTACATATCAAAGAGACATACTTACATACAACTGGGAGTATATACAGTAAACTATTAACAATGGCTTTCTGCTGCTTATGGAAATATAAGTGTTTTTATTCTCTTATTTATGCTTTCAATATTTCTAACACCTCTGAAGTGCATATGAATTAGCATTATAATAAAATATTGTAAATATTTTAAAATGTGGTTTAGATTACCAAAAATAAACACATATTCTCTAGATGGTTTGTTTGAAATATTGATCGGCCTTTTGATGAATTCTACTCAGCCTCTGGCATGCTTGCTGCTCATGTAACTGTAGAAAAACAAAAAGACTTTGAAATCCAATTAGTAAACTATGCGTAGTCATCCAACTTATCTCAGACTTTCAAATACAATTGCTCACAGGTAATAATCTATCTTGTTTTTAAAATCTTTTCTCTAGAAAACGTAATAACTTTTATTTTTAAAAGGAAAATTATATTTATATTTAAGCCATATTCCCAATGACATGATTGAATTTAATATTTATAGGAAGGATTGTATGCAGGTAATAGTGGCAGAAGGAATTGTTGTAATAACTTTCATTTTTATAGTGTTGTTTATGTCTTTTGTCAAAAGTTTGTTGTTTATATGTCTCTTGTAACAACTTACGATAATGTTTTTAAAAATATGTCTCTCAGTCATTAATGTCAGTAATTCCTAGTCACTATTGAATATGTACTTTTTAAAGTACTGACATTCATAAAAAGGATGCAATATTTTCATAACAATAATCTGTGTTTTCTTTAACGTCTTTGCAATACATCACTTCTTATGTTTATATGTTTATCTTTCACACACAAAAGACATTGCGTGAAAAGAACGGTAATTCGCCATTTCGTAACAAAAGCTAAAATTGACAAATGGGATCTAATTAAACCAAAGGGCTTCTGCACAGCAAAAAAAAAAAAAAAAAAAACTATCATGAGAGTAAACAGACGACCTACAGAATGGGAGAACAGTTTTGCAATCTATCCACCTGACAAAGGTCCACTATACAGAGTCTACAAGGAACTTAAACAAATTTACAAGAAAAAAAAACAAACTACCCCATTAAAAAGTGGGCAAAGTAGGCTGGGTGCAGTGACTCACGCCTGTAATCCCAGCACTTTGGGAGGCCGAGGCAGGTGGATCACGAGGTCAGGAGATCGAGACCATCCCGGCTAACACAGTGAAACCCCGTCTCTACTAAAAATACAAAAAAAAAAAAAAAAAAAAAATTAGCCAGGTGTGGTGGCGGGCGCCTGTAGTCCCAGCTACTCGGGAGGCCGAGGCAGGAGAATGACGTGAGCCCGGGAGGCGGAGCTTGCAGTGAGCCAAGATAATGCCACCGCACTCCAGCCTGGGTGACAGAGCGAGACTCCATCTCAAAAAAAAAAAGTGGGCAAAGTACATGAACAGACATTTCTGAAAAGAAGATATTCGTGTGGCCAACAAACGTTTAAAAAAGCTCACCATCACTGATCATTAGAGAAACGCAGATCAAAACCACACTGAGATACCATCTCACACCAGTCAGAATTGCTACTATTAAAAAGTCAAGAAACAACAGATACTGGCGAGGTTGCAGAGAAAAAGGAACACTTTTGCACTGTTGGTGGGAGTGTAAATTAGTTCAACCATTGTAGAAGACAGTAAGGTGACTCCTTGCAATCCTATTACTGGGTATATACCCAATGGAATATAAATCATTCTATTATAAAGACACACGCATACGTATGTTCATTGCAGCACTATTCACAATAGCAACGACATGGAATCAACACAAATGCCCATCAATGAGAAACTGGATAAAGAAAATATGGTACATATACACCATGGAATATTATGCAACCATAAAAAGAACGAGATCATGTCCTTTGCAGGCACATGGATGGAGCTGGAAGCCGTCATCCTCAGCAAGCTAACGCAGAAACAGAAAACCAAACACCACATGGTTTCACTTATAAGTGGGAGCTGAACGATAACATATGGACACATGGGGGAACAACACACACTGTGGCCTGTTGGGGGAAGGGGAGGGAGAGTATCAGGAAGAATAGCCAATGGATGCTGGGTTTAATGCCTAGGCGATGGGTTGATCTGTGCAGCAAACCATCATGGCACACATCTACCTATTTAATAAACCTGCACATCCTGCAAATGTACCCCGGAACTTAAAATAAATGTTTAAAAAAAAAGGTTTTTTCTCCTGTATTTTATTTTCAAACTGCTTATAGTTTTTCATTTATCTTTTAGATATATTATCTTTGTATAAAATATGAGGTTTAGTTAGAGATTCATTGTTTAACATATGGTTGTCTAATTGTTCTAATAAAATTCAATGAAAGAACCAACATTTCTCAATTGAATTTCCTTAGTTCTTTGTAAAGACTCCATGGACTATATTTGTGTGGTTCTATTTCTGGGTTCTCTATTCAGTTCCCTTGATCTATATGTCTACCCCTTACCCAATATCACACTCTATTGATTACTATAGTCTTAGTGTTAATTTTAAAGTTGGGTAGTATGAGGCCGGGCGCGGTGGCTCACGCCTGTAATCTCAACACTGTGGGAAGCTCAGGCGGGCGGATCACCTGAGGTGATCCAGCCTGGCCAACATGGGGAAAACCCACCTCTACTAAAAATACAAAAGTTAGCTTGGCATGGTGTCGGGAGCCTGTAATCCCAACTATTTCAGAGGCTGGGACACAAGAATCGCTTGAACCTGGGAGGCAGAAGTTGCGGTGAGCCCAGATCAGGCCACTGCACTCCAGCCTAGGCAACAGAGCGGCTCCATCAAAAAAAAAAAAAAAAAAAAAAGGAATAAAGAAAAAAAGGGTAGTATGATTCTTCCAGCTTTATTCTGCCTTTCCAGAATTATGTTAATGATTCTAGTTCTTTAGCCCTCCTGCAAAATGTTGTCAGGGTAGAGGGTTGTCTTTTTTTTTTTTTTTTTAAGACCGAGTCTCCCTCTGTTGCCCAGGCTAGGGTGCAGTGGCACACTCTCGGCTCACTGCAATCTCAGCTCCTGGGTTCAAGCGATTCTCCTGCCTCTGCCACCCTAGTAGCTGGGATTACAGGCATGTGCCACCTTGCCTGGTTAATTTTTGTATTTTTAATAGAGACAGGGTTTCACCATGTTGGCCAGGCTTGTCTCAAACTCCTGGCCTCAAGTGATCAGCCGCCTGGGCATCACAAAGTGCTGGAATTACAGGTGTGAGCCATGGCGCCGGGCCTACATTTTTTGATCAGTTTGTCTATATATACAAAAATTCCTGCTGGAATTTTATTTGGCATTGCTTTGAACCTACATGTCAATTTGGTGAGAATTGATTGACCTCTTTACCATGTTGAATCTTTAAGTCCACGAACAAAGTGTCCCTATCTATTTATTTAGGTGCTCTATGATTTCTTTCATTGGCATTTTGTAGTTTTGTAGTTTTCAGCATATAGACCATATACAATATTTAGATTTATATATAAATATTTCTTTTTTCAGTGTCAGTGAAATGGTATTATAAATTTGGTTTCTACATTTCATTATATGGATATATGACTCATTTGTGTTCATTGACCTTGTGTCCTGCCACTTTGTTATACTCATTTATTAGTTGTAGAATTTTTTTGGCATTTTCTTGGGATTTTATACATAGACAATTATGCCCCTGAGAATGGAGGTGATGTTATATATTTTATTCCAGTCTCCTTGCTGTATTTATTCGTATATATTCTTTTGCTTTATTCAGTATTTTATTATAAAGTTGGACATTAGCTGTAGTGTTTTTGCATATGCCCTTTATGAGGTTAAGTTCTTATTTAATTTATTTCTCATTTTCTGAGGGTTTTTTCACAAACGGAAGCTGCATATTGTCAAAGAGAGTTTTTTTTCCTTCAACTGATATGGTCACCACACTAACAGACAAATTAGTCTGTTAGTGTGGTGGCTTACATTGTGGTTCGCTTTGTTTCAGTTGTGAAGTGTCGAATTAGCATTGCATTCCTTAAATAAACCTTGCTTGGTCATGGTGCATTATCCTTTTTTATAGATTTCTTAGATTGCATTTGCTGGTATTTGGGTGGAGGGGATTATGTCATCATTATATGTTCTCAAAATGTATTGGTCTATAGTTTTCCTTTTTGTGTACTGTCCTGCCTTGTTTTCATACAAGGGTAATCTTAACCTCGTAAAATGAGTTGGGATATATTCTTTCCTCTTCTATTTTCTGGAATAGATTTTGTAGAATTGGTGTTAATTCCATTTAAACATTTGGGAGAGATCACCAGGGAAACCATCTGAATCATAGGTTTCTTTTTCAAATAAATTTAAACTATGGCATCAATTTCCTCATTAGTTTTACTTCTTTTGATATTTTTCGTTTTCTCTAGGGTGAATTTTGGTAGTGTTTGATTTTTGGGGGAATTATTCAATTTCATCTAAGTTCTTGAATTTAAGTAAATAAATTTGATTTTATTATTTCCTTTTATCCTTCTATTTTCACAATATGTGTAATGATATCTCCCGTTTAATTCCTGATACTGGTAATCTGTGTCTTCTTCTTTTTTTCTTTTTACTTTGTCTGTCTAGAGCTTTCTGAATTTTATTGTTTCTTTCAAATAGCCAGCTTTTGGGTTCCTTGATTTTCTCTATTTATTTTCACATTTCATTTCATTCGTTTCTGCTGTTACCTTTTTTTTCTGTTTTTTTTTTCTTAATTAAGATGAAAAGCTTAGACTATTGCATTGAGAGCTGTATTATTTCTTATCTAAGCATTAAACGCTCTAATTTTCCCTTGAAACACTGCTGCAGTTGCATCCTCCAAGTTCTAATATGTTGCATTTGCAATTTCATTGAGTTCAGTGCATTTTTTATTTCCTTGAGACGTTCTCTTAGACCCGCTGTTTAGGTCATTGATTTAAGAGGCTTGTTTAAAAGAGTGCTGTTTAACAACCAAATGTCTAGACATTTTCCTTTTGTTTTGTTATTGTTTTATTTCTAGTTTGATTACAGTAGGTTTAGAGACTATACTCTGCATGGTTTGAATTTTTGATAATTTCTTGATGTTCGTTTTAGGACCTAGAATATATGTTGGTGAATGTTCCATATGTACTTGAAAAGTATATGTATTTTGCTGCTGTTCGGTGCAATGATATTTGGATCTACAGTGTTTGTAAACCACCCAAGGCCCTGTGACTGAAACCTGGACAGTGATCTACCAATAGAACAGTTTTCCAAGCCTTTGTTATCTTATTTATGGTAAGATTTTTGCGTGAGCACGTCAGGTTGAGCCCAGTACTTGATACACAACCTGAGAGGATCCCTTTCTCACATTTCCTCTTCTCCATGATCTCTACCACACTTTCTGCCACCCAGGGGACCCTCCTTCTGGCCTTTTAGCTAGAAAAGGGGCTAGTCACTCTGATTTCCCCTTGCCTTGAATGGATCTGCCTTGATGACCAAGTGACAGGAGAATATAGAGAGAAAAATACGAAGGAGGACTCCTCTCATTCATAGACCAATGTTCTTTTGTCAGAGAGAAGGGATTTCCTTCCTCAGAGGTTTAGGTGCCTTCACAACTTTTGCCGATGCTGTCACCATTAAGTTACAGCTTCAGGACTGGAGCTTGCCTGAGTACACAGCTAGCAAAATAATAATGGCATTTGGACAACTCTCTGTGTCCTGTAGAGGCCCTGTATTCTATTCCTTGGACTAAAAATAGAGGCATTTTCTTGGCACTCTTTCTGTCCACAACTTGCGTGCAATTATTGAATTTGTGCTGCATTTGAGTCCAGGCTGGGAGATACAGGAGGCAAAAATAGCACAAGAAATTCATCACCATATTGATTTTTTTTTTTTTTTTTGAGACAGAGTCTTGCTTTGTTACCCAGGCTGGAGTGCAGTGATATGACCACAGCTCACTGCAGCCTAGACTTCCTGGGCTCAAAGGATTCTACTACCTCAGCCTCCCGAATAGCTGGGACTAAAGTCAGGCACCATCATGCATATATAAATACATAATCGAGATGAGATTTTGCCACTTTGCCCAGACTGGTCTCAAACTCCTGGGCTCTAGCGATCTGACCACCTCCACCTCCCAAAAGTGCTAGGATTACAGACATGAGCCACCGCACCTGGCCACATTGATCTTACTTTGAGTTCTGATTCCCTTCCTCAATCTTCCTGCTTCCATTTAATTTTTTCAATAAACGTTTTATTTGTCAGCTTTTTATATTTACAGAAAAGTTGTGAAGAGAGTCAATAGAGTTCCTATATATTTCACACGTTTTCCTTATTATTAATATTTTATATTGTGATGATACATTTATCACAAATAGCAAACCGATTTTATCTTAGTTTTTACCTAATTTTTTTTTTCTGTTTCAAGATCCCATACAGGACATCACATTACATTTAGTTGTCACGTCTCTGTAGTATCCTCCTTTGGTTGCGACAGTTTCTGCAAATTTTCCTCTTTTTAAAAATTACCTTACAGTTTTGAGGAGTACTAGTCAGATATTTTTTATACTGTCCCTCAATTAGGATTTGTCTGATGTTTTTACCATGATTGGACTAGAGTTATGAGTTTTGGGTAGAATGACTGGAGAGGCGAAATGCCCTTCTCATCACATTATTTCAAGGCTACATGGTATCAGTATGGCTTATCACTGGTGAAGTTAACACTGATCCCCTGGTAAATGGAGTATAATAAACAATGGAAATACGTATCACAAGAAAAAGAAGAGCACCAGATATAAAATTCTAAATTGATATTCTCCCCTTCTTTAACAATTGAAGTATATGACTTTTGTCTTAGGCATAATTTTTAAAAAATTTTTGTGGGTATATATTCATGAAGTACATGAAATATTTTGATAAAGGTACACAATGCATAATAAGCACATCAAGGTAAATGGGATATCCATCACCTCAAGCATTTATCCTTTTAACGAACAATCCAATTATACTCCTTTAGTTATTTTACAATGTACAATTAAATTATTATTGACTATACTCACCCTGTTGTGCTATCAAATACTAGATATTTTTCATTCTTTCTATTATTTTTGTGCCAATTAACCATCCCTACTTCCCCCCAAACCCCTATCTTTCCTAGACTCTGGTAACCATCTTTCTATTCTCTATCTGCATGAGTTCAATTGTTTTAATTTTTAGCTCCCACAAATAATAAGAACATGCAAAGTTTGTCATAATGACCTCCAGTGCCATCCATGTTGTTGCAAATGACAGGATCTCATTCTTTTTATGGCTGAATAGTACTCCATTGTGTTTATGTACCACATATCTTTTATCCATTCATCTGTTGATGGATAATTAGGTTGATTACAAATCTTGGATATTGTGAACAGTGCTGCATGAAAGTGCAGATATCTCTTTGATATACTGATTTCCTTTCTTTTGGGTATATACCTGGCAGTGGGATTGCTACATCCTATGGTAGTTCTATTTTTAGTTTTTTGAAGAACCTCCAAGCTATTCTCCATAGTGGTTGTACTAAATTACATTCCACCAATAGTGTATGAGGGTTCCCTTCTCTCCACATCATTGCCAGCATTTGTTATTGCCTGTGTTTTCGATATAAGCCATTTTACCTGGGATGAGATGATATCTAATTGTAGTTTTGATTTGCATTTCCCTGATGATCAATAACGTTGAGCACCTTTCAATACATCTGTTTGCCTTTTGTATGTCCTCTTTTGAGAAATATCTATTCAGATATTTTGCCACTTTAAAATCAGATTATTAGATGTTTTCGTATGGGATTGTTGCAACTCCTTATATATTCTGGTTATTAATCCCTTGTCAGGTGTGTAGTTTGCAAATATTTTCCTCCCATTCTGTGGGTTTCTGTGGGCTGTCTCTTCACATTGTGGACTTTCCTTTGCTGTGCAGAAGTGTTTTAACTTTCTGTGGTCACATTTGTCCATTTTTACTTTAGTTGTCTGTGCTTGTGGAGAATTACTCAAGAAATCTTTGCCAAGTCCTACGTCCTGGCGAGAAAACAACAATGTTTTCTTTTAGTTGTTTCATAGTCTGGAGACTTAAATTTAAGTCTTTAATCCATTTTTATTTAATTTTGTATATGGCAAGAGATAGGGGTCTAGTTTCATTCTTCTGCATGTGGATATCCAGTTTTCCCAGGACCATTTATTGAAGAGACTGTCCTTTCCCCAATGTATGCTGCTGGCATCTTGGTAGCCTTTGTTGAAAATGAGTTCACTGTAGATGTATGGGTTTGTTTCTGGTTTCTTTATTCTGTTCCATTGGTCTGTGTGTCTGTTTTTATATGAGTAACGTGGTATTTTGTTTACTATAGCTATGTAGTATAATTTCATGTCAGGTAATGTGATTTCTCCAGTTTTGTTCACTTTGCTTAGGATAGGTTTGGCTATTCTGGGTCTTTCGTGGTTCCATGTAAATTTTTCAGTTATTTTTTCTATTTCGGTGAAGAATGCCATTGGTATTTTGATAGAGATTGCAGTGAATCTGTGGATTGCTTTGGGTAGTATGGACAGTTTAAGCATTTTTTCCTTCTAATCCATGAGCATCAAATACATTTCCATTTTTTTGTGTCCTCTTCAATTTCCTGCATAAATGTTTTATGGCTTTCATTGTAGAGACATTTCACTTCTTTGGTTAATTGTTATGTATTTAATTTTATTTGTAGCTATTGTAAATGGGTTACTTTTTATTTCTTTTTACCGTTGACGTATAGAAATGCTACTTGTTTTTGTATGTTGATTTTGTGTCCTGCAACTTTACTGAATTCATCAGTTTTAATAGTTTTTTGCGGAGTCTTTCAGTTTTTCCAAATATAAAATTATATCATCAGCAAACAAGGATAATTTGACTTATTTCTTTCCAGTTTGGATGCCCTTTATTTTTGTTCTCTTGTCTGATTGCTCTAGCTAAGACTTCCAGTACTATGTTGAAAGTGGACATTCTTGTCATGCTCCAGATCTTAGAGGAAGGGCTTCCAGTTGTTCCCCATTCAGTATGATAGTTTTTGCTGAATTTTTTTAAAAAGCCAAGCTAAATAGGTTACATATTGTATGAGAATCTGCTGTAATTCTTATCTTTGTTTCTCTGTATGTATTTTTTTCTTCTTATTGTCCTGGAGATTTTATATTTATCTGATTTTTTTCAGTTGGAGTACTAGCTATCTTTTTTCTCCTATTTAGTGTTCCTTGAGCTAAGTGGATCTTTGGATTTTTGTCTTTCATTAATTTTGGAAAATTGTTGGCCATCATCTTTTCAAATGTATCTTTGACCCTTGAACTCTTTTCTCTCTTCTCCTATAACTCCAATGATGTGTACTCTAGACAATTAGTTATTGTCCTATCATTCTTGAATGCCCTATTGCGTTTTATTCACTTCTTTTCTTTTTGTGTTTTATTTTGAATAATTTCTGTTGACATCTCCAGTTTATTCTGTCTTTCTTCTATGGTGTTTATTCTGTCAATGAGCCTATTGATAGATACTGGGTTTAATTCTGGAATTTCAATTTCATTCTTTCTTATAGTTTACATTTTTTTCTTAGGAAGTTGCCAATCTCTTCACGTATAATATTAAACTTTCCCAATAGATTCTTTAACATATTAATTGTCGTTATTTTAAAGTTTCTTTCTTATATAACCAACATCTGGGTCATCTTTGAGTCCAGTTCTGTTCGTTGCTTTTTGTCGTAGGAATGGTTTGATTTTCTTGACTTTTTATGGTTTTGTAATTTTTAAATTAATGCCAGACATCATTTGTAGAAGAACAGTACAGGTGAGTAGGTAACTAGCATTTATGTCTAGAAATTGACATCTGCTTCTTCTGCTGGATATCAGTGTGTTAGTCAATTTAGTTGGTACGGTAGGTTACTTAGATTTCGATTTTGTTGTTGTTACCAGCTCCAAAATCTTCCACTATCAAACTGTTATTTGTGTGTACTGTGAAGAGGGTGACACTGTAGAGTTTTCCTCAGTGTTTCTGCTCCTTTCTCAGCTTTTAGCAATCTTAATACAATGGTGTCACGATGGGGCTCTCAATCTGCATTCTCCCCCCCACACCCCCACTCCCTAGTGGTAGACTACTGCTGCCCTTTATTTCATGTTGACCTTGTGGTCGCAGCAGCTGGGGTCCTTGGTTCTTTTCGTGCAGCCTCAGTCTTATTCAGAACCTGTATGTCTAGTTTTCTGAGGTGAGGTCTCCTTAGCATTTCTTTGTCTCCCTCTCTTGGCAGTCAAACTTTGCCCTGTATCTTTGGAAGGTCTCAAACAGAAGAAAGTACTTGCCCTTGCCCCATTTACACTGATAACAGAACTCTGCTTTGTATTGATGCGGGATACAGCCCCAAAGGTTTGTCTGCCCCTCCCCCATGGGCAGATGGCTTTTGCTTTCACCCTTCCCTCAGAAGCTACAGACCTTTCATCGTGTTTGAAGGTAGAAAAAAAAGGTTTTCTACCACCCACCCCACCCACCCCCAGGCACACAGATTTTGCTTTTGGCCCTCCGCTAGAGTTCCTAGGATTGAGATGGTTTGCTGCTCCTTCATGAATGGCCTCTCTCAATCTCCTGCTGTTGGGCCAGTTATTCTTACTTGTGCCCAGTGGAAGTAAAGAAGAGACTTTAAGTGAGTAAGAACTTTTCTATATCGGGGACTCCAAGTTAGTCTAAACCGAGATGATAAGCCACACTTGGGCTTTAGAAATTCATTAAAAGTTTAGCTGATTTCTTATTACTTGCTTCTATGATGCCTATTACTCCTGTTTTCTGCCAAAATTTAGTTTGTGTGTCCTGTCTCTCCTTGGAGGGATCGTCATCCTTTGGAATTTAATTCCCTTGACTGCCTTGCAAACCCAGCTTTCTGAATGGTTCAATAAAAGTTCTGATTTGATAGAATATATGGAGGCTTCTTATTGTTAGGATGGGCGTGATGTTCTCTTGCAACTTTCTACCTCTTCAAAGAAAGCAGTGCCTAGGGTAACCTAGATTTTGACCTTTATATACATGAAATCATAATGTATGCACTCTTTTTTTGTTCTAGCTACTTTTTTTCAACATTATATTTGTGAGATTTGTTCATGTTATTAATGTAATTCCAGTTTTTAGATTTTTCATTGGTGTACTGAAGCTCATTTTATGACTATATCACAAATAATTTATCTCTCCTACTGTTTATAGACATGTAGCTTATTTCAAATGTGGAGTTATTCTAGATAATGCTACTATGAGCATTTTTGTACACGTATTTTGGTAAACATATGAAAAAATAACTCTTAGGTATATGCCTAGGATAGCAATTGATGGTTTTATATACAGAGATATGTAAAATATGTGTATATATACATACATATACATATATATTTCAGATGTAGTAGATGATGTCACATCATTTTCCAAAGTGGTTATAATAATTTCTATTTTATAAGCCGCATACATAGAAGAGTCCTTACTCACCTGAAGTCTCTTCTTCTTTGACTTCCACTGTGCACAAATAAGAATGACTGGCTGAATGGCAGGGGTCTCAGAGAGCCCCTTCATAAAGGAGCATCAAGCAGTCTTTATAACTTATAAGAATTTATTTTGCTTTACATGTTTGCTAATTTTCGTTGACAATTTTAATGTAAATTTCTTATTGACAGATAATATACATATAGAGAAGGGCACAAATTGTAAGTATATGATTTTATGCATTTTTATAAAGTAAAACCAACCCTTTAACTACCACCCAAATTTAGATTAGAACATTATCAGTACTCCAGAATTCTTCCCTATATTTCATCAGTCATTAACCCCCAGCAATAACCACTATTCTGACTTCTATCATCATAAATTAGTTATGCTTACCTTTTGTTTAAAAATCAACTTTATTAAGGAATAAATTACATACAATAAAATCCACTCTTTTATATATACAGTTTAATGAGTTTTGACAAATGTATATACCTCTGTATCCACTACCATAATCAAAGTATAGAACATTTGTATTACTCCAAAACATTTCCTTATGTTTCTCGGCAATCTTTCCCCACCTCAGGATCCAGGCAACTACTTATCTGCTGTCTGTTACTATAGATTAGTTTTCCCTTGTCTAGAATTTCTTTATTGTTATTTTTTTTATTTTATTTTTTGAGACAGGGTATCACTCTGTCACCTAGGTTGGAGTGCAGTGGCCCGATCATGGCTCACTGCAGCCTCAACCTCCGAAGGCTCCAGTGATCCTCTTGCTTCAGCCCCTCTGCGAGTAGCTGGGATTACAGATGCATGCCACCACACACAGCTAATTTTTGTATTTTTAGTAGAGATGGGGTTTCTCCATGTTGCCCAGGCTGGTCTCTAACTCCTGGGCTCAAACGGTCCACCTACCTCAGCCTCCCAAAGTACTGGGATTACTGAGCCACTGCACCCAGCCTTGTCTGGAATTTCATACAAATGGAATCATACCATTTATACTGCTTTGTATGCAGCTTTTTTTGGTATCACAATTATTATTTGGCAATATTGTTGCATATATCAGTATTTTGTTCCTTTGTGTTGCCTAGTAATATTTTAGTTTTGCTTATTTTTCACTTATATAAGTGGAATCATACAGTATATATTCTTTTGTGTGGGGTTTCTTTCTTTAATTCAAAGATATTTGTGAGATTCATTCATGTTGGTGATTTCACATTTGTTCATTCTCATTGCTGCATAGTATTTCAATGTATGAATAATTCACCATTTTAAAATCCATTTTATTAGTGATAAATATTTAGGGTTTTTCTACTTTGGGACTATTATGAATAATTCTCCCATGAAAATTCATGTACATATTCAACAGCAATTGCTGGGATATATTTTGATCATTTACTCAAATATGAGTAATGCCCTGTTGTTTTCCCAAGAGGTCATAGCAATTTACATTCCCAACAGTGGTGTGTATTGAGCATTCCTGTCATTTTACATCCTTATCAACAGTTAATTAAGACAGCTATTCAATTTTATCAGCTGTAGTGGGCATGTTGTAGTATTTCACAGTGGTTTAAACTTGCACTCCTGCATTTATAGGCAAATAGGTTGATCACCATTTTATATGCTTGTTGGCTATTTGTATATCTTCTTTTGTGAAGTGTCTGTTTCAGTCTCTCACACATTTTTACATCATTCTGTCACTTTATTATTGACTTGCAGAAGTTATTTATACACTGTAGATGTATAAATAACCTGGTTTATTTTATGTGTTGCAAATGTCTTCTACAAGTGTGGCTTGTCTTTTCGTTGTTTTAATGCTTTTTAAATAATAACCAAAGCTCTTAATTTTAATGTAGTCCAATTTATCGGTCTTTTCATTTACTATTAGTGCTTTGTGGTTAGTTTTGCTTTATCATTATCTACTCTAGAGCAACAAAAATATTCATGTATATTACCTTCTAGAAGTTTTATTGATTTTCTTTTCTCATTAAGACTTATGATCCATATTGGAAATGATTACTATGTAGCTTTTGAGGTATAATTCTCTTTTTACATAAATGTTTTCATTTGCCCCAGTAAGTTTTGTTGAACGAATCATCCGTTCACTACTGCTCAGCAATACTACCTTTGTCTTAAAGCCTTAAAGCATATATTCACATATATATGGGTCTGTTTCTGTGATCTCCATTGGGTTCCATTGGTTTATTTTACTTGAAACAACACCATGCCTTCTTAATTTGTAATTGTATGATAAATTTTGAGGTGACTTTGGCTTTGTCAATGAGTTATTAAATTCAGTAACAATACCAAGATCCATGAAAAAAGTTGATGATACTGGACTTGATTAAAATTAAAATATTCTACTCTCTGAAATACACTGTTAAGAGAATGAAAATACAAGCCACAGACCAGAAGAAAATATTTTCAAAGCACATATATGACAAAGAACTTGTATCTAAAATATTAAAAAGAATATTTAAACCTTAGATATAAGAAAACATACAACCTAATCAAAAACAGACAAAATATTCAGACGCTTCACCAAAGAAGACATACAGATGTGAAATAAGCATATGAAAAGATGTTCAATGTCATTTGTCATTAAAGTACTACAAATTACACAACAATGTGATACCTCTACAAACCTATTAAAATGGTTACAATCCAGGAGTTAACAATACTAAATACTGAGAAAAATGCAGAGTAAGAAGAACTTATTTAGTGTTTATGAGAATGTAAAATGCCACAACCACTTTGGAAGACAATTTGACTATTCCTTCAAAAGTTAACATAGCCTTGCAAAGCTAACTATATATGAATCAGCAATAATGTTCCTAAATATTTATCCAACATATTTGAAAACTTATGTTCACACAACAAATGCATATGAATGTATACAACAGCTTTATTCGTAATAACCAGAAAATGGAAACAACCAAGATGCTTTTCAATAGATGAATAAATAAATAAACCATAGTATATCCATACATTTAAATCTATTTATTTTTATTGTAAATAGAAATTAGCTATTAAGTTATGAAAAGACCGAGATGTACCTTAAATATGTATAGTTAAGTAAAAGAAGCCAGTATGAAAAGGTGAAAAAATGTATAATCTCAATTGCATGAAATTCTGGAAAAGGTACAACTATGGAGATAACAAAAATATCAGTGGTTGCCAGGGGTTTGGAGGATGGAATGAGAGTTGAGTAGCTGAAACACAGGGGAATTTTAGGGTGGTCAAAATATGCTGTATTATACTTTAATGGTAGATTTATGACATTATACATTTTTTAAAGCCCATAGAACTTTACAGCACAAAATATAAACCTCCATTTACACAAATTTTTAAAAAGTCATTTAGGCTATCAGGTGATTCCCAAGAAGGAATGCATACTATGACAATAAAATCCAACTGTATTCTAAGTGTATGAAATAATCTTAGTGAAGAGGTTGGGGGAAAAGGTGCTGACCAAAGTAACTCTGGAAATGACAGCAGACTGTAAAATTAAAGGCAAAATGAACTGCACATAAGCACAGTACTCTAGTTGGTAAAGTTATTTCCCTTGGAGGTACAGATTAGCAATTCTGATGCTGCTATACATGTATGCTGAAATTGGACAGCTAAGTAAATGAATGGTAGATGGGAGAGCCATATTTTTCACTGATTGAATGGGAGGTTATAGAAAAGCAAGAGGAGTTTACCTTAATTCTTGTGGCAATGATTTAGAGTTGAATACATTAGTTTGAAATCATGCTCACGTTAATATGGATACAGATTTTTCATGTATTAAATATTTATAGACATGTGTACATATACAGGTTAGTAAACACACATATCTCCTTGTTCTGTCAGCTGAGAGGGCCTAGAAACAACAAATTCCCAGGAGCAAAGAGCACTTCTAGCAGTCAGATTTAGGTTTCTAAAACCATTTTCCAGTAAATTAACCAAGTGTCTTTGGAGAAATGATTCTAGGACTGAGGCAAGGAGTATACAAAATGAGCCAAAGCATCTTTTAGTGCCAGAAAGTTATAAAGTAATTTAAAAACCCTACATTGATGGAGGTGTGTCAAAGGGACCAAGGAGCCAGCAGAAAGAACTCCCAATGGCCAAAGCTGAATCAATTTGAACAGCAGAATAAAGTAGTATTGGATTATAACCTCAAGTATAAAATAAATTTCCATGAGTTCTTATCGATATAAATAAATGATTTAATAAATAAATGGGGTAAAGAGACAATTACCCCTTGTAGAAGAATTATAAGGAAGGGAATATAAATTCCCATTTCTTAAGTGTGGAGTAGAGGAATAGAAGTCACCATGCATAGCTATTTCCTTTCAAAGAGTGCAGTATAAAAGAGAGGGAAAAAATAGCTTCATGGTGGAGAAACTTGACAAACACTATCTCAGCCAAGTGATAAAAGTCAACATCGGCGATAAGTCATATTGATAGTATATACCCCTGATATTATAAAAATTGAACTTTATTTTTGTGGTTTTCTGCCAAAAGCACAAAACCCCAATCTAACTACGAGAAAGACACCCAACAAATCTCAGTAGATAGGCATTACACAAAGTACCTAACCAGTAGTCCTAAATATTGTCAAGGTCATAAAATACAAAGAAAGTCTGAGAAACTATCACAGCCAATAATATCCTACAGAGATATGACAGCAAATATAGTGTGTTATTCTAGATGGGATACCAAAACAACAACAACAAAAAGGACATTAGGGAAAGACTAAGGAAATCTGAATAGATTATAGACTTTAGTTAATAATAATGTATCAATACTGTAACAAATGTACCATACCCATGTAAATTAATAATAAGGGAAATTGGGTTAGGGAGTATCTGGGAACTCTCTTTACTATGTTTGCAATATTTCTGTGAATCTAAAAATGTTGTAAATCTAAAGTCTGTTCACCAAAAAAAAAAAAAAAAAAAATAAGCTGACCAAAGAAGTCAAAATCTCCTCCATGATTAAAATTCTCTCAATGTTTCCCTTCCCCTCTGCTTCCAGGATGTAACCTTCAAGCCCCTGAGCCTCTTAGTCTAGTCTTGGGAGAAAATTCTACATGGATGATTGTGTTTCTGCACATTTTGGAAGGTAACTAACTAACTGCCCTCCTGTTCCCGACTGTCTTTTCAAGGCTATTTGTATAGTGAACAGCCTTGGAAGATAGAGATGGTTTTTCTCCAGAGGAAAGGGAAGGTTTACTTATTCTCCAGTCCAATAAAGATAATGTCTTTACCTAATTTATTGAGAGTTTTTAGCATGAAGGTTGTTGAATTTTGTCAAAGGCCTTTTCTGTATCTATTGAGATAATCATGTGGTTGTCATTGGTTCTGTTTATATGCTGGATTATGTTTATTGATTTGCGTATGTTGAACCAGCCTTGCACAGAATGGGAGAAAATCTTTGCAATCTACTCATCTGACAAAGGGCTAATATCCAGAATCTACAATGAACTCAAACAAATTTACAAGAAAAAAACAAACAACCCCATCAAAATTGGGTGAAGGATATGAACAGACACTTCTCAAAAGAAGACATTTATGCAGCCAAAAACATGAAAAAATGCTTATCATCACTGGCCATCAGAGAAACGCAAATCAAAACCACAATGAGATACCATCTCACACCAGTTAGAATGGCGATCATTAAAAAGTCAGGAAACAACAGGTGCTGGAGAGGATGTGGAGAAATAGGAACACTTTTACACTGTTGGTGGGACTGTAAACTAGTTCAACCATTGTGGAAGGCAGTGTGGCGATTCCTCAGGGATCTAGAACTAGAAATACCATTTGACCCAGCCATCCCATTACTGGGTATATACCCAAAGGATTATAAATCATGCTGCTATAAAGACACATGCACACGTATGTTTATTGCAGCACTATTCACAATAGCAAAGACTTGGAACCAACCCAAATGTCCATCAATGATAGACTGGATTAAGAAAATGTGGCACATATACACCATGGAATACTACGCATCCATAAAAAATGATGAGTTCATGTCCTTTGTAGGGACATGGATGAAGCTGGAAACCATCATTCTCAGCAAACTATCGCAAAGACAAAAAACTAAACACCACATGTTCTCACTCATAGGTGGGAATTGAACAATGAGAACACATGGACACAGGAAGGGGAACATCACACACCGGGGCCTGTTGTGGGGTGGGGGGAGGGGGGAGGGATAGCATTAGGAGATATACCTAATGTAAATGACGAGTTAATGGGTGCAGCACACCAACATGGCACATGTATACATATGTAACAAACCTGCATGTTGTGCACATGTACCCTAAAGCTTAAAGTATAATAAAAATAATAATAATAATAATAATAATAATAATAAGATAATGTCTTCCTCTAGGACAGGGTCAGGGAGGTTTGCTTACAGTCCATTATAAAAGATTAAGATTACATAACTTTAATGTCCCTCAGCTGTGACAATAACCCCATACATGCATGATATGTACCTGAATCATGACATGTCACATGGGACAAGCAGGGGAGGGATGAGGTAAACTTACAAAACTTTGAAGTTCATGCTTCTTGTTGTATCCTCAGTAATAACTTCCTTTTTCTGTGACACAGACTCATCTGTGAGACTATGGCAGACAAACTTGTTAACTAGTGAGTAGGGTAAAATACCAGACACTGCACAGTTCCTGACAGTATGGTCTTGGTGGTCAAGGCCCTGCCTTACCTCCAGCTAAACATTCTGTCATTTCTTCTTTGATAACCTTTGCTCCAGCTACATTTACTTGTATATCTTCGAATGACCTGTGGAAGTTCAGCCAAGAGTGCTCTTTTCTATTAATCTATCCATGTCCTTCTTCCTGTTTTATAGACCTTCCTGCTGTCCACTTACCCCCAGATGAGTTCCAATGCAGTAGCTGTTCTTCTAGAGAAGACAGCTCAGAGTCCACTTCTATCCCTGGTTGTTCTGTGCCGTACTTGTTGGTCTCCTCCTGTGTCTCTCCATCTAGTTTATGAAGCCGTGAAAAAGGACTCATCTTCCTTCACAGGGCCTACAATAGTCCCTAGCATGTAGTAAGCACACACACAAAATATTTGCTGAACAGGTGAAAGAATAGTGAAGCTTTTTCACATAACTTATCTCATAGCTTGACGCTATGAGTCACGCATGTGACTGGTGATATTTACCAAAAACCTAGCAGTCCTGCAAGCTCAGTAAATGCCCCAATTCCTACTCAGGCCCCCTAAATTCTGGGAGTTTTAGGTTCTTAATTCCTTTGACTTTAGCCTCGTAATGTTCTGATAATATAATTCCTGCGATTCCTCTTGCTTCAGAAGATAGCTACTCATGTCACATATGTTAAATTTTATTGTGTGTCTTGGGTATCATAGGGGAGGTATATTTTCCACAGTGGACAATTTTCCGCCTTCTCTTTTTCTCTCTCTTCTTTAACAGAAACAAATAAACCCCACCACCCCAATGAATTTTTAAATATGTTCTATTTACCTGTGCATTTTTAAATTTATCATTTTATTAATGTTTCTTTATTGCCCGCAATTTTCCCTTTTTTGCCAGTCTGTTGGGAAACCTTAATATATGTGAGAACTTTGTATCTGATGGGATGGCTCTCATTCAACCTCATCCCTCAAAGCAGTCTTCTTAGCCTGGTGGCTGGTATTCATGGAGTGAATTCACAACTTCCCCTCTTTCTGTCTCAACTTCATTTAACCTGTCAAATCTAAATTTCCATTGTCTTTTTTTCCACTTTCCTTTATTGACATATAACCTACCTGAAAACTTGCATACCTGTTGCTCAATAAATTATTACAGAGTTAATACACCAATGTAACAACCCCTTAGATTAAGAAACAATATTTCCACAAACCCAGAATTCCCTCACGCTCCTTTACAATTAGTACTTCCTTCTTCCATCCGCAAAGAAAATGCTATTATGTCATATAATACTACTGATTGCTTTTTTCCTGTTTTGTGATTATATATATATATTATATATATAATATATATTATATATAATATATACTATGTATTATATATATATTATATATATTATATATATAATATATATTATATATACACACATATAATATAATATATATGTCAAACTATACAGGATGTCTTATTTATATTTGGCTTTTCTTACTAAAGTTTATGTTTTGAGATCCATCTATGTTGTTACATATAGCTGTAGATCATTCATTTAATTGTTGCACCGTATTCCATCTTACTAATACGCCCCAGCTTAACTTATCCAATCTGTTCTTGATGGATATGGGGGATGTTTTCAGTCTTTGACTTTAATGAATAATGCTGCCATGAACATTTGTGTACAAGTCTTTTAGTGCACATGTGCATGGATGGATGTTAAATATAAACCTCAGAATGACGTTGCTGTTCCTAGGATATGCATATTTTTAACTGGAGAAATTACTGCCAAACAATTTTTCTAAAGTGCTTGAATCAACTTGTACTCTCGCCAGCAGTTCGTAAGAGTCCTCTTAGCTGTACATATATTTGTTGTCTGTATTTTTATTTTTAACCACTCTGGTGGGTGTGAAGTGGTATATCATTGTGTTTTAATTTGCATTTCCCTGATGACTAACAAGGTTGAGCACCTTTTCATTTGCATGTTGGCCATTTTGATATCCTTCTTTGGATAGTGCTTGTTTGCATTCTCTTGTTCATTTTTCTCTTGTGTTTTCTGGCTTTTTTCATTAATAATTTTTGCATTATTTATATATTCTGGATAAGAAGAATAGTCAGCTATTAATTGCTGTGTAACAAATCACCTCAAATGTAAACGCATAAAACAAAAGCCAATTTATTATGGCCACTGATTTTGTGGGTCAGAAATTTAGATAGGACACAGTGAGGATGACTATCTCCAACACCCAGTATCCAGTCCCTCCACTGGGAACACTTGAGTGGCTGCTGGAATCATCTGAGGCTTCTTCACTCACATGTCTGTCATGAGGCATGGGATGTCTAAAGGTTTGGCTCCACTTGATCTGTTATCCAGAGCACTTACACATGGCCTTTTTATGTGGTTTGGACATTCTCACAACAGAGAGACTTCAGGATTGTTGGATTTCTTATCTGCTGTCCTTGGACATCAAAAGTGAGTATTGCAGCCACACAAGGCAGAAGCTTGCATTTTCTCCTATGACCTAGTCTTAGCAGTACCATAGCATCACCTCCACTTTCTACTGATCAAAGCAATATCAAGCCTGCTCAGATTCGTGGGGAGGAGAGTTAGCTCCTATTGATGGGAAGAGTGTCAAAGGATTTGCTACCACATTTCAAAACCACCATAATTCACCCTCTGGCCACACATTATTTATATTCCTCCCATAAGCAAAACACACTCTACCTCTCCCAAGAACCCTCAGCCTCACCCCACCCAAAGTCCCTCTGTGCCATGGCATCAGGTCCAGTATCTTGTCATCTAAACTAGCTCTAGATGTGAATAAGACTCTCCGAGTTCAATTTCCTGAGTATGATTCTTCTTGATCTGAAGGCCTGTGAACTAAAGTGACAAGTTATCTATCCCATGTGATACAATGGTAGGACAGGCATAGGATATCTACAATAGACACTCCTGTTCAGGAAAAGGGAAAGTGGGAGGCATATAAGTTTTACTGCTCCATAGCAATTCTCAAGCCAGTTGGGCATGCGTTGACACATCTTTTGTTATGGACAAGTCCTCCTCCCTAGTTGTGATTTTCCCTGTCTCTTGGCTCTGCCATCCTTATTTTTTATTCTGTATTCAAAATATTTATTTTCCATAAAAAAGTAGCCTGTGTTTGCAGCTCGATAGTTTTTTCAGGCTGTTTCCTGACTGTAGAATTTGGGGTGGGTCCAAAGATCTCCTTTGGTTTTACATTCTCTCTCCCCCTTTCAGTGCATGCTGGTATAATTACTTTAAAAGCGTTGTGGAGTTTTATGGGTCAGTGTATAATCAGCTCCTTTAGACAAATGCCAAACCCTTAGGTCTCTTCAAGAGATAAGTCCCTCCTTAACTTGGGCTTCTTGTGTGGCAGTCATGGCATGATTATGTCCCCCAAATTCTGAAAAATCCTACTGTTCAAGAAACATTTATATTGTATAAATGTTTTAAGATTCTAAGAAAGCATTTTTTTTCTGCGAGATCTATGAATCTCTACCTTAAATTTTCTGATGTCTTTAGAAAGGGTTTTATAGTCCTACATGGGAGGGTTTTCTTGTTTTTTTTTTTTGTTGTTTTTTTTTTTTTTTTAGGCTCAATTTTTATTTCAGATTCAGGGAGTACAGGTGCAGGTTTGCTACATGAGTATATTGTGTGAAGCTGAGGTTTGGGGTACGATCGAACTCGTCACTCAGGTAATGAGCATAATATCTAATAGGTAGTTTTCTAACCTTCGACCTGCCCCCTCCCTTCCCCTTCTTGTAGTCCCCAGTGTCTATTGTTCCCATCTTTATGTCCCTGTGTACCTTATGTTTAGCACCCACTTATAAGTGAGAACAGGTGGTATTTGGTTTTCTGTTTCTGCGTTAATTCTCTTAAGATAATGGCCTCCAACTATATCCCTGTTGCTGCAAAGGACATGATTTCATTCTTTTTTATGGCTGTGTAGTGTTCCATGGTGTATATGTACCACATTTTCTTTATCCAATCCACTGTTGATGGGCACCTAGGTTGATTCCATGACTTTGTTATTGTGAATAGTGTTGTGATGAATATATGAGTACATGTGTCTTTTTGGTACAATGATTTGTTTTCCTTTGGGTATATACCCAGAAATGGGATTGCTGGGTTGAATGGTAGTTCTTTTTTAAGTTCTTTGAGACATCTCCAAACTGCTTTCTACAGTGGCTGGACAAATTTCAGATGCATAGTTTGCAAATATCTTCTTCCATTCTGTAGGTTGTCTGTTTACTCTGTTAATAGTTTCTTTTGCTGTGCAGAAGCTTTTTAGTTAAACTAGGTCCCACTTGTGAATTTTTGCTTTTGATGTAATTGCTTTTGAGGATTTTGTCATAAATCCTTTGCCAAGGCCAATGTCCAGAAGAGTATTTCCTAGGTTTTGTTTTAGGATTCTTATAGTTTGAGTTCTTACATAAAGATAATGTAAGTCTCTGATCCATCTTGAGTTAATTTTTGTGTCTGATAATAGGTAGGGGTCTAGTTTCATTCTTCATCCTTCATTAGCCAGTTATACCAGCACCATTTATTGAATAGGGAGTTCTTTCTCCATTGCTTATTTTTGTCAACTTTGCTGAAGATAAGTTTGGTTTAGGTGTGTGCCTGTATTTCTGGGTTCTCTATTTGATTCCACTCATCTATACACCTGTTTTGGTACTGGTGCCATGTGTTTTGATTACTGTAGCCTTATAATATGGTTTGAAGTCAGGAAATGTGATGCTTCCGGCTTTGTTTGTTGTTGCATTGGCAATTTTGGCTCCTTTCTGGTTCCATATGAATTTTAGAGTAGTTTTCTAATTCCGTGAAAAATGACATTGGTAGTTTGATAAGAAAAGCATTGAATCTGTAGATTTGGCTTCATCTTTATCCTGAGACTGTTTTCCTGACAAGACTCTGGATTACTATGAGAACCTATTGTTACCTAGAAAGATTTTCCTGGACCTTGTTATATTTCCTCCATATTCATCTTTCAAAATGCACAGTTGTTATTACCTCCTTAGCCCAGGCACAAATTGAAATGCTAAGTTGCTGTAAATTACTGGCCATGTTTATGGACTTAGCACAAAATATGCCCCCTTATAATATCTTTGCTGCTTGGTAAGTTGGGATGAAATGAACACCAACAGTGTATGGATCTGCTACTAAACAGTGGGACAGGGGCACACAAGGGAACGGAAATTTAGCTAACCCAGCCTACAAAAATCGCATGATATAAACATCGTACCTTTCCCCAATCCCTTTCCCAAATTGCATCTCATACCTTAGATTTTGACCCTTCAAATATGGGAGGTGTCAGCTGGCACTGTGCTTTAAAGACAGAGAACATTTGTTTGTCATCCTCTGAGTGCCCCCATATCCAGCACAGGCTTAAAAAAGTCTAGAGGCTGGACTCTTTCACCAACTGTCCCCCTTTTAGGGAATCTATAATAAAGAGCATGAAGGTGACTCAACAATATCTGGTGGGAAATTCTGAATAGCTTCACTATGGCAGCAACCTGTGTATTGCGTTTAC
Organism: Homo sapiens; assembly: GCF_000001405.40. Classification (NCBI taxonomy): domain Eukaryota; kingdom Metazoa; phylum Chordata; class Mammalia; order Primates; family Hominidae; genus Homo; species Homo sapiens. The sequence goes on along the minus strand of NC_000023.11, from coordinate 152,081,266 downwards.
ATTCTCTTAATGGTTTCTTTTGATGGACAGAAGCCCGGTTATTAATGTAGTTCAGTTTACAAATCTTTTACTTTTTGCCTATAAAATCTTCTGCTCCAAAGTCAAAAAGGTATCTCCTATGCATTCTTCTAGTAGGTTTATTGTTTTACTATTCTCCTTTAGAATTACAATATACCCGGGATCTTTTTTTAGTTAGGAATCAAATTTTATTTTTTTCCACATAGATATTTGGTATAGCCATATTCATACAGAAAAAAAAATTCTATATGCCAGCATTGTCAGAAATAAATTCTCCAAATATGTATGGATCTGCTTTCAGACTTTCTATTTCTGTTACATTTGTCTATTTTCCTGTCCTTGTGCCTTGTGTCTGATTTACTATAGATCATATAACTTGTTTTAATAAATCAGTTTACTGATGTATAAGTTATATCCAATAGGGTTTACCTATTTTAAGTATATAATTTGATGAGTTTTGACAAACATATATAGTTTTCTCAATCCCTGTGATTAAGATACATCACCAAACCCATGTTCTCCTAGTCTCCTATGATATCTTCTAGACGTTTTATAATTTTGTATTTTACATTTAGGTCTATGATCCATTTGGAGTTAGCTTTTGTGAAACATGTAAGATCTGTGTCTAGATTCATGGTGTTTTTTTGCACATAGATGACCAGTTGTTCCAGCATCATTTGTTGAAAAGGTCATTATTTCTTCCATTGAATTGCCTTTCTTCCTTTGTCAAAGATCAATTAACTACATTTGTGTGGGTCTATTTCTGAGCTATTTTGTTCTATTAACCTATTTATTTATTCTTTCACTAATACCACACTGCTGTGACTAATGTAGCTTTACAGTAATACTTGAAGTCAGATAGTATCAGTCCTCTGAATTTCTTCTTCTCCAGTGTTGAGTTGACTATCCTGGTTATTTTGCTTTTCCATTTACACTTTAGAATCAGTTTGTCCCTATATAGAAAATGACTTGCTGAGATTTGAACTGAGATTGCATTGACTCTATATCAAGTTGGGGAGAGCTGACATTATAACTACATTGAGTCTTTCTATCAATAAACTGGACATTTTCTCAATATATTTAGATCTTCTTTGATTTCTTTTTTGAGTTTTATAGTTTTCCTTCTATAGATCTTTTATGTATTTTCTTAGATTTGTGCCTAAGTATTTAATATTTTGGTTGAAATTTAAATAGTGTTGTGTTTTGAATTTCAAATTCTAATTGCTCATTGCTAGTATATAGAAAATAAATTGACTTTAGTACATATTCTGCAACCTTGCAATAATCACTTATTACTTTCAAAGGCTTTTTTGTTGATTCTTTGAGATTTTCTACATGCACCATTCTGTCATTCATGAACAGTTTTATTTATTCCTTCCCAATCTTTATATCCTTTTTTTTTTATTTTCTTGCTTTACTGAATTACCTAGGACTTCCAGTCTCATGTTGAATAAGTGTGGCAAGAGGGGGCATTCTTGCCTTTTTCTTAATTGTTGACAGAAGGCTTCTTATTTCTCTCTATTAAGTATGATGTCAATTGCTAAAAATAATAGATTTTTAACAGTATACATGGAATATTTATCAATATAGATAATATTCTGGATAATACCACATGTATCAATAAATTTAATAGAATCCATATCATACAAAGTATGGTCTCTGACCAAAATGGAATTAAACTAGAAATAATAACAGAAATATATTTGAAAAATTGCCAAGAATTTAGAAACTAAAAGCACACTGTTAAATAACTAATGAGTCATAGAAGAAATGAAAAGGGAAATTAGAAACTTTTTAACAAAATGAAAGCATGATACATCAAAATTTATGGGATGCAGTTAAAGCAGCGCTAGGAGAGAAACTTGTAACAGTAAATGCCTACAGTACAAAAATAGTCTCAAATTAATGCCTTAAGGTTTCACCTTTAAAAATAGAGAAACACAAATAGTAATAATGATAAAATGGAGAAATAATACATATAAGAGCACAAATCAATAAAATAGAAGCAAATAAACAGCAGAGAAATTCTATGAAGAAAAAGCTGTTTCTTTGAGATTAATAAAATCAATAAACCTCTTCACATGCCGATCAGAAACAAAAGAGAGATGACAAAAATTATTAACACCAGAATGGGAAAGGAAATTGACTACAGATTCTATATATATTAGAATATAGAAGAAAAGAAACAAAATCAAATATTATGAAACACTTTATGACAATAAAATTGACAGCTTACATGAAATGGACAAATCCTTTGAAGGGCATAAACTATCAAAATTCATTCAAGAAAAAATAAATAACTTGAATAACTCTATACCTGTTAAAATCATTAAATTTATAGTGAAAAACCTTCACACAAAGAAAACTTCAGGCACAGATGGTGTTATTTGTGAATGTTATTAAACATTTGTTGAAGAAATAATAGCAATTCCACACAAACTCTTAATAAAAAAATGAAGAGGAAAGAATACTTCACATCACATTTTATGAGGCTTCCCTTCCTCAAAGTAGTTAAAAAGACATTACAAGAAAAGAAAGCTACAGACATATATCCCTTAACATAGATGAAACAATTTTGAACAATGTTTTAACAAATTAACTAACATATAAAAACGATAATATATCTTAACCAAACTGATTTTATATTGAGAATGCAAGTTGGATTTAACATTTGAAAAATCAGTCAACTTATAATTCTCTATATTAACAAACTAAAAGATAAAATTATGATCTTCTCAATAGACAAGAATAAAGCAATTGAGAAATCCAAAACTCTTTCACTACAAAAACATTCTACAAATTATTATTAGTAATAGAAGGGGACTTCCTCAGCCTGATAAAGAGCATCTATGAGAAATCCATGTCTAATATTTTATGTAATGATGAAAGACGAGTGTTTTTTTTTTCCTAAATTAGAAAGAAGGCAAGGATGTCCACGCTCACCATTTCTATTTGACAGTGTACTGGAGGTTCTAGACAGGCCAATTAGGCAAGATAAAGAAATAAATGTCATCTATTTTAAAAAATAATTTTTGTTTCTATATACTAGCAATAAACCATCTGGAATTTAAAGGCATAAAACAATAGCAATTCCAATAGTATCAAATTATGAAATGCTTAGGGATAAATCAAATACAATGTGAACAAGACATATTAACTGAAAATTCTAAAGCATTGTTGAGATAAATGAAAGAAAGATCTAAATAATAGAAATACGTTATTTCTTTTGTCTAAACACAACATACAGTGAAAACATCAATTCTCCCCAAATTTTTCTATAAATTGACTTCAATCCCAACAAAACTAACAGCCTTTTCTTTGCAGACTTCACAAGTTAATTATAAAGTACATATGGAAATACAAATTACCTGGAATCGCCAAAATAAATTTGATAAGAAAGAACAAGTTTGGAAGACTTACATTTTCTAATCCCAAGACTTATTACAAAGCTACGGCAATCAAGATTGTGTTATATCAGCATCAAGATAGACAAATAGGTCAATGGAACAGAATAAAATCCAGAAATAGACCCTTACATACATGAACAACTGATTTGCAATAAAGCTACAGAGGCATAGGAGTGGAGGAAATATAGCCTTTTCAACAAATTTTGCTTTTAAAATTGGCTATCTATATACCAATCATATCCATATGAGTTATGAACTTTGATCTATACCTCATACTACATATAAAGATTATCTTTAAATAGATAAGAGACCAAAATGTAAAACCCCAAACTATAATATTTCTAAAATAAAACAAAAGAAAATGTTTACAACCTATAGATTTCTTAGACATGACAATAAAACCATGATAAAAAAATAGGTTTTATGAAAATTAAAATCTCTGCTCTTCAAAATACATTGTTAAGAGAATGAAATACAGGGCATATGCCAGAAGAAAATAATTGCAAATCATTAAGGACTTTATAAGGATCATATAAATAAATCATAAAACTCCATAATGAGAAGGCAAACATTCAATTAAGAATAGGCAAAATATTTGAAGAGACACTTCGCCAAAGAAGATATACAAATCACAAACAAATATAAAAATGAATATCATTACTCATTACGAAGATGCCAAATAAACCACAATAATATATAATTACACATCTATTAGCATGGATATAAGTCCCACATCCTGGGAAACTCCTCAGTCCCAGGAAAACCTGAATGGTTGGTCACTCTAAATTACAATTAAATAGAATTTTATAAAATGCAGACTAATCTGTTAATGACAAATTATGTCAGGTATTACCTAGGAATGGAAGGTGAGGAGGGATCTAGGGAGTGAGGAATTACGCAGGGGCACAAGGAAACTTTAGAGTGTTGTAGAAGTGTTAATTCTCTTGATTGTAATGATGGTTTCAAGGATGTATACGAAGGTCAAAAAGCATAATACTGTATGCTTTAAACTTGCGTAATTTATTGTATGTTAATTTACCTCACAATGTTGTTAAAAATAAATGTACTGACTTGGCTGTATCGTGAAGGTCTCATATGTGTTTCTTTCATTAAGTTCTGGTAATTTTATATTTCCATTGTGATTTCTGATTTAAATCATAAGTTATTTAGAAGCATGTGTTTAATTTTTTAAAATATGGTCATTTCTATTTATCACTTTTATTATTAGTTTCTTACCTAGTTTTGTGGTAATAAGAGATCAATCTGTATGATACCTAATTCTTTGAAGTTTAGTAAGGCTTTCATTACAGCCTAGATCATCATCATTGCTTTTTGGTACATTTTTCACGGATGAGAAAAATCTGTATCCTATAATTGTTGGCTAAAACTTTACATATGTCCATAGATCAAGCCAATATGACTTTCTCTGTCATTCATGAAACCAGTCCTTCTCAATCTCGTTAGACTTGATAACTCTCTTTACTTTGTGCTAATTAGCATATGTTTTCTATTACTATTGCGACATTTATTCACAAAAATATAATATCACTTGTTTGCTGAGCTTTTACACTGTATTTTAATGAGGAAAGAGAATTCTTCCTTAGTATCAGAAATTCCCATTATGAAAAACTCCTATCTGTACCCTATTGGCAGGAGTAGTGCTCATGGCTATACTTATAACCCTGTGGAGGTAGCTAACAAAACACCGGATGTCTCCATCTAATTAAAGAAGAAAAACAGGGCCTCACAGGAGGCACTAAAGCTGGGTAAGCTGGAAGTCAGGACTGCTGTGAAGCGGGATTTAATAGGATCTGGTGGTACAGCCTTTTAATAAGAGACACCTAGTGCTGCTTCTCTCCTCTCTCCACCCAAATCCTGGCATCCTCAAGAAACCATGATGCTTGTGGATACTACACACTTCTTAGTTGAGGTGAAGTGCACAGGGTGATGAGAAGAGTGTCCTGGCTGATGGGAACCAGGGTTCACAGCCCCATGGAGACATCTCTTTTCCTGAAAAGAAGTATGCTATTTACAAAGTCTAGTAATACCTGATTGAGTCTTGTGCTTAGCCCCTGAGGCCAATGATCAGCAAGAGGATAGAGTTGGCAGCTTGGCATCTAGCAACGGCCCAGATATGCTCAGCCCAAAGAATTGTTTCTGAAAGCCCACTTAGCTACATTCGTCAGTCTTTTGACTGACCTCTGCACAGTTTCCAGCGACTGGCATTAACTGCAAAGCACCCTGTGGGTAGACTTGACAAGCCAAATCTCCAGTTGCACTATCTCTGCATGTTTAAATTGCCTTAGGTAATATTTCCTCCTGACATTCTAGATCTGACAAAGCTTTGTAGAGGAAACTTCTCCTTCAGTATTACAAGCTTCTATGAGCTCAATTATAATCATGTATATTGTCATGAGAAGTTCTAATGATAATTTTCAGAGTTATTATTGTAATACTTAATCCTAATAGCAATTGTTAACAAGGGTGATAACCACAGGGACCTCACAATCACATTTATGATGATGAATCAATCTTGAAAGAAGTTGAAAAGGAGAGGCGTTGTAAAGAATGTATGGAAGCAGCTGGATGGTTGAGAAACATATTTACTACACAGCCTTCTTGCTCTTGGGGACTGTAATGAATGCGTAGAAGTACAAGACACAGTGCCCACCATTGACATACCAGTTTAGTGGAGGAGGCAAACATATCCACCAATGGTGATTTGTTGCTTGACAACTCTAGTGAACAGATTCCTGGGTCATGACCTACCTCCTTAGAATGCTGAAAGGAAACCTCTTCACCAGCAGAGTGCTTTGCTCATAGTGGGTATTCACTGGTAGTGAGCACTCTGCCTTTCTCTGTTACGCTTCTCTTTGCTTCCTGCCCATCCAGTGCTGGCTGCCAGACCTACTAGCACTTCGTCTATCTTTCCATTTTCTCCTAGTCATTATTCAGCCATGAAAAGTTTAGCTTAACTCTCTCACCGGATCCCCAAACACCTCAGAGCTAGTCTCAGGAAACAATGTTACTAGAGGTAAGGGGAAGCACTAGAGAAGAGCTGAATAACCTGACAATCATGTTGGGCAATGCTAGTACCCAAGCCACTGCCAGGCTCTGGCAAAAGAGGGGAGTAAGATAGGAAGAATATATTCTCTAAATGCAGATGGCTGTAGAAAAAAAAGGAGGAAGCAAACTGGCCATCACAAAAGGGGATATGAAATGAATAGAGGGGTTTAGTAATTTCTTGAGTTAGTTTCAAGAACCCATGAAATGTACCACCTTAGATGCATTCCTTTGATATTATGCATGTGGTTGGTTCCTGCTTTTCCATGACAAGGACTGGTCTTTCTTTCTTTTTTTTTTTTTTAACTGAACTGAAAAACCTTTATGATAGAACTGACATTACATTTAAAAAAGTAAAACAACCCTCCAGTATCACAGTCTTCCTTTTGTTGCCCAGCTTCAATTGCGTCCAAAAATATCTGAGGCCCTGGAGGACTCACTTGTAGATAAACCTGAGTGTCCTACAATGGCATTCAATTCCTTTGTACATGAGTCATTTGGTTGCAGTTTTATTTAAAATCAGTTGGAAATGTTTAATCAAAGTATTCAAAAATTGGAAACCCAAAAAAACTGAAGCTTTTAGAAAACTGTAATTATTGAAAGCAAAGCATGAATATAGGCATTGAAATTTGTTCTTATAAAAGCATGGAATAAACAGAATAAATTAAAATTTGAAAGCTCAAAAATGTTTTAAATTTATATTTTAAGTTCAGGGGTACATATGCAGGTTTGTTCCATAGGTAAACTTGTCTCTTTGTTTTTGTACAGATTATTTCATCAATGAGGTATTAAGCCTAGTTACCATTAGTTATTTTTCCTGATTCTTTCTCTCTTCCCACTCTCCACCCTCTGATAGGCCCCAGTTGTGTGTAGTTCCTCACTATGTGTCCATGTGAAAGACTTGGAACCAGCCCAAATGTCCAACAATGATAGACTGGAATAAGAAAATGTGGCACATATACACCATGGAATACTATGCAGCCATAAAAAATGATGAGTTCATGTCCTTTGTAGGGACATGGATGAAATTGGAAATCATCATTCTCAGTAAACTATCGCAAGAACAAAAAACCAAACACCCCATATTCTCACTCATAGGTGGGAATTGAACAATGAGAACACATGGACACAGGAAGGGGAACATCACACTCTGGGGACTGTTGTGGGGTGGGGGGAGGAGGGAGGGATAGCTTTAGGAGATATACCTAATGCTAAATGACGAGTTAATGGGTGCAGCACACCAGCATGACACATGTATACATATGTAACAAACCTGCACGTTGTGCACATGTACCCTAAAACATAAAGTATAATAATAATAAAAAAAAACAAAAAAAAACAAAAAATTAAATCTTACATACAATTTGAGCTTTCCATAAGAAAGAATGAGATCATGTCCTTTGCAGGGCCATGGATGGAGCTGAAGGCCATTGTGCTTAGCAAACTAATGCAGGAACAGAAAACCAATACTGCATGTTTTCACTTATAAATGAAAGGACTGGTCTTTCTAAAGAGTTCTAGTCACTGCAGTCAGTAAAAAAGGCAGTTTGACATAATGGTTAAGATTTTTTCTCCCTGGAGTCAGACTGCCTGGGATCAAGTTTTAGTTCTGCTACTTGCCAACTGTTATCTTGGATAACTTCACTACAAAACTTCATCACAGCTTCTTTGTTTGTGAGGCAGGACAATGATAATAGTAGCACCTATATCCTAGGCCTATGAGAATGAGGAATACATGAGTGAATATGTGTAAAGTGCTCAGGAAAGGGTCTGGCCCATGGTAAGCACTCAATGACTGTTATCAGTGCCTGTTGCTGAGGACTAGGATGTAAGGGAAAGCAAGCTGGAGGGAGAGAACACATGCATGGGATAATGCCTGTGAATGAAACTGATAACTAGAAATTGGGCAATTTAAAATTATTTGTTGGGATGATTTCTCCCGAGCCTTTCTCTCTTCCGTGGTATGTGATATTTTCAAGAATATGATTTGCTTTTATTTTGGCCTAAGGCCACCTCAAGTGGTAAAATCCCTTCATGTCCTGCCCCAGCTTCTTTCCAATTCCACTCTGCTCTTAGGTCCACCAGCTCCAATATCATGCCAGCTAACTGCTACTGCCTTCTTTATCCTCATTGCCCCTTTTCCTCTCTTCTCTTGTTCAAACTGTCACTCTTCAAAAGTGTCTCCTCGCCCACTTGTGTCATTTGCCCTGGGCAATTCTACTGGCGAGGACCTTCTAGAAGAGGAGAGAAAACTCCTGCTGCACTTGGCAGGGTCTGCTATGCAGTGACTCATTGGAGTGGTTAAGGGATGTCCAGAAGCTGGTTCTCAGCTATTTTTCCAATTCAGACAATGTTACGGCCCTAGAGATGACTCATTCCATTGTTTATTTGCTTACTTCATGTAACATGCGCCTTGTTCTGCCAGGCCCTGTGAGGGCTACAGGTGTGGTTGTGTGCCTGTGTGTGAGAGAACATATGTGGACATGTGTATTCATGTGTACATGCACATGCACAAGTGTGCATGTAGGGGGCACAATGCAAATTCATCCCACTCAGAGATCAGGCTCTGGGAGACAGGCTGATTTGGCAGGTGCTAGATGCCTACTCCTCCATTTCCATTGAAAGGCATGGTAGCCTAAAAGTCATACACATACCCTCCTTTTCTGATAAGACCACTTGGGATCAGACATCAGTCCTGGGAGGGTAGCTACTTTGCCAATCCAAGTTCTCCCTTTGTAAGATTCCTTTCCAGCCTCCAACAAAGTCGATTATAACTAACCTTTCTCTACCAGATGATATAAATTTTGCTACCGTTCCAGTCTTTCTTCTTTTTTTTCATACAAGATGAACACTTTTCTTTTATCAGTTATCAAGATTACTTGCTGAGATTCAAGTAACAGCAGACTCCTTGGAGGGCATATGCTCACCAATCATCTCAGCAACATGGCACAAAGATGTAAGCTCCTCAAGCAAATAAGGCCTCTAGGGAATTTTAATGTCTAAATTAATATTTTCTGACCCTATCCTTAGATTCAGATTTTCTGCAGTCAAATCCTTATAACCAAGTTAGCAAAGCCAGTAAGAAGCAGGGGTGAAAAGGGGTGCTTAGAGATCATCTAGTTTAATCCCATTAGTGGACAAATGGGAAATAGAAGGTTCAGAGTAAGTAACTGACCCATTAAAAGTCATAGATGAAGTGAGTGACAGTGCCGGACTAGGACTGGATCTCCTTCCCCACACCCCACCCCCACCTCCTGGACTAAGGCTCTTCATACCTCTCTGTGCCCTACTCTGAAGATTATTTGGAGCTGCAGTCTTTACTTCTGGGCTTCTCCATTGAGTCCATGAGCTTTAAGACTCACCCAGGGCATAGGATAGGATTATGAAACTCAGTCAACCCATCTTTAAGGAGCCTCTGATGGGATTTAAATAAAGAAGAGGACCCTGGGTTTTAAGGCTTGGAAGCCATTCAGATGGATTGGCTGTACATGTGTGGCACTGGGGAAAGAGAAACCCATATCCCAAGGTAGAAATGGGATGGCAGACTGAAATAAAAAGGCAAGCTAGCCCTTCTGTTAGCTTTCTGAGCCCATAGACTTTCCCTGTGAACTGTTGAGTAATGAGCAGAGTTAGAGAATAGACTAGCAGATAACAGAAGTGTATTGCTAAGGCCGGGCATGGTGGCTTACACCTGTAATCCCAGCACTTTAGGAGGCTGAAGTGGGCAGATCACTTGAGGCCAGGACTTCGAGACCAGCCTGGCCAACATGATGAAACCCTGTCTCTACTAAAAATACAAAAATTAGCCAGGTGTGGTGGCACACACGTGTAATACCAGCTACTTGGGAGGCTGAGGCACAAGAATTGCTTGAACCCAGGAGGCAGAGGTTGCATACGTACCCTTCTATACTTCTATACCATACTTCTACACTTTCATGAAACAACACAACCACTCTATGTGTCTGTCTGATAAGAACAGAGTATCCTCTGTACAAAAGTAGACATTCTCATCCTTTCTTCAAAGTGAGGAGATGGAAAGACCCTAAAATTTTTGCATCTACTTCTGGGAAACAATCACATAATCTGGCTCTGAGATATATTAATTTCTCCACAAATTCAGTCACAGTGCTGAATATTCTTTTATAAAAAGATAAAATTGTAAAGTTAACCACCAAATAAACTTGTATTAAATAGTATGAGGAAATATAAGAGAAAGGAAAAAATATGAATAGCTATTATAATCCATGTTTCTGTACCTTGTCATGAGACCATAGTGGAATTTTTAACTTGCTCTTTGCCTTCACCTGTGACCTCAACTGGATGGAATTCTTTATCTGGTAGCATGACTCAAACCTTCATCCCTGAAAAATCTGAAGCTTAATGGTCCTACCTTTTTTTTTTGTTGTTGTTGTTACTATAATTTCCCATTAACTTTTATTTTGGTGGAAGTACAGTCATGCATTGCTTAATGATGGGGATACATTCTGAGAAATGCATCATTAGGCGATTTTATCATTGTGTAATCATCATAGAGTGTATTTAGACAAACCTAGATGGTAAAGCCTACCACGCACCTAGGCTACATAGTACAGCTTATTGCTCCTAGGCTCCACACCTGTACAGCATATTACTGTATTGAATACAATGCAGGCAATTGTAACAAAATGGTAAGTATTTGTGTATCTAAACACATCCAACCATAGAAAAGGGGTAGTAAAGATACAATATAACCTTATGGAACCACTGTCACATGCATGATCTATCATTGACTGAAATGTTGTTATGTGGTGCATAACTGTATTTAAAAAAGGCACAGGAGAATCTCCACTGTTCCAGATATAGTACTCTCTGCCTTCATTATGTAGCAGCAACCCAATTCCACTTGGTTATCAGGATCAATCATACCAGCCATTATAATAATCCTTCTTTACCTCATGGTTCAGTAGAATGAAGATCTCAAAATGATCAGGTCATTGTCTCACCTTACAATTCAATGGAATGAGACTCCTTGATTCACACTCTGGGTGTTATGGACTAAATTATGTACCTTTAAAATTTATATGTTGAAGCCCTAACTCCCCGTCTGATTGTATTGGAGACAGGGCCTTTAAGGAGGTGATTAAGGTTAAATGTGGTCATAAGGATGAAACCCTGAACCAATAGAACAGGTATTCTCATAAAAGAGGAGAGAGACCCAGACATCACTCTTTTTTCATGTGAAGACAGAGTGAGAAGGTGGCCTTTGGGAAACTAAGTAGTAGACCCTCACCAGAACTCTACTGGAACGTCAACTTCGGACTTACAGCTTCCAGAATTATGAGAAAATAGATTTCTGTTGTTTAAGCCACCCAATCTATGGAATTTTGTTATGGCATCCTGTGCAAACTAAGACAACTGGTTCCTAGTTCAAAGCATATAGCACATCCTGTAAAATAGAACCACAACATTTCTGGTTGTTTTAACCCCATAGTACACTATTATATCATTGTATTATGCCAGATACTTCTGAGTAATGAGGTATGTGGTAAAACAGTGAATTACTTCAGCATGAGCACATTTTCAATTATTTTGCAGTGAAATGATTTCCTTCATCAAAAGCAATACTACGTTCAATTACTATTATGGTTGATTAGGCAACCAATAAGTTCATGAACTGTGATGTTCACAGAAGTATTTTAGACAGAGGAGCCAAACTCATATTCATAACATGTCAATTCCAGTGGGGATGAACCACTTCTTTCTCATTGACGGAATAAAGGCCATTATAATCAAGCTGCCACCACATGGCTAGCTGGTCTCCCCCAAGGAAATGTTGCCATGTCCAGGGCTCAGTACTCTTCTCTTATGTTGACAGGTAAGGTAATCAACAGTCATAGTAACCAGATAAGTTGTTGAGCCTATTTGTTAACTTCTATCCCTGCCACTACAGCCACTCTGTTTATGGAACCTGTTGAGTAAGGATTTGCGTGACTAAAAAAAAGGGCCAACAGAAATTCACAGAATGTGTTTTTTTTTTGTCCACATAATTATTGAACCTTCTCTGCAGTATATGCCCTTTAGTGAGCATTCATATGACATACAAATACCTTCACGCTCTGTGACCATTCTGAGTGGTCTTTCATTGTCACCAATCTTCCAATTGCATTCTTTCAAAGTCCCTGGCCATACAGCCAAATCATTAAGAAGTGATAACAAATTAGTAAAGACTGGTACCTCTGGACATCTTTTATTCCAGACTAAGTAAACAGCGAAACATACAGCATGAAGCTTTGCCAACTGGGAAAATTCCCTTCACCCCTATCTTTCAGGGCTACCTCTGAGTGGGGCTTTAACGCTACACCTGTCCACTTCCAGAATATCATGCAGAAATGTCTATAAAATAGATCTGATATTTCCTTCTCAGTCAACTGGTCTATATTAAGCCATAGTTGTAAATACAGTGAGAAGATTCAATATAGCAGGTATCAGTCTGAGTCACTTGCTTATGCAACTTACCTGAATTTTCCAGGCCTACTTCAGCCTTACCTGTTATATATCATTTCCAGCTGATGATCAATTTCTGCTGTGCCGTATGTCATCCTGATGGAATTGTGGAACAGAAAAGGAAAATTAGGTAAATACTAAGGTAATCTGAATTAAGTATGGACTTTAGTTAATAATAATATATTAATGTGGGTTCATAATTATATAATAATATATTAATGTAAGATATTAAAATAAGGAAACTGCTATGGAATATGTGAGAATTCTCAATACTGTGTTCACAATTTTACTGTAAATAGAAAATTGTTCCAAAAAATGTTTACTAAACAAAAAAGGAAAAAGGAATAGAACATAACAAGCATCCCAGAAATTCCCTTCCGACTTTTCTAACTTCCCTATCCAATCAACCCAGAGATAATTACTCTTCTGATTTTAATCTCATTGTTTTGCCTGTTTTGAACTTTATAATAGTGGAATCACACAGCATCACACAGCATGTATTCTCTATCTGACCTATTTTATTCAAATTATGTTTGCGAGATTCCCTTGTTACATTTTTTATTTTAAATTTTTGTGTGAGATTCATTTATGTTGTTGCTTTTAATAGTTTATTTATTTTCATTGGTATATAGTATTTCATTGTATAAATGTACAACGATTTATTTTGCCATTATAGTATTTTAAGAGATTTACGTTTTTTTCAGATTTAAGCTAATGCTACTATGATAAAATGCTACTATGAACATTCTTGTGTGTGAATTTTGGTACACATTCTTATTTGTATATGTAGAAGTGGAACTGGTGGTTCATAGAATATGCATATGCCTAGATTTGGCAGATGCCTCCAGTCTTTTCAAAAGTACTAATACAAAATTCCATTTCCACCTAGATTATAGAAGCTTGGAAAAACATTGCTCCCACCTTAACACCAAGAGTAATAAGGTAAAGTACAAAATTCTAATATTTCTTGATACAATCAGTAATCTGAGGTCACAAAGAGAGACACGATATGTGTACCAGTTCATCTGCATCAGAGCATAGGAGAAAGAAGTACTAGTGGCCATACAAACAGGTAAGATAATCATTTAACTTTTAACAAATTCCAAAGGCCGAGCATGTCTAGCATGACTGTACAGGATGCCTGGGAGCCCTAGACACCAGAGAACTTTGGACTCACTCATGAACTCTTTTCCTTGAACCTCTACTGGGTTTTTTGTCAGAAAGATTGATTCCGGTGTGGGAGAACAGAGTCCACCTTGGTGGTGCAGACACGTAAGAAGGTATTGGATGTCACTGCACAAAAACCAAGATGACCAAATATTCTCTTCAAAATCTTCCTTCACATGAAGCAAAATGCTTAAGTCACCAGGAACAAGAGAAGCTAATTTTGTTACCTACAGAGATAGGTAAACGCAAATTACTGCTTGGAAATTGATAGAGGTCCCTCCCAACTTCCCCCCGCCCCCTAAAAAAAGCAAAACAAAAACACCGTGGGAGAGTGGCAGAAACAGTTCTGAGCTAAAGAGGTCTAGCAATACAATTATAATTCTACAGTGACTAAGGAAGAGGCAGAAAACTGTCTCTGCCACCAAAACAAGGCAGAGGTTGGCTCCTATGGAGAGGAGAAGCAGGAAAGGAACACAGAGGAAACACCATCTTTGAGACCTAGCCACACAGATTCTGTCTAAAACTGAGGTTGGGCCATGACATCCACAAACTTTCCTCAATTATTAGACTAATAAACATGAAGCTTCCACCTTAAGAAAATAAATGAACAACTGAATGCACAGTAAGCAGAGAAAAATAATAATAAAGATAGGAAATCAATGGCATTGAGGGAGAAAAGCAATACAGAAAGATCAATACAATTTTTTTGAAATTATTGATAAAATTGATAGGATAAACCTTTTGTATGTGTGAAAGTGAGAGAAGACACAGTTTAGCAATATGAGGAATAAAAAGGCACTATTAATACAGATCATGTAGAATTTTAGAAGAGAAAAGAAGAATACTGCTGAGCTACATGAATGAACCTCAAAAATGTTCTGGTAAGTCAAAAAGAGAACACATACTGGATGGATTTATTTATGTGAAATATCCAGAAAAGGCAAATCTATAGAAACAGAAATTAGTATTTTCCTGGGTCTGGGGATGGGAATGGGGATTGACTGCAAATGGGCATGAGTGATCTTTTTGGGATTATGGAAATGTTCTAAAATTGAACTTAGATGATTGTATGATTCTATAAATTTACTAAAAATCATTGAATTACACACTTGAAACAGGTGAAATTTGAGGTAGGTAAATTCTTTATCAATAAGGCTCTTAAAAGCATAATAAGGGCCTCATATAATTGAATTTATCCCAACAAAATTGGTAACTGATGAAAAAATAGACAAATTCTTTGAAATATATGAACCACCAATGCTCATTCAGGAAAGAATAGATAATCTAAATAGTTATACATTTATTAATTAAGGATAAAGAAGAAAAATAATATAATATCAATAGATGAAGAAAAAGCAGTTGACAAAATTCAGCACCAATTCATGATAAAATTCCTAGCAAATTAAGAACTAAAAAGAACTTGTTTTACTCAGAAAAGTTTATATACGAAAAATCTACAGTTCACGTTATACATAATACTGAAATGCACTATGCTTTCCTTTTAAGATTAGGATAAGACAAGAATATGCACTCTCTCTGCTTATATTTAACATTATTTTAGGGATACTAACCAGTGCAGTAAGGACATTTAAAAAGCACACATATTAGAAAAAAAATTAAACTGAGTGTATTTACAGTTGACTGAATTTTCTACTTAGAAAATTCCAAAGAATTCACATAAAAGCCATTGGAACTAATAAGTGAGTTTAAGAAAGTTGCAGCACACAAGGTCAATTTAAAAAATCAATAATATTTCCATATACTGGTAATGAATCACTAAAATTGGAAAATTTTTAAAAGTACCGTTTACAACAGAAGCAAAATATGTGAAATATATAGGGATAAATTTGACAAACTGTAAGGAAAATTTGTATGCTAAAAATTGATAAAACAGTGGTTTGAGAAATCAAAAAAAGACCAAAATAATTGGAAAGCTATGCCAAATTCATGTATTTGAAGTTTCAATGTTATTAAGATATCAATTCTCCCAAATTTATAGATTTGACATAATCCCAGTCAAAATACCAGCAGGGCTTTGGATTTTTTAATAGAAAACTATAAGCTGATTTTGGAAAAGCAAAACAAAGCAAATAAGCAATAAGTAGAAAAGCCAAAGAAATTTTAGAAATGAAGAACACAGTTGGAGGATTCAACTACTTGATTTCAACACTCACTATAAAGCTGAATTAACCAAGACTTTGTGGGATTGGCCATAATACAGACAAACAGATCAATGGGACAAAATAGAGTTAGCAGAAGAAGATGCACACATATACAGTAAATTTATTTTCAACGGAGATGTAAAGGAAATTTAGTGAAGAAAGCATAGTGCTTTTAGTAAATGATGCTGGAAGAATTGACATTTATAAGAAAAATAAAAGAATCTTGACCTTTATTTTATGCCATATACAAAATGAATTTGCATTGTATCATAGACTTAAATATATAAACAAGAACTATAAAGCCTCTACATGAAACATAAGAGAAAATATTTGAAACCTTAGGTTAGACAAATATTTTTTTAGATAGGACACAAAAAGCAAGAGCCATAAGAGAAAAACTGATGAATTAGAGTTTATCAAAATTTAGAATTTCTATTATTCGAATGACATTAAAAGAATGAAAAGACAAGCCACAAGCTTGGAAAAATTGTTTGCACATCACATATTTCATAAAGAATGTATATATGGAATATATAAGGAAACCCCAGACTCAATAATAAGAAAACACACTATTGAATATATTAATTGACAAAATATTTGTTATATGCTTCATCAGAGATATAGATGGCAAATAGGCACATACAAACATGTTCAACATAATTATGAGGAAATGCATATTTAAATCAATATAAAATACCCCTACATACCTATTAGAATGTTTTTTAAAAAAACAACAATAAATACCAAGTGCTAGACAGGATGCAGTTATTAGAATTCTCACACATTGCTTATGGAAATGCAAAATGATACAACCACTTTGTAAAATAGTATAGCAGTTACTTATAAGTTTAAGCATATACTACACTATGACACATCAATTTCATTCATAGGTATATATTCAAAAGAAATGAAAAAATCAATGTTCATGTAAAATCTTGTTAATGAATGTTTTAGCAGTTTTATTCATAAAGAACAAAAATTTGAAAAACCCATATGTTCACTAACTGGCGAATATATAAACATACTATGATACATCCCTAAAATGGTATACTACTCAGCAATAAAAAGAAGTGAACTACTGATACATACGACATTTATGAATCTCAAATGCATCTTGCTATGTAAAAGGATTCAGAATCAAGTCTAATTACTGTATCTGTATGATTTCATTTATATGACATTCTCTTTTTAGTATTCTTCCACTTTTATAAAAATATTTTGCAAAATAGCCAGTACCTAGTAGAGCTTGCATTTTACCCACTTTATCTGACTTAGAATTTATCTCAAAGGGACATACAGACCAGTATACAGAGACAACCGTAATAGAATGCTCACAGCAGTTTTCATAATTCAGAAGAATGATGAAAACAAGGTAAGAAGGCAACAACATAAAATTGATCAAATTATGCTGACATTTTATGTGCACATATACTTGGAAATGGTAACTATGTGCACATTGAAAGTGATAGAGTAGCTGGGCACGGTGGCTGACGCCTGTGATCCCAGCATTTTGGGAGGCCAAGGCGGGCGGATCACGAGGTCAGGAGTTCAAGACCAGCCCTGACCAACATGGTAAAACCCCGTCTCTACTAAAAATACAAAAATTAGCCGGGCATGGTGGCACGTGCCTGTAGTCCCAGCTACTCAGAAGGCTGAAGCAGGAGAACTGCTTGAACCTGGGAGGCAGAGGTTGCAGTGAGCTGAGGTCATGCCACTGCACTCCAGTCTGGGTGAGAGAGCAAGACTCCCTCTCAAAAAAAAAAGAAAAAAAAAAGAGTGATGGAGCAGAATATTTGGGTAAGTGAAATTAATATTTTAAATATATGACATTTTTGATAAGGCAAAGCTATATGGACAGAAAACAGATCAAAGTTAACCAGGTGCTGAGTGGGGAGAGGAGATTTACTACAAAAAGAAATAAGGAATCTTTTTAGGGTAATGTAAATGTTCTATATCTTGTAGTGGTAGTTATATAACTTTATCTGTTTGTAAAAATTCATAGCACTGTATATCTACAAAGATGATTTTATTGTGTGTATATTTTATATCCATAATTGAGAACAGAAAAAATGTACCAATTACATTCTCACCAGCAGTCAATGAGAGATCCAGTTTCTCTATAACTTTTCAGCACTTGCTAATTTCTGCCTCTTTTTTTAACTGTTCTGATTTGTGTAGGCAGTGGAATTTCATCACTGTTTTAATTTGAATTTCCCTGATGACTAATTATTTTCAGTATCTTTTCATATATTAGTTATTTGTTTATTCTTCTTGCTGAAGTCCCTGTGAAGTATTTTGACCATTTTGGTGAGGGGAGGATTTCTGTCTTTTTCTTAATGATTTTCTGGAGTATTTGTGTATAAAAGCACACACAAATACATTCTGGATGCATTGTCTAATATATATTGCCAGTATATTAGTCCACTTTATGGCTTGCAAGTTTTTATCTTTTAATGGTATCTTTTGATGATCAGTGTTCATAATTTCAATGAGGTCTAAATTATCAATATTTTTATTATGCCTTTTTTCTAATTTAAGAAAGTATTGCTTACTCCAAAGTCATGAAGATATTCTATATTATCCTTAAAAAGTTTAATTGTTTTAATTTTTGCATTTATGCTTACTATCCATATGGAATTGATCTTTGTGTATGGTGTGATATACTCGTTAGGATTTGATTTTTTTTTCCCCAATGCATGGGTAACTTATACATTCAGACCATTTGTTTTAAAAATCATCTATTCCCCTCTGGATTAAAGAGTCATCTTTGTCATAAATCAGAAGATCTTATAAGATCTATATATGGATGATTACGGACTCTATTTTGTTTCATCTATTTGTGTCTCTGTGTCAATGCCACATTGTTTTAATTACTATACCTTTTTTTTTAACATGTCTTGCTATTTATCATTGTAAGCCTTCCTATTTTGTTCTTTCCCTTCAAGATACACTTTGCTACTTTTGGCACTTTGATTTCCACATATATTTTAGAGTCAGGTTATTAAGTTCTCCAACAACAAAAAATAATACTAAGATTTTGATTCTACATGTACTAACTATGGCTTAATTTTGAGACAGTTGACATTTTTCCAATATTGGTTACCAAGTCATAAATATGGTAAATCCATATCTATTATTTAACTTTTGCTAAATATTAACTTCAAAAATTCCTATGTAATTAAACAACAAAGATATATTTCTCATTCAGGGTCTGTAGATTGGCTGTGGATCAAGACCAGGTTAATGATTAGATTCATGTCTTTTCATTCCAAAATACAAGGTTTCTTCATGTCTTTTCTCATTTATTTTCAAATACCAAACAAATACTGCATTCTTAAAATAAACCCCACTAGGTATTCTCCCTTTTCTATGTCTGTAGGTTCAGTTTGAAAAAGTTTTATTTGGGATTTTTGCATCTATGAGGAAGGTAGGCCTATACTTTTTCTTTCTTTTGGAACCCATTTTAGGTTTTGGTATCAATACTTTTCAGGTCTCATAAAATACGTTTCAAAATATTATGTTTGTTTACTATTCTTGGAAGAATTTTTCTAAGATTCATGTTTCGTTGTTTAATTGTGGTAAAATATGCTTATTAAATTTGCTATCCTAACCATTTTAAAGTGTATAACCCAGTGACATTTAGGACATTCACAGTGTTGTGTAATCATTATCGATCTAGTTCCGGAACATGTTCATTGACCGCAAAAGGAAATCTCATGCCCACTAAGCAGTCACTCTCTCTATAAACCCTACCACCAGGACCTGGAAAGCGCAAATCTGGCTTTTGTCTCTGTAAATTTGTCTATTCTAAACATTTTATATAAAAGGAATAACATAATACGGTGTTTTCAAGGTTTATCAATGTCGTAGCATGTACCAGTACTCCATTCCTTTATGGCTTAATAATATTTCATTGTGTGGATATATCACATGTTGCTTATGTATTCATCATTTGATGGACATTTGAGTTGCTTCTGCTTGCTGGTTATTATGAATAATGCTGCTTGGAGCACTCATATACAAGTATTTCTTTGAACATTTGTTTTCAATTTTGGGGGGTATATACACAGGACTAGAATTGTTTGGTGAAGTGATAATTCTATGATTAACTTCTTGTGACACAAACAAATGGAGAAACATCCCATGCTCATGAATAGGAAGAATCAATATCATTAAAATGGCCATACTGCCCCAAATAATTTACAGATTCAATGCTATTCCTATCAAACCACCAATGACATTCTTCATAGAACTAGAAAAAGTAATTTAAAATTCATATGAACCCAAAAAAGAGCCCAAATAGCCAAGGCAATCTTAAGCAAGAAGAACAAAGCTGGAGGCATCACACTACCCGACTTCAAACTATACTACAGAGCTGCAGAAACCGAAACATCTTGGTACTGGTACAAAAACAGATGCATAAATCAAAGGAACAAAATAGCCCAGAAATAAGGTCATACACCTACAACTATCTGATCTTCAACAAAGTCAAAAAACACAAGCAAAGGGGAAAAGATTTCCTTGTCAATAAATGTGCTGGGATAACTGGCTAGCCATATACATAAGATTAAAACTGGACCTCTTCCTTATACCATATACAAAAATAAACTCAAGATGGATGAAAGACTTAAATATAAAACCCAAAACTATAAAAACCCTGGAAGACAACTTAGGCAGTACCACTCTGGACATAGGAATGGGCAAAGATTTTATGACGAAGACACCAAAAACAATTGCAACAAAAGAAAAATTGAGAAATGGGATCTAATTAAACTAAAGAGCTTCCGCACAGCAAAAGAAACTAACAACAGAGTAAACAGACATCCTACAGAATGGGAGAAAATATTTGCGAACTATGCATCCAACAATGGTCTAATATCCAGCATCTATTAGGAACTTAGACAAATTTACAAAAACACACAACTGCATTAAAAAGTGGGCAAGGCATTTTTTCATGTGTTTTTTGGCTACATAAATGTCTTCTTTTGAGAAGTGTCTGTTCATATCCTTTGCCCACTTTTTGATGGGGTTGTTTGTTTTTTTCTTGTAAATTTGTTTGAGTTCACTGTAAATTCTGGATATTAGCCCTTTGTCAGATGAGTAGGTTGCAAAAATTTTCTCCCATTCTGTAGGTTGCCTGTTCACTCTGATGGTAGTTTCTTTTGCTGTGCAGAAGCTCTTTAGTTTAATTAGATCCCATTTGTCAATTTTGGCTTTTGTTGCCATTGCTTTTGGTGTTTTAGACATGAAATCCTTGCTCATACCTATGTCCTGAATGGTATGGCCTAGGTTTTCTTCTAGGGCTTTTATGGTTTTAGGTCTAACATTTAAGTCTTTAATCCATCTTGAATTAATTTTTGTATAAGGTGTAAGGAAGGGATCCAGTTTCAGCTTTCTACACATGGCTAGCCAGTTTTCCCAGCACCATTTATTAAATAGGGAATCCTTTCCCCATTGCTTGTTTTTCTCAGGTTTGTCAAAGATCAGATAGTTGTAGATGTGCAGCATTATTTCTGAGGGCTCTGTTCTGTTCCATTGATCTATATCTCTGTTTTGGTACCAGTACCATGCTGTTTTGGTTACTGTAGCCTTGTAGTATAGTTTGAAGTCAGGTAGCATGATGCCTCCAGCTTTGTTCTTTTGGCTTAGGATTGACTTGGCAATGTGGGCTCTTTTTTGGTTCCATATGAACTTTAAAGTAGTTTTTTCCAATTCTGTGAAGAAAGTCATTGGTAGCTTGATGGGGATGGCATTGAATGTATAAATTACCTTGGGTAGTATGGCCATTTTCACGATATTGATTCTTCCTACCCACGAGCATGGAATGTTCTTCCATTTGTTTGTATCCTCTTTTGTTTCATTGAGCAGTGGTTTGTAGTTCTCCTTGAGGAGGTCCTTCACATCCCTTGTAAGTTGGATTCCTAAGTATTTTATTCTCTTTGAAGCAATTGTGAATGCGAGTTCACTCATGATTTGGCTCTCTGTTTGTCTCTTATTGGTGTATAAGAATGCTTGTGATTTTTGTACATTGATTTTGTATCCTGAGATTTTGCTGAAGTTGCTTATCAGCTTAAGGAGATTTTGGGCTGAGACGATGGGGTTTTCTAGATATACAATCATGTCGTCTGCAAACAGGGACAATTTGACTTCCTCTTTTCCTACTTGAATGCCCTTTATTTCCTTCTCCTGCCTGATTGCCCTGGCCAGAACTTCCAACACTATGTTGAATAGGAGTGGTGAGAGAGGGCATCCCTGTCTTGTGCCAGTTTTCAAAGGGAATGTTTCCAGTTTTTGCCCATTCAGTATGATATTGGCTGTGAGTTTGTCATAGATAGCTCTTATTATTTTGAGATACGTCCCATCAATACCTAATTTATTGAGAGTTTTTAGCGTGAAGGGTTGTTGAATTTTGTCAATGGCGTTTTCTGCATCTATTGAGATAATCATGTGGTTTTTGTCTTTGGTTCTGTTTATATGCTGGATTACATTTATTGATTTGCATATGTTGAACCAGCCTTGCATCCCAGGGATGAAGCCCACTTGATTATGGTGGATAAGGTTTTTGATATGCTGCTGGATTTGGTTTGCCAGTATTTTATTGAGGATTTTAAGAAATGCAAATCAAAACCACAATAAGATACCATCTCACACCAGTTAGAATGGCGATCATTAAAAAGTCAGGAAACAACAGGTGCTGGAGAGGATGTGGAGAAATAGGAACACTTTTACACTGTTGGTGGGACTGTAAACTAGTTCAACCATTGTGGAAGGCAGTGTGGCGATTCCTCAGGGATCTAGAACTAGAAATACCATTTGACCCAGCCATCCCATTACTGGGTATATACCTAAAGGATTATAAATCATGCTGCTATAAAGACACATGCACACGTATGTTTATTGCGGCACTATTCACAATAGCAAAGACTTGGAACCAACCCAAAAGTCCAACAACGATAGACTGGATTAAGAAAATGTGGCACATATACACCATGGAATACTATGCAGCCATTAAAACTGATGAGTTCATGTCCCTTGTAGGGACATGGATGAAACTGGAAACCATCATTCTCAGCAAACTATTGCAAGGACAAAAAACCAAACACCGCATATTCTCACTCATAGGTGGGAATTGAACAATGAGAACACATGGACACAGGAAGGGAAACATCACACACCGGGTACTGTTGTGGGGTGGGGGGAAGGGGAGGGACAGCATTAGGAGATATACCTAATGCTAAATGACGAGTTAATGGGTGCAGCACACCAACATGGCACATATATACATATGTAACAAACCTGCACGTTGTGCACATGTACCCTAGAACTTAAAGTATAATAGTAATGAAATTTTTAAAAAAAGTGGCCAAAGGACATGAACGAACACTTCTTTTTTCTTCAACTTTTATTTTAAGTTCCAGGGTACATGTGCAGGATGTGCATATTTGTTACATAGGTAATCATGTGCCATGGTAGTTTGCTGTACAGATCAACCCATCATCTACATGTTAAGCCCAGCATCCATTAGCTATTCTTCCTGATGCTTTCCCTTGTCCTGCACTGCCCATAGGTCCCATTGTGTGTTGTTCCCCACCACGTGTCCATGTGTTCTCATCGTTCAGCACACACTTACAAGTGAGAACATGTGGTGTTTGGTTTTCTATTCCTGCATTAATTTGCTGAGGATAACAGCTTCCAGGTCCATCCAGGAAAGACGTGATCTCATTCCTTTTTATGGCTGCCTAGTATTCCATAGTGTATATGTACCACGTTTTCTTTATCCAGTCTCCAGTCTCTCATTAATGGGCATTTGGGTTGATTCCATGTCTTTGCTATTGTGAATAGTGCTGCAATGAACATACGTGTGCATGTATCTTTATAATAGAAAGATTTATATTCCTTTGGGTATATACCCAGTAATGGGATTGCTGGTCAGATGGTATTTCTGCTTCTTGATCTTTGAGGAATCACCACACTGTCTTCCACAATGGTTGAAATAATTTGCATTCCCACCAACAGTGTAAAAGTGTTCCTCTTTCTCCACAACCTCACCAGCTCTGTTGTTACTTGACTTTTTAATAACAGCCATTCCAGGCCAGGCACAGTGGCTCATGCTTGTAATCCTAGCACTAAGGGAGGTCAAGGTGGGTGAATCAGTTGAGATCAGGAGTTTGAGACCAGCCTGGCCAACATGGTGAAACCCCATCTATACTAAAATTACAAAAATTAGCCGGGCATGGTGGCATATGCCTGTAATCCCAGCTACTCAGGAGGCTGAGTCATGAGAATTGCTTGAACCTGGGAGGTGGAGGCTGCAGTGAGCAGAGATCATGCCACTGCACTCCAGTTGGGGCAACAGAGCAAGATTCCATCTCAAATAAATAAATAAATTATTTTCTGACTGGTGTGAGATGGTATTTCATTGTAGTTTTGATTTGCATTTCTCTAATGATCAGTGATGTTGAGCTTTTTTTTCATGTTTGTTGGCCTCTTGAATGTCTTCTATTGGGAAAGAACACTTCTCAAAACAAGAGATACATGCGGCCAACAGAAACATTACAAAAAATTTCAACATCAGTGATCGTTGAGAAATGCAAATCAAAACCACAATGAGATACCATCACACACCAACGAAAATGGATATTATTAAAAAGTAAAAAAAAAAAAAATAACAGTTGCTGGTAAGGTTGCAGAGAAAAGGGAACACTTACACACTATTGGTGGGAATGTAAATTAGTTCAACCATTGTGGAGAATAGTGTGATGATTCCTCAAAGATCTAAAAACAGCAGTACCATTGAACACAACAATCACATTACTGGGTATATGCCCAAAGGAATATAAGTTGTTCTATTATAAACACACATACACACATATTTTCATTGCAGCACTATTCCCAATAGTAAAAGACATGGAATCAACCTAAATACCCATAAATGGTAGACTGGATAAAGAAAATGTGGCAGATATACAACATGGAATATTATGCAGCCGCAAAAAAGAATGAAATCATGTTATCTGCAGGATTGTGGATGGAGCTGGAGGTCATTGTCTTTAGCAAACTAATGTAGGAACAGAAAATCAAATATTGCATGTTCTCACTTATAAGTGGGAGCTAAATGATGAGAACACATGGACACATAAAAGAGAACAACACACACTGGGACCTACCAGACGGTGGATGTTGGGAGGAGGGAGAGGATCAGGAAACATAACTAATGGGTACTGGGCCTAATACATGGATGACGAAATAATCTGTACAACAAATCCCCGTGACACAAATTTACCTATATAACAAGCCTGCATGTGTACCCCTGAACTTAAAATAAAAGTTAAAAAAATTCTGAGGCGCTTTATAAGAATTTTGAAAGTCCCTTTAGTGTATAAATTCTTAGACATTTTGTCATTCTGTTTTATACTATTCTAGCAAATATTAAGATTGCCAAAGAACAAAATCTTAACCTTCATTTTAGATGGAGGTTGAGTAATCTCATTTTGTAAAGCCATGTTCTTTGGTATGATGTAAAAGTTCTATTGCTTAGCTTAAAAAGGGAAAATAAATAATTGAGAAAGTCCAGGTTAAACTGGATTCAATTTCCAATAGTTAATTTACGTTTCTTCTTCGTAAGTCTTTGTTTGATTCTACTTAAGTGTTTTCAACCATAACTCATTTTTTCAAATTGTGTCAAAACATAATAGGAGCAAGTGCAGAAAGATCATGAAACTCTATATACATTTAAAAAACAAAAACTTCTTTAGGCACTGCCAAACAGATTTCCAAAGGGGCCGCAACATTTTGCATTCCCACCTGCAATATATAAGGGTTCAAATTTCTCCATATCTTCACCAGCACTTATTATCTTCCATTTTTATTTCTTTAGTGTCAACCATCTTAGTGAATGTAAACTAACATATTATTGTGGTTTTGATTTGCATTTTCCTAATGACAAACGTTGAACATTTTTTAATGTGCCTGTTGTCCATTTGTATACCTTCTTTGGAGAAATGTCTCTTCAAATCCTTTGCTTATTTTAATTGGGTTGCTTGTCATTTTGTTGTTGAGTTTTAGCTTTTCTTTACATATTTTGGATATTAGACACTTATCACATATATGATCTTTAAGTATTTTTACCACTCAATAGTTTGCCTTCAGTTTCTTGATAGTGCCTTCCCATTGACAATTTTCAAAATTTTGATGAATTCCAATTTACTTATTTATTCTGTTGCTTCGTCATATTTTAAAAATCTGTTGCCAATTTCAAGGTAATGAATATGTACCCTTATGTTCTCTTCTAAGAATTTTATAGTTTCACATCTTGCATTTATATCTTTGATCCATTTTGAGTTAATCTTTGTATATTGTGTAAGGTAAGAATTCTACTTCATTCTTTTGTATGTGGTTATACAATTGTCCTAGCATCATTTGTTGAAGAGATTATTATTTCCTCCTTTGAATGGTCTTGGAAACCTTGTCACAAATCAGTTGACCATACATGTATCTATTTTTGTTTGGATTCTCAATTATATTCCATTGATTTATATGTTTATCCTTATACCCATACTTGACCATTTTGATTACTGTAGCTTTTTAATATGTTTTGGAATCAGGAAGTGTGAGTCCTCCAAATTCACTCTTCTTTTTCAGTATTGTTTTGGCAATTCAAGGCCCCTTGTAATTCCATATGAATTTCAGGATCAACTTTTCCATTTCTGTAAAATAGGCCATTGAGATTTTTATGGGATTTGCAATTAATCTACTTATCACTTTAGAAAGTATAGACATCTTAGCAATATTAAGTCTTACAATCCATGAACACGAAATGACTTTCCTTTTTTTTAGGCAATTCACACTTAATTTCTTTCAACATTTTAAAATTTTCATTGTAAGAGTCCTACACCTTTGTGGTTAAATTTACTACTCTTTTATGTTTTCATGCTATTATAAATAAAATTACATTCTTAAATTTTTTTTCAGATTTTTCAGTCCTAGTGTACGAAAATACAACTAATTTTTGCAAGTTGATCCGTACCTAGAAACTTTGCAGATTTCAGTTATTATTATCCTTAACAACATAACATTTGTATATATTATTTAGTATATTCTTTACTTGTAGGATTTTGTCATCTGTGAATAAAGATAGTTTTAACTATTTCTTTATTATTTGCATGTCTTTTGTTTCTTTTTCTTTCCTGATTCATCTGGCTATAACTTTCACTAAAATGTTGAATTACAGTGGTAAAGGTGGGCATCTTTATCTATTAATCACTCATCTAATTCACTTACCCTGTCTTCTGTTACTCTAATCTCTTGTTTAACCCCTATATTAAGTTCTTCATTTGAGTTGCTACTGTTTAACTCTACAATTATCTATTTATTATTTTATAGGTTCTAGTTCTATGGTGAACTTTTATATGTTGTAATTTATGTCCTTAAACATATTAATCACAATTAAAGTATGTGCTAATAGCTCCATTTTATGTATCATTTGTGGGTCTCTTATTATTGCTTGTTTTGTTCGCTTGATATTTTGATTATTTGGTTTTCTCTTCTGACAAGACTTGTATTTTTTAAAAATTTGATGTCAGATATTATATTTGTGTGTGTATATGTATACAAAATAATGTGGAGTCACTAGATTAGATCATCTACTCACAGAGAGGTTTTATGTCCCTTATGGCATGTGCAAGGACAAGTCACCTGTGCCCAACTATGGATTAAGATTACTTGAGGGTGAGCTAGCAGAAGAAAATAAATAACTAAGATTAGAGAAGAACTTAATGAAATTGTGATGCAAAAATTTATACAAAAGATTAATGAAACAAAGAGTTGGTTCTCAAAAAATAAATAAGATTAATAGACCTCTAGCTAGATTAACAAAGAAAAAGAAAGAGAAGATCAAAATAAGCACAACCAGAAACAACAAAGGTGACATTACAACTGATCCCACAGAAGTAAAAAGATCCTCAGAGACGACTATGAAAAACTCTATGTATACAAATTAGAAAATCTAGAAGAAATGAATAAATTTTTGGAAGCACAAAATCTCCCAAAATTGAATCAGGAAGAGATTGAAACTCTGACTAGATCAACATCAACTTCTGAAATTGAATCAATAATAAAGAAACTACCAAACAAAAAAAGCCCTGTGGCAGATGGATTCATAGCCAAATTCTACCAGACATACAAAGAACTGACACCAATCCTACCAAAACTATTCTAAAAAATCGAGGATAAGGAGCCTCTCCTTAACTCTTCCTATGAAGCCAGCATCAGCCTGATACCAAAATCTGGCAGAGACACAATGAAAAATAAAAACTTCAGACCAATATCCCTCATGAACACAGATGCAAAATTCCTCAACAAAATACTAGGAAATTGAATCCAGCAGTACATCAAAAAGTTCCAACACCACAATCAAGTAGGCTTTATTTCTAGGATACGAGGCTTGCTAAGCATATGAAAATTAATAAATGTGATTCACCACATAAACAGAATCAAAAGCAAAAACCATACGATCATCTCAATACATGCAGAATATGCTTTCAATAAAATTCAACATCCCTTCATAATAAAAACTTTCAACAGACTAGGCATTGAAGGAACATAGCTCAACGTAATAAGAGCCATCTATGACAAGCCCACAGCCAACATTACACTAAATGGGAAAAGCTCTAATCATTCCATTTGGAAATTGGAACAAGACAAGGATGTTGACTTTCACCCCTCTTATTCAACATACTAATGGAAATCCTAGCCACAGCAATTAGGCTGTCAAAGAAATAAAAGGCATCCAAATAGGAAAAGAAGACAATATGATTCTATACCTAGAAAATCCTAAAGACTCTGACAAAAGGATCCTAGAACTGATAAACAACTTTAGGAGTTTCAGGATACAAAATTAATGTACAAAAATCAGTACCACTTTTATACACCAATAACATTCAAGCTGAGAGTCAAATCAAGAACACAATTTCATTTACATTAGGCACAAAGAAAACACCTGGGAATACAGCTTACCAAGGAGGTGAAAGATCTCTACAAGGAGAACTACTGAACTGTTAAAAGAAATCAGAGAGGACACAAATAAATGGAAAAATATTCCATGCTCATTGACTGGAAGAACCAAAATCATAAAAAGCAATTTACAGATTCAGTGCTATTCTTTTCAAACTACCAAAGCTATTCTGTGAAGAATTAGAAAAATACTACTTTACAATTCATATGGGACCAAAAAACGGGCCTGAATAGCCAAGGCAATCCTGAATAAAAAGAACAAAGCTGGAGGTATCACACTACTCAGATTCAAACTATACTATAAAGCCACAGTAACCACAACAACTTGGTACTGGTACAAAAATGGACACATAGACCAATGGAACGGAATAGAAGACTCAGTAATAAAGCTACACACCTACAACCATTTGATCTTCAACAAGGCCAAGGAAACCAAGAAATGGAGAAAGGACTCCCTATTCAATGAATGGTGCTGGGATAACTGGCTAGCCATATGCAGAAGGTTGAAGCTGGGCCCCTACCTTTTTATCACAGGTAGAAATTAACTTCAAATGGATTAAAGATTTAAATGTAAGACCTCAAACTATAAAAT